>NC_000019.10:38149964-38452995 GCF_000001405.40 Homo sapiens
CGACTTTTTGGGAAAACTGAGTAAGTGCATCAACACTCCGAACTCCAGCAAGGATGGAGCCACATTTTACCAGGCAGCTAGCCAGGTGTGAAGTCAGCTAGTAAGATGAAGATTGCTTATAGTCAAAGTTGCTTTTGTAAAATCCCTTTGATTGCTGGAAACTGGGCCCTCAGACATTGAGAAAAGTAAGAATTCACGTTTCGTACTTCCTGTGTTTGGGCCCTGTTTTCCTTTCCTGGAGGTGTCAGTGGTCAAGGTCTGGTTGAGGGCAGGGAGGATGGTGTGTTTTTTCCTGGCAAGTGAGTGGAGTTGAGTTTTCAGAGAGTGCAGTGCCCCTTGAAACACCTCTCTACTGTGCTCAGGGCATTGAAGCCAGGGGATTAGGGCAGGGTCCCTGTAGAGACAGTCCTGGCTTTGAGCTGGCAGGGTGACCCTGGATAAGTCAGTTACTTCCTCTTTGGCATCTTGGGGGATCCTAGTTTATCACCTCACCTCCCCCTACCAGATCCTCCCAAGTTGAAAATACAGATGCCAGGAGCCAACCAGGGAATTGCAATATCAACACTTTTTTTTTTTTTTTTTTTTTGAAATGGAGTCTTGTTCTGTTGTCCAGGCTGGAGCGCAGTGGCACAGTCTTGGCTCACTGCAACCGCAATCTCCGCCTCCCAGGTTCAATTGATTCTCCTGCCTCAGCCTCCCAAGTAGCTGGGATGTCACAGGCACACACCACCACACCTGGCTAATTTTTATATTTTTAGTAGAGATGGGGTTTTGCCATGTTGGCCAGGCTGGTCTCGAACTCCTGAGCTCTAGTGATCTGCCTGCCTCGGCCTCCCAAAGTGCTGGGATTACAGGCGTGAGCCACCACACCTGGCTAATATCAACATTATTAATGGAGGCTCAGTAACTCCCCCAGAGCACAGGGCCTGTGTCAGTGAGGTGCTTCTGGCTGAAGTAACCAAAATTTGGCTCAAACATTGTAGGAATTTGTTATCTCACAGAAAAGGAAGCTCAGGAGCAGGGCAGGTTCCAGGGAGGGTGAACCCAGCATCTTGACCACATTATCAAGGGCCAGATTCCTTCTGCCTCCTCTCTTCCACCATCAGAGTGGGTCTTACCTGCAGCCTGGTAGCAACAGGGCAGCAGCAGCTTATGATGTTAAATCTGGACCCAGCAGCATCTGGAGGGCAAAGAGAGGCCATCTTTTCTTGTCATCCCTCTTAGGAGCAAGGAGATTTCCCAGAAGCCTCTGGGCAGACTTACCCCATTTCAGTCAGACGGTGCTGGGTAACAGACACCTGAAAGTCTCCGTGGCTTAAATCAGCAACGTTTATTTCTCAGCCCCTCCGCAGTTCCACTGCTGGTTGGCAGGGACCTCTCAGGACCCAGGCTACCCAGGCAGCCAGCAACTCCAAGTCACTTCCCTGACAGCTCAGCTATGAGCGCTGGTCACATGACTCCATTCAGCCAGTCTCAAGGGACCTGGAAGTGTGTCCTGCCACCTGCTTGGAAGTGGAGAACTGGAATGTTTTGTGGGCGTCTTAATAACTCACCTCCCTTCGTGTCTCATCAGCCAAAATTTTGTCACAGGCCTGTCTCTGAACCAACCTCAGACAGGGAGAAGACCTTCTACCACAACCGGCTGTGATCCAAGGAGGACTGGACGTTAGGAAGTGTCTACAAGATTCACCCCATGGTTGTAGACAGGGCCACTGGGGCCGGGCATGGTGGCTCACATCTGTAGTCCCAGCGCTTTGGGAAGCTGAAGTAGGCAAATCGCTTGGGCCCAGGAGTTCAAGACCAGCCTGGGCAACATGGTGAAACCCATCTCTACAAAAAAATACTAAAAATTAGCCGGGCGTGTAACATGCAGCTATAGTACCAGCTACTCAGGAGGCTGAAGTGGGAGGATCGCTTGAGCCGGGAGGCGGAGGTTGCAGTGAGCTGAGATTGTGCCACTGCACTCCAGCCTGGTTGACAGAGCAAGACCCCATCTCAAAAAAAAAAAAAAAAAAAAAATAGAGAATGCCACTGGGACAGGAGGGCACAGTGAGAGCCTTCTACCACCACCTCCCTTAAATCCTAGCCTTGCATGTGGGTGTGCGAAGCTGGCCTCCAGGAGGACCTCTGTCTAGGGGATAACTTTATTCCATCCACTCCCCAACTCTATGAGGTAGAAAATGTTACCTCGTGAGCTGGGCGTGGTAGAACACACAGAGTTCTAGCCCATCAGCCAGGTGTCCCAAGTCACCATGTGTCAGGAATCAAACCCCTGCCTAAACACTGGACATGACGGGGCATCCTTCAGTCCTGAGAAGAAGGACCTACTGTTATCGCCTCTTGACAGCTAAGGAAACTGAGGCTGTGGGCTAGGAAGTGGCTGCATCTGTCTAGGCAAGAGGCCATGGTGAGCTTTGAAGCCCCAGTTGCCCAACTCAGGGCCTGCTGCACCCATGAATGCTTCCCAACCTGCTGTCTCCATCAGAGCAAGGCAGCCCGAGAGAGGCCTGGGGCAGTAGCTGCTGGGGACATTCACCCCATGTCACAGCCAGAAAACAGGACCCCTGAGAGGAGCCCAGGGGTAGGGCTGTCGGCCCAAGCGGCCTCTGCCCCCTCCTTCCCTTAGGAACCCGCCTTGCCCCGCCGCCACCAGCTCCCTGGCAGGCTTCCCAGGCGAGACTCTCATCCCGGACCCGCAGCTAATAGCACGTTTCCAGGCTTACTCATCCAGCCTTCCTAACCGCTTTCTCTCATCCACAGCGGAGCCTCCCGTGTGTCTAAAACCCACTGGCGAGCAAGGCTCAGGCTCAGGCTCAGGTGGTTTTCGACATAGGCTGATCTTTAACCCTGGGCACGTTCTTCTCATCCCCTGCAGGTACACGGCTGCCCCACACCCCCTGCTATCTCTTGATCCCCACTTCAGCCACGATGGGACGTCCAGCGGCGACTCCTCTTCCGGCGGCCTGACCAGCCAGGAGAGCACCATGGAACGCCAGAAGCCAGGTAGGGCCCCCACCAGCTGCTGCGCCCACCCGCCTGCCTCACTCCGCAGGACCTCTTACTTAGAGCTTGACAGGCAACACTCCCCCTCTTGTGAGTGACGGATAAAACACAAAAGAAAGCTGTAAGCGCCACATGTAAGACTAGAGAGGGCACCTAGGAGAGCAGCGGAACCAGCAAGCGAGATCCTTATCCGTCCAGACAGGGCATCGGCAGGTGGCGTCTGCTCCCGCTGATAAGGCCAGAGCCGGCGTGCAGCTGTGTGACATGGAGCTGGGAGCCACCAGGGAAGGTAGCTGAAAAAGATTAAGCATTGAGCTCTCAGGAGCAGGACTGGCTGCGTCCCGTGGCTTTTCATTACATAAACCCTCCTGTGTTGTTTTCAACTTTTATGGACATACGGCACATGTTAAGAGCCCACATGGCCAGGCGGGGTGGCTCACGCCTATAATCCCAGCACTTTGAGAGGCCGAGGTGGGAGGATTACCTGAGGTCAGGAGTTTAAGACCAGCCTGGCCAACATGTGGAAACCCCATCTCTACTAAAAATACAAAAATTAGCCGGGCATGGTGGCATGTACCTGTAATCCCGGCTACTTGGGAGGCTGAGGCAGGAGAATCACTTGAACCTGGGAGGCAGAGGTTGCAGTGAGCTGAAATCGTGCCACTGCACTCCAGCCTGGGTGACAGAGCAAGATTCTGTCTCAAAAAAAAAAAAAAAAGAGGCCAGGCCAAGGCGGGCGGATAATAATTTGAGGTCAGGAATTCAAGACCAGCCTGGCCAACATGGGGAAACCCTGTCTCTACTAAAAATACAAAAATTAGCCAGGCGTGGTGGTACATGCCTGTAATCTCAGCTACTCAGGAGGCTGAGGCAGGAGAATTGCTTGAACCTGGGAGGCAGAGGTTGCAGTGAGCCGAGATCGAGTCACTGCACTCCAGCCTGAGCGACAGAGCAAGACTCTGTCTCAGAAAAAAAAAGAAAAGAGCCTACATGATGAAGACACAGCCTGATAACCTATCGCAGAGTGGACACACCCAGGCAGGAAATATAACATGGCTAGCCTCTCCAAACCCCCATTCCCCTCCCAGTTAGTACCCCCAAAGGAACCCTGTCCTACTTCTCAGCCTGAGCTTTGCCTGGTTTTGAATTTCATAGAATACAGAATCACACTGTGTCTATTTTGTGTATGTGTGTCTGGTTTCTGTCACTCAGTGTTACATTTGTGACAGCCAGCCAGTGAATGTACATGGTATCGCAGTATCTGAGTGGTATCCCCCGTTGTATGAATAAGCCACAACTTATTGCCACATCTTGGTGTTGATAGACATTTGGGTTGTTTGCAGTTGGGCTGCCTAGAGCAGTGTTGCTAGGAACATTCTTGTGCCTGTCTTTTGATGAACATAGGTTCACATTTCTGTAGGGTATACACCTAGGAGTGAAATTTCTAGGTCATATTTTTAAGTTGATTTTATTTTATTTATTTATTTATTTATTTTTTAAACGGAGTTTCGCTCTTGTCACCCAGGCTGGAGTGCAATGGCACAATCTCGGCTCACCGCAACCTCCAACTCCTGGGTTCAAACAATTCTCCTGCTTCAGCCTCTCAAGTAGCTGAGACTACAGACATGCGCCACCACACCTGGCTAATTTTTGTATTTTTAGTAGAGACGGGGTTTCACCATCTTGGCCAGGCTCGTCTCGAACTCCTGACCTTGTGATCCACCCGCCTCAGCCTCCCAAAGTGATGGGATTACAGGCGTGAGCCACCGCACCCAGCTATTTTATTTTATTATTCATTTTTTTTTTTTTTTTGAGACAGAGTCTTACTCTGTTGCCCAAGCTGGAGTGCAGTGGCGTAATCTCAGCTCGCTGCAACCTCCGCCTCCCAGGCTCAAGCGATTCTCCTGCCTCAGCCTCCCAAGTACCTGGGACCATAGGCATGAGCCACCACTCCTGGCTAATTTTGTATTTTTAATAGAGACAGGGTTTCAACATGTTGCCAAGGCTGGTCTTGAACTCCTGACCTCAAGTGATCCACCCGCTTCGGCTTCCCAAAGTGCTGAGATTACAGGTGTGAGCCACCACACAGGGCTAGTATGTTTAACTTTATAAGAAGGTGCCAAACTGTTTCCCAAAATGACAAAGCATCTTATACTCTGTCTATCAACATGTGAGAGTTCTAGTTGCTGCATGCCCTCACCAGCCTCTGTGTTTCATTCATTCCGGTGGGCAGGTGGTGCTACCACATTATGGTTTTATTTTATTTATTATTTTTTAAAAACATTTTTTACAGAGACAACGTCTTGCCATGTTGCCCAGGCTGGTCTCAAACTCCTGGGCTCAGGTGATCCTCCTACCTCAGCCTCCCAAAGTGCTGGGATTACAGGCGCGAGCCACCGCACCCGGCTGGCTTTGTAATTTGAATTCTTTATGTCTGTAATTTGCATTTTTCTGAAGACTGCTAAGATTTGAGCATCTTCTCAATGTGTCTTCCCCATTATTAATCATGTTGTGAACTACTCAGATGAATATTTTAAACATAATTCCATAGAACAAACTTGTAGCCCCTTTGAAGTCTGAGAACCAGCAGATGAATGGGCGAGATGGATTCAGAAGGAAGCAAACAAATGAGCAATGTTAGAAAGCAGTGACGTCAGAGTGGGAGGGGTGGAGATGTCCTCTTAGGGAGTGTCTGAGAATTTCCAGGCAGCTGGGAGAGCTGACCCCATCAGCACACCAGCTCCCCCAGATGCTGTGGGGTACGGAAGAGGCTGCATGCCCCAAGATTCGTGGCCTGGAGAATTCCTCAATATCTCAGCCCATGGTTCTCTTAAACCAGAGACAGTGTCACGCCTATAATCCCAGCATTTTGGGAGGCCGAGGCAGGCCGATCTCCTGAGATCAGGAGTTCGAGACCAGCCTGGCCAACTTGGCGAAACCCCTTCTCTACTAAAAATACAAAAATTAACCAGGCGTGATGGTGCATGCCTATAATCCCAGCTACTCAGGAGGCTGAGGCAGGAGAATCGCTTGAACACGGGAGGCAGAAGTTGCAGTAAGCTGAGATCGCGCCGTTCCACTCCAGCCTGGGTAACGAGAGAGAAACTCTGTCTCAAAAAAAACAAAAACCAGAGACAGTGGTTGGGCTTCAGGGAAGCAGGTCGAACTGCTGGGGCCTCAGCCTCTTTGCTGTCTCCAGGGTGTGCGTGGTTTGCTCCTGTCCTCAGCACATTTGATCATGTCACTGCCTGCAATTCTGTCATCTTTGCTCCAAGACAGATAGATTTGGATCCCTTTTTTCCTTTTTCCTCAGCAAGTTCAGAAAAAGAGAAAAGTGTTGCTTGGCTATTTCATTACACACCAAAGTACAAAATGGGGAGGAAGTGTTTCCTGCATACACCATGGGCCCCAAAAAAGAAACTCACCATTGCCCTTCCCTTCCCTCTTCTGTCCCCTGGAGCTTGGCTCCCCTCTCACTTCCTTGGGACCTTGTTATAGTTGACTCCTAAAATTGCCGCCGCCATACACACACGCCCACATGGATCAGGGGAATCTGTGTTTAGAAATCATCATGAGGCTGGGCGCAGTGGCTCACGCCTGTAATCCCAGCACTTTGGGAGGCCGAGGCGGGTGGATCACTTGAGGTCAGGAGCTCAAGACCAGCCTGACCAACATGATGAAACCCTATCTGTACCAAAAATATAAAAATTAGCTGGGTGTGGTGGCATGCACCTGTAATCCCAGCTACTCAGGAGGCTGAGGCAGGAGAATCGCTTGAACCCGGGAGACAGAGGTTGCAGTGAGCTGAGATCACGCATTGCACTCCTGCCTCGGAGACAGAGTGAGACTCCATCTAAAAAATAAAAAAAGAAATCATTGTGAGGTCTACAATGTATTCAAGACTCAGAAAAAAGGCCAGGGACAGTGGCTCACACCTATAATTCTAGCACTGTGGGAGGCTGAGGTGGGAGGATTGCTTGAGGCTAGGAGTTCGAAACCAGCGTGGGCAACCTAGTGGGACTCTGCCTCTACAAAAAATAAAAAAATATAGCTAGGTGTGGCAGTGCGCACCTATGGTCCCAGCTGCTCAAGAGGCTGAGGTGGAAGGATGGCTTGAGCCCGAGAGTTTGAGGCTACAGCAAGCCATGATCCACTACACTCCAGCCTGGCCGACAGAGCAACACCTGTCTCAATAAAATAAAAAAATAAAAAAAAGTTGGTTCACTAAAGATGGCAAGGATCAGGCTTCGCAGCAGATGTGGGGGTTTGCCCAGCCCCGATGGAGCGAGCCATCCTAATAACAGCTGTACAGTTTCGTGGATTGTCCAGTGTGCACACTGCACATGCCTTCATGTTTAGTCGTCTCAGGAACACAACAGGGTGGGCACTGCGACTGCCCCCGGTTAGAGAGGAGGACGATGAGGCACAGAAAGGTTGTCACTTGTCCCAGGTCACTGCTGGTGAGCAGCGTAATCAGGATATGAACGGAGCCCTGTTGGGTCCCAGAACCCCTCCATAAGCTCCACCCACAACCCCTCACCCACAGAGTGTGAGCGTTTCCCAGGCCTCAGAGCACCCAGGTTGGGAGGGTTGCCTCCATGGTCACCGGCTGCCCAGAGACTGTGCCTGGCCCAGGGTTTTAGCATGCTCTCACGCTGTCCCCTGCCCAGCATGTCAAGTTTGGGGTAGGAAGGCCAGCAGGTCACCGAGGGCTGATCCAGAGAACTAGGGGACAGGATCAGGGCCTGCTGAGGGCAGAGCTGGGGCAGGAGAATGCAGGGGCAGCCAGGATGGGGAGGAAGCTGCCCTTTCACCTGTGCATGCATTCAACTGATGATGCCACCAGGCTGGGCGCCAGGGATACCGGGTGAGCCAGGCAGGCATGTTTTCTGCCTTATTGGAGCTGAAAGTCTGGTGGGAGAATTGGACAATTACAGGGACACGATGATGATAAAACATTAACAGTAATGCCGAGTATGAAGTGGAAACTAGGCTGGGCACGGTGTCTCATGTCTGTAATCCCAGCACTTTCGGAGGCCAAGGCAGGCGGATCACTTGAGGTCAGGAGTTCGAGAGCAGCCTGGCCAACATGGTGAAACCCCATCTCTACTAAAAATTAGCCAGGCATAGTGGCGGGCACCTGTAATCCCAGCGGCTCGGGAGGCTGAGGCAGGAGAATCACTTGAACCCGGGAGGTGGAGGTTGCAGTGAGCCGAGATTGTGCCACTGCACTCCAGCCTGGGCAACAGAGCAGTCTCTGTCTCAAAAGAAAAAAAAAGTGGAAACTGTCACAGTGTGCAGAAGGAGATTTACAGGGTTTGGGGGGCATCTCTGAGCAAATCACATTTCAGGTGAGGTTGGAATAATGCAAAGAAGTCAGTGGGGATGAGAACATTCCAGGGAAAGTGAACAGCTAGTTGGAGACCCTGAGGTGGTGGCGATGAGGCCCATGTGGTGAGAACTGAGATCAGGGAGGGGACGGGCAGAGTATGTGGAGCCTCTTGGGCCACGGGGAGGCGGTTGTCCTGTACTGAGAGTGGGACAGGAGCCGCAGGTCTCAGTCTTCTGTGCAGAGGAGGGGCAGGATCTGACTCGGGTGTTCCCAGGAGCCCCTGGCTACAGATTACTGTCAGGTGGGGTGGGAGCAGGACCAGGTGGGGACAGAGGTAGGCGGAGATGCACGATTCTGGATATAGTATTTTAAAGGCAGCGTTAACCAAATTTCTTGATGATGCCTAGTTGTGGGCATGAGAGAAGTCAAGGATGCCACAGGGGGTTTGGCCACAGCAGCTGAAAGGAGAAGCCATGAACTGAGCAGGAAAACTGTGGGAGATGCAGGTTTGGGGGAAGGTACAGCCCTTGGCTTGGCCTTGGCCATGTTCAGTGAGAGGTGCCTGATAGATACCCAAGTGGAGGTGCTGCAGGGCAGCCGAGTTCAAGTGTCAAGTCAGGGGCAGAGGTCAGCCCAGAGGTAGAGCACTGGAGTTGTCCGTTGTCTGTGGTTTTTGAGGCCGGATGTGACTGCCATGGGCTTCGCTCTGTAGAAATGTGGTCTCCCAGAGTGACTGCCCACCTCCCGGGGAGCCAGCACCTTCTGGGTGTATAAAAATGCCCCAAAGAGGAAAACCATCAATGGAGGCAGAGCAGGTGGACAAAGAGGCCAGCCTCCCCACTTTCTCGCATCCATGGTTCCCCAGTGAAAGCCACACACGCGGTGACACCCTCAACTGAGACTAGACCACATCCAGCCAGGCCATTCTCTGCAGTGGCCCTGAGTGCCCTGCCTGGTCACCCGGGCCACCTTCCCCAGCAGGAACATGGGCCCAAGAGTACCCTGGGCTTGCACCGGAGGTGGCAGTGTGATTGCAAGCTCGGGGTCCCACAGGCCTGGTGGGCAGTTCTGAGTTGGGCGTATGCTTGGTGTGTGGCCTCAGCAGTGACCTCCTCCCCCTCAGCCTCAGGTCCCACTCCTGTAGTGGACATCCTAGGTGTCTCTCCTTCCAGGGCAGTTTGTGGGGGGTCCAGTGAGATAATGCCGGCCAAGCCCACGGCCCATCATTAGGAGAACAAGAGCTCCTGCCCATCGGGCACTCACTCTCCACCACTGCCAGCATTGCCGTTGTTGGTGAAGCCAAGGGAGGAGGCAGGGCTTGACAGCACAGGTGCTAAACTAGGCCAATCCGAGCCACACGTCCTGCCTGGCCCTTTCCCACTGTGCGACCTTGGACCAGCTGCTTAACCTCTCCGAGTCTTGTTCCACATCTATCGGAGATGCTCCTGATACCCACTTCACAGTGGTACTGGGAGGACGCAGCAGGGTAATGTATGCAGAGTGCTTACCATAGCGCCTGACACAGAACACACGCTTAATGGGAATTATCATTATGTTAATGATCTTGAATACCATAGTGATCAAAAGTCAGCTTTGGGGTTAAATCACCGGCGTTCAGCTCCTCAGTTAGTGCATTTGTAATTTCCATAGATAATATCTAAATGCCCTCCACTGGGGTTGGTCACTTTTTATGTATGTCTTTATTTATTTTATTTTTTATTTATTTTTTTGAGACGGAGTATTGCTCTGTTGCCCAGGATGGAGTGTAATGGCGCGATCTCGGCTCACTGCAGCCTCCACCTCCCAGGTTCAAGCAATTCTCCTACCTCAGCCTCCCGAGTAGCTGGGACTACAGGCATGTGCCATCACACCCAGCTAATTTTTTTGTATTTTTAGGAGAGACAGGGTTTCACCATGTTGGTCAGGCTGGTCCTGAACTCCTGACCTCAAATGATCCCCCCATCTTGGCCTCCCAAAGTGCTGGGATTACAGGCATGAGCCACCGCACCTGGCCAATTTTTTTTTAAGGTCAGCAAGATACTTGGTCCAGGCATACTGACTAGGCTGGAGAGGTTAAACCAGTTGACATCCAGAGCAGCTGCTACTCTTTTTTTTTTTTTTGAGACGGAGTCTCGCTTAGTCTCCAGGCTGGAGTGCAGGGGTGCGATCTCGGCTCACTGCAGCCTCCTCCTCCCAGGTCCAAGCGATTCTTCTGCCTCAGCCTCCCAAGTAGCTGGGACTACAGGCGTGCACCACCACACCCAGCTATTTTTTGTATTTTTTTTAGTAGAGACGGGGTTTCACCATGTTGGACAGGATGGTCTCAACTCTTGACCTCGTGCTCTGCCCGCCTCGGCCTCCCAAAGTGCTGGGATTACAGGCGTGAGCCACCGCACCAGGCCTGACATCCACAGCAGCCACTACTCTTAAACCCGCTTCACCTTTGGACCAGCAATTCCACCAGTAGCACTCTCTGTCCCACACACAATCCCACGCTTGCTCAAAGTCGCATGTAGAGGGAAGGCCACTGTAGAGGGAAGACTGTTCAAGATAACCTAAATATCCATCAGTAGGAAACTGGCAGGTCATTGATGTACATTCACTTAGTGCAATACTATTAGGGTAACATCACATTCAATTATGTGAAGACCTATGGTGAAGATATAAAGAGAAAAGCAAGTATAGACATATTACAAAGTGAAAAATTAAGTTGTAGGACAGTGTTTATTATTATTCCATTTTTGTTTTTTAAAAAAGTTGTGGGCCGGGCACGGTGGCTCACATCTGTAATCCCAGCACTTTGGGAGGCTGAGATGGGTGGATCACGAGGTCAGGAGTTCGAGACCAGCCTGGCCAAGATGGTGAAACCCCGTCTCTACTAAAAATACAAAAATTAGCCGGGCGTGGTGGCCAGTGCCTGTAATCCCAGCTACTCAGGAGGCTGAGGCAGGAGAATCACTTGACCTGGGAGGCAGAGGTTGCAGTGAGCTGAGATCACACCACTGCGCTCTAGCCTGGGTGACAGAGCAAGACTCCGTCTCAAAAAAAAAAAAAAAAAAAAACTATGTACATACAACCAACAAAGGATTGCTACCTTGCATATGTAAAGAACTCTACTAACCAATAAGATAAAAGATAGTTTGGGCCGGGTGCGGTAGCTCACACCTGTAATCCCAGCACTTTGGGAGGCCGAGGCAGGTGGATCACGAGGTCAGGAGTTCGAGACCAGCCTGGCCAATATGGTGAAACCCTGTCTCCACTAAAAATACAAAACAATTAGCTGGGCATGGTGGTGCCACACCTGTAATCCCAGCTGCTTGAGAGGCTGAGACAGGAGAATCACTTGAACCCTGGGCAGTGGAGGGTGCAGTGAGCTGAGATCATACCACTGCACTCCAGCCTGAGCGACAGAGCGAGACCCCATCTCAAAAAAGACAGTCAAGCTCATAGATAAATGGGTAAAGGAGGCTAGGCATGGTGGCTCACGCCTATCATCCCAGCACTTTGGGAAGCTGAGGCAGGAGGATCACTTGAGGCCAGGAGTTCAAGACCACCCTGGATGCTGTAGCAAGACCTCAAAAAAAAAAAAAAAATTAGCCAAGCATGGTGATGCACACCTGTAGTCCTAGCTACTTGGGAGGCTGAGGCGGGAGGATGGCTTCAACCCAGGAGTTCAAGGTTACAGTGAGCTATGATCATTCCATTGCACTTTAGCCTGGGTGACAGGGAGAGAGGGAAATGGGATATTGCACGGCTTCAGTGAGGCCCTCAGAACGGTGTCTGGCACATAGTATGTGCTGAGATGTATTCTCTGTTACTGAGTGTTGCACTCCAAGGTGTAAATTGATGGGGTCATGCCGTGGGTGAGCAGACAGTCTGGCAAAGGGTCCAGATTCTTCAGGCCCTGGCCTGAGTCACTCCTAACCACTGGTGTGTCTCCTGTTTTCCTACAGAGCCTTTGTGGCATGTGCCTGCCCAGGCCAGGCTCTCAGCCATAGCCGGAAGCAGCGGGAACAAGCACCCGTCCAGGCAGGATGCAGCAGGCAAAGATTCCCCCAACAGGCATTCCAAAGTGAGTCTGGGCCCCACCCTGCCCTACCGGGGGAGCCAGGCCTGCCTGGGTGTGGCCTCTGAGCTTCACACTTGAGCACATCCTCAACCTCTGCCACCTTCCACTCAGCAGAGGGGTTGAATACTTGGTCTGAGTTGGAACCAACCAGGTTCACATTCTGGCTCCAGCCCTCATCAGCCAGGTCATCTAGGGCAAATCCCTTTACCTCCTCGAGCCGCAGTTTCCTCATTGTTCCATCAGTCATGGTAAATCAGCTGCTGTAACAGACAGCCCCGAATCTCAGTGACTTCATACAGTGGAAGTGGATTTCCCTCTCCTGTAACAGCGCAGTGCAGGTATTCAGTGAGCATCTACCCGCCATTCACGTGGTGATTCAGAGCCCAGGCTCCCTCCCTCTTGTGGCTCTGCTGTCCCTCAGAGGTTCCAAGCCCTCTGCTGGGTCCCTGCGTCTTTCCAGCAGTGGAGGTGAGTGGGAGAAAAGATCACATGGGAGGTGTTTTTTAGCCCAGGCCTGGAAATGGCATGAATCGCTTCCATTCCATCACGTGGCCACACCTAGCTGCAAGGGAGGCTGGGAAATGTAGTCTTGCATGGCCCAGGAAGGCTGGGGATGTAGTCCTGTGTGTCCAGGAGGAGGAGATGGTTTGCAGGGGCTCTTGGCAATCTCTTTGTATCCATTCGTTCAGTGGGTGTTTGACAAGCGCTTACAACACTCCAGGCATTGGGACCATGATGATGAAGAGGACAGACCAGCCCTGTCCTCAGGAAGCTGACTTCCCATTTGGGGCAGCAAGCAGTAAGCAGATAAACAGATCTGTTGTATAAGAAAAAGTGCGGGCTGGGCGCGGTGGCTCACGCCTATAATCCCAGTGCTTTAGGAGGCCAAGGCGGACGGATCACCTGCAGTCAGGAGTTCGAGACCAGCCTGGGCAACCTAGTAAAACCCCGTCTCTACTAAAAATACAAAAATTAGCCAGGCGTGGTGGCAGGAACCTATAATCCCAGCTCCTTGGGAGGCTGAGGCACAAGAATTGCTTGAACCCAGGAGGCAGAGGCTGCAGTAAGCCAAGATTGCACCACTGCACTCCAGCCTGAGCGACAGAGTGAGACTCTATCTCAAAAAAAAAAAAAAAAAAAAAACAGTCCAGGGGAGAGAGTGACAAGCACTGCAGCTCAAGGATGATGTGGTCAGAGAGGGCCTTTGAGGGGGTGACCTTTGAGCGGAAACCTTGAGTGAAGGAAGGGGGAGGCCCACGAAGATCTCTCAGGGAAGAGTATTGCAGGCAGAGGGAGCAGCAGGCGCAGAGGCCCTGACGGGGAGTGCCCAGTATGTTCCGAGAATAGCAAGGGGGCCACCATGGCCACAGCAACGTGATCGGGAGGGAGGGGAGATGAAGTTGGAGACCGGGACCCAAGCATCAAAGCCCCATGGGCCATGCTGGGAACTCTCACTTGTGCCTGGAGTAAGATGGAGCCACAGGTGGGGGTCATCATCTAACTCAGGTGTTCTCAGCCTTCTGCTGGCTGCGTGTGGGGAATAAACAGGGGGATGAGGGTGCAGAGAGACCAGGGAGGAGGCTGCTGCACTGGCCCCAGGGGGAGGACAGGACAGGCATGGACAGGACCACGCGGAGCCGTGGAGCAGGAAGTGACAGGTCCCGGATCTGTGTTGAGGACGCGGGCAGCAGGGTTTGCTAGTGGGCTGGACATGAGTGAGAGCAAAAGCGGGGTCAAGGTGAGTCCACGGCTCTTGGCAGGGGCAGCTGAAAGCATGGCCGGCGTCATTGAGATGAGGAAGACGCTGCCGAACTCAGTCTTAGATTCGCTGAGTCTGAGATGTGGGAAGCATGTTCTGTGCCTGATGTCATTTGTTCCTCTGAGCAGCCCCATGAGGCAGGCTTACTATCACCCTCCATTTTACAGATGTGGAAACTGAGGCTGAGGGAAGGTAAATCACTTGCCCAAGGTAACACGGCCAGTAGATGAGAAGCCAGGATTTGAAGCTGTCTGGTCCCAGGGTTCAGGCCCAGGCAGAGGGAGGACCCGGCAAGGGAAGATGCGCCCCTGCCCTGGAGTCTGGGAATGACACGCTTCTCTTGCCTCTCAGGGAGAACCTCAATACTCAAGTCATTCCAGCAGCAACACCCTCTCCAGCAACGCATCCAGCAGCCACAGCGACGACCGCTGGTTCGACCCCCTGGACCCCCTGGAGCCAGAGCAAGACCCCCTCTCCAAGGGTGGCTCTAGTGACAGCGGCATCGACACCACCCTCTACACCTCCAGCCCTAGCTGCATGTCCCTGGCCAAGGCTCCACGGCCCGCCAAGCCACACAAGCCCCCTGGAAGTATGGGCCTTTGTGGCGGGGGTCGCGAGGCCGCTGGGAGGTCCCACCACGCAGACAGGCGGCGGGAGGTCTCCCCTGCCCCCGCAGTTGCCGGCCAAAGCAAGGGCTACCGACCGAAGCTGTACTCCTCCGGCTCCAGCACCCCCACGGGACTGGCGGGGGGCAGCCGAGACCCACCGAGGCAGCCCAGGTAAGCTGTTGCACCTAGTCTGGGTTCTAACCACCTTCCACTTCGCCAGTTCTACTTTTACGGTCCTGATGGTGGGGTTCTCCTCCCCAGAAACACACTCACGGATGAATGCGCCTAGTCATTGGTTTGCTGACAGAATTGAGGAGCTCGTGGATCTCTGCCTTATTGCCCATCCATCAGCATTCAGGGACCCCAGGTGGAGGGAAAGAAACCCCTGGCCTTCTGTCTCTGTTTTCATCTGTCTCTGGTTCTCTCTGACCCTCTGTCTCTTTTTTCTTTGCTCTCTGCTGATACCAAAAGTTTTTATGCTTTCTAAAGGGTCACAGACTGTATCTGATAGAGTGTATTTGGCTGGAGGCAATAGGAAACCTGACCCTCTGTGGCTTAAACAAATAGAGGTGTAACAAACAGTCCCCTAACATGAAGTCCAGAGAAGGCAGAGCCAGGCTAGTGCTGTGGCTTGTGGAGAGCCTCAAGGATTGGCACTCTGTGTCTCCCTGCTCGGCATCTTTACCATGCTGGCTCATGTCTCACTTGCCTTGAGATGGAGCTGTGCTGCCTGGTGAGTGGCAGTTGGGGACAGAGAAGAGGGGAAAGTTGGAAGCCTCTGAGCACCTTTCCCTTCCTATGGAGAAAGCAAACACTTTCCCAGAACCCCTTTCAGCAGCTGGCATCACGGGGCCATCCCAGCTACAAGGAGGTCTGGAAAGTTGTAGTTTGGTCTTCCAGGCTCTACCGTATACGGCGATGGTCCCCACAGAAGCCCTCAAAGGCTTGTTCAGCCCAGCTGCTGGCCCCCACCCAGAGTTTCTGATTCAATAGGTCGGAGCGGGAGACCTGAGAACGTGCATTGGTGTTTTTTTGTTTGTTTTTTAGACGGAGTTTCGTTCTATTCACCAGGCCGGAGTGCAGTGGTGCGGTCTCAGGCTCACTGCACCCTCTACCTCCCAGGTTCAAGTGATTCTCCTGCCTCGGCCTCCCGAGTAGCTGAGATTACAGGTGCCCACCACCATGCCCAACTAATTTTTGTATTTTTAGTAGAGACAGGGTTTCACCATGTCGGCCAGGCTGGTCTCAAACTCCTGACCTAAAGGGATCCTCCCACCTCAGCCTCCCAAATTGCTGGGATCACAGGTGTGAGCCACCATGCCCGGCTGAGAATATGCATTAAGTTCTCAGTAAATGCTGATGCTGCTGGTCCCAGGACCACACTTTGAGAGCCACTGGTAGAGAGGCAGACGGGAGTAAGAGAGAAAGAGTAGGCATTGGCTGGAAACGGTGGCTCATACCTGTAATCCCAGCACTTTGGGAGGCCAAGGCGGGTGGATCATGAGGTCAGGAGATCCAGACTGTCCTGGCCAACATGGTGAAACCCCGTCTCTACTTAAATACAAAAAAAAATTAGCCAGGCATGGTAGTGGGCGCCTGTAGTCCCAGCTACTTGGGAGGCTGAGGCAGGAGAATCGCTTGAACCCAGGAGGCAGAGGTTGCAGTGAGCCGAGATCGTGCCACTGCACTCCACCCAGGCGACAGAGCAAGACTCTGTCTCAAAAAAAAAAAAAAGAAAAGAAAAGAAAAGCAGGAATTGGCGAGCCAGCAGCCTAGAGTCCCGACCACACACACTGACGTTCGGATGGAGGCAATGAGCCACCTTCCAGAAAAGGGCACAGAGATGGAAAGAGTATTCTACACAGACACAGAGCTCAGCCTCATCCTTGGACCCCCTTAGGGTTCTGTGACCCCAGCAGGGCTTGCTGTGCTGTAGTGTCCAGTGCCAGCCCCTGAGTCCACAGCCCCACATCCCTTCCTGACCATGCCTGGGGTGGGCTAGCCTGAGTCCCCGATAGCCATCAGGGCTCAGAACCTGGTTGGCGCAGGGATCTTCCTCTCCTGTGGCGCCCTAAAGCCTTTTCCAGTCCTCAAACCCCAGCCTCTCTCCACACAGGACACCCACACTCAGGCAGCCAACTCAGACTTCTGACCACAGTCCACAGTAGAATTGTGTCCATCTATACAGAAATATCTATGTTAAAAAAAAAAAAAGGTGGCTTTGAGCAGTGGCTCACGCCTGTAATCCCAGCACTTTGGGAGGCCAAGGCAAGCGGATCACAAGGTCAAGAGCTCGAGACCGTCCTGGCCAACATGGTGAAACCCCATCTCTACTGAAAATACAAAAATTAGCTGGGCGTGGTGGTGGGCACCTGTAGTCCCAGATACTCGGGAGGCTGAGGCAGGAGAATCGCTTGAATCTGGGAGGCAGAGGTTGCAGTGAGCCAAGATCATGCCACTGCACTCCAGCCTGGCAACAGAGCGAGATTCCATCTCAAAAAAAAAAAAAAAAAGGTGAAGCAGTGGTTTCCAAAATAATTCTTAACCTGTGTGTGATATACTTTGATCCAGTCTACTCTATTTAAAAACTTTTAATGCTGATCAATCCCCACTCAGATGATTTCATGGCTTACAGTGTTCTCTGACAGATATTTGAAAACCACTGTGTTTGAGTGATTGTAGTGTCAGCACTTCCCCGGGCACACTGTGATCCAAGGGTCTCCTTGAGTCAAAGAGCCAGGAGAAGGGCTGAAGGAGGAAAGAGGAGACAGACAGAGAGAGACACTGTCTGAGTGTTTTAGACCTCTCAGTTCATCTCCCTAGACAAGTGGCTGTTTGTTTTTTAGAAACAGGGTCCTGCTCTATTGCCCAGGCTGGGGTGCAGTAGTACGACCATAGCTCACGATAGCCTCGAACTCCTCAGCTCAAGTGTTCCTCCCACCTCAGCCCCCTAAGTAGCTGAGACTACAGGTGTGTGCCCCCATGCCCAGCTAATTTTTTAAGTTTGTTAGTAGAGAAGGGGTCTCACTGTGTTGCCAAGGTTGGTCTCGAACTCCTGGGCTCAAGCGATGCTCCCATCTCGGCCTCTCAAAATGCTGGGATTACAGGCATGAGCTACCACACCTGGTGACGAGTACCTCTTAATCTTTTGAACATGTGGACTCTTTTGAATGGCTCTTTCATTCATTTATTCATTCACTCCATTCATAAGTATTTCTTAGGGATTTGCTCGGTCCCAGACACTGTGCTGGGAGCTGAGAGAAATCAGGAGCACATTTGGATGAGGCCTCCCCACCGCCCACTGTCAAATGAGGGAAGCAGATGAGAATCAGATAATCACTGAGACAAATGAATACGTGTGCGCTCCCAGGCCGGGCACGGTGGCTCACGCCTATAAACCCAGCACTTTGGGAGGCCGAGGTGGGCGGATCACCTGAGGTCAGGAGTTCGAGACCAGCCTGGCCCACATGATGAAACTCCGTCTCTACTAAAAATACAAAAATTAGCCAGGCATGGTGGTGGGCGCCTGTAATCCCAGCTACTCGGGAGGCTGAGGCAGGAGAATCCCTTGAACCTGGGAGGTGGAGGGTACAGTGAGCCAAGACTGCACCACTACACTCCAGCCTGGGGAATAGAATGAGACTCCATCTTAAAAAACAAAAACAAAAACAAAACAAAACAAAAATACATTGCACTCCAGCCTGGGTGACGGAGTGAAACTCTGTCTCAAAAAAATAAAAAATAAAAATAAAACACTGTGGAAAAAAAAACAAAAACCTGTGCCACGAAGAGGGACATGAAGCCAAGAGAGTCTATACCAGGGGCCTCAGGTCTCGATTGCAGTAGCCCCCATTCCAGGCATGGGACCACCACCTTAGCGAACCCGAACAACTGGGAGGATTTGAAATCCGAGACATAAAGACAGCCAGGCCTGGAGTAGACTGTGGCTGAGATGGGAGGGTGGGTATGAAATAACCCTGTGTCTAAGGAAAGGATCTGCTGAACCCAGAAATGAAGGCAATGAAATGGGAGAGGAGCCCGCTGCAGAAGAGGGCCCTGCGGTTGGGAGCTTTAATTTGCATACAGACAATTGATGCTAATTGCAAATCATTCTTATCTGCTCATTAAAGCTGCTTCCTGAAGTTTTCTCCTAGGCAACCAGGCTTGAGTGTGGCACAGCATTTCCCAAAATGGGGTGCTTGAGGTGATTTGGGTGGTGCGGGGAGGAAAATGTTTTATTTTAAATGGATATATGCTTGCTTTCATGAGTATTAGGAAAAAGAGTTTGCAACTCACCCCCTGATTTTACAGATACCACCTTGGACAAGTTAAGGAGAAAATAAAATGAGTTGATTTAAAAAAACATATCCAGGCCCGGCGCAGTGGCTCACGCCTGTAATCCCAACACTCTGGGAGGCCAAGGCAGGTGGATCACTTGAGGCCAGGAGTTCGAGACCAGCCTGACCAACACGGTGAAACCCCATCTCTACTGAAAATACAAAAATTAGCCAGGCGTGGTGGTGCACGCCTGTGGTCCCAGCTATTCTGGAGGCTGAGGCGGGAGAATCGCTTGAGTCTGGGAGGCAGAGGTTGCAGTGAGCCGAGATCACGCCATTGCACTTCAGCCTTGGCAACAGAGTGAGACTCAGTCTCAAAAAAAAAAAAATCCATGTGGATAAGAGTGTGGCCTTTAGTGTCAGCCCACCTGCATTCAATCCCTCCCTCAGCGACTTCTTGGCTGTGTACCCCCAGGCAAGTAACTGAACCTCTCTGGGCCTCAGTTTCCTCATCTGTGAAACTAGGGATAAACCACATACCTACATCATAGGGATGTGGTAAAGATTGAATGTACCCTTAGAACAGTGCTTTGACTTGAAGACTGCCTGTCAGAATCATGGGGTATGAGGGTGTATTTGAAAAACACACAGAAATGAGGCCTTGCCTCAAATTCACGAAATCAGAATATCCCCCCTGGTCCAAGACCTGTTACAGGCAGTGCTGGGGACACAGCGGTGACTGGGGGAGCCCCAGTCCTGCCTGACTGACGCATTCCCAGACAGAGACAGCCCAGAGGGGTCAGGTCAAGATGGGCGAGGCCCAGGCAGAGGGGTCAGGGTCAGGGTGGGGGGCCCAGGCTAAGGGGTCAGGGCTGGGATACAAGGCAGCTGCGAAGAGGGGTCAGGGTAAGATGAGGGGCCCAGGTAGAGGGGCCAGGGTGAGATGAGGGGCCCAGGTAGAGGGGCCAGGGTAAGATGAGGGGCCCAGGTAGAGGGGCCAGGGTGGGCTGGAGGGGGGCCAGGCAGAGGGGTTGGGGCCATGATGGAGGGGTACAGGGATGTGAGAGCCCAAAGGGGGCCCCCCTAACCCAGTTGTGAGAGGGGCCAGCCCAGTTGTGGGAGGGGCTTTCCTGGAGAAAGAGTCTGAGCTAGCCAGGGAAGTCAGGAGGGAAAAGCAGTCCAGACAGAGAATGAGACGGACTCCCACTGTCCATCTCACCCCACCTCACTCCATTGGCCTCCCACAGTCTTCCCATTTCAGTAGGCACAAGTTCCCTGGATGGTCACAGAGCCACCTGCTTGGGGCCAGACCTTGGTTCAAGTGGCCACACGTGCCTCTGCCTCCCATGGCGGCCACACTGCACTGTGCACCGGGCAGCCCAGCAGCCCCCCTCATGTGCTGTCGTCAGAACGTGCCCCTGGGCTGGAGTGACAGCCTGCTCCCCAGCCTCTGCTCCTGGAAGGCAGGCACCTTTGAACAGGCCCAGCATGAGCACTCATTGACTGCCCTATGTCTACCTCCACAGCACTCTGTGGCATAGAACTTGGTATTTATTCACACAGCGAGCGCCTGCTGTGCACCGGGGCCTCTGCAGGGAGCTGGAACAGGCAGACCAGATCCCCACCGTCCTGGTACGGACGGAGGCCCATGGGAAACAGCTAGTGAATAATGCCAAAAGTCATGAATGAATTGTGCCAGGGGACAGCCTGCAGAGACGGGTGGGGTCTGAGGGTGGATGGGATGCAGAGCTGGAGGAGGTGTCTAATCTAGCCTAGGGCCAGCGATAATGTTCCTGAACGAGGGTCACATCTGCCAAGGATGAGGGGGACAGGGAGGAGGGAGCGGGTGAAGGAGGAGAGGGGTTCAGTGGGGCTGGAGAGACATTCATCTGGGATGCAGTTATACAGGTATTTGCTCTGTTTTTGAAATTGTGTGTATATATGCAACATATATATAGACACACACACTTTCTGGGCCTCAATATATGTTGTGAACCTCAGTATGTATATATACAACTATGTATATATACACACATATGTTTTTTTTTAAGTCTGTTGAATTTCTCATTCAGAAGAATGTATATATGACTATTTACCATTAACAAAAAAACAGAAGGGAAAGATGAGGCGTGGAGAAAGTATGTCTATGAATTAGAGTTGCGTGTGCAAAGTCCCTGTGGTAGGGAGGAGGGTGGTATCGTCAGGCCACTGAACACAGGCCCTTGGGCTCAAGTATAGAAATTGTGGCTGGGCACAGTGGCTCATGCCTGTAATCCCAGCACTTTGGGAGGCCAAGGCAGGAGCATCACTTGAGGCCAGGAGTTTGAGACCAGCCTGGGCAACATAGACCCATCTCTATCCCCCTACCAAAACTTTTTTTTTTTTTTTTTTTTTTTTGAGATGGAGTTTCGCTCTTGTTGCCCAGGCTGCAGTGCAATGGCACAGTCTCAGCTCACTGCAACCTCTGCCTCCCAGGTTCAAGCGATTCTCCTGCCTCAGCCTCCCGAGTAGCTGGGATTACAGGCACCTGCCACCACGCCCGGCTAATTTTTGTATTTATAGTAGAGACAGGGTTTCACCATGTTGGCCAGGCTGGTCTCGAACTCCTGACCTCGGGTGACCCACCCACCTTGGCCTCCCAAAGTGCTGAGATTACAGGCATGAGCCACCATGCCTGGCCAAAAATTTTTTTAAATTAGCTGGGTATGGCAGTAGGCTCCTGCAGTCCCAGCTACTCAAGAGGCTGAGGTGAGAGGATCACTTGAGCCTGGAAGTTCGAGACAGCAGTGTGCTGTGATTGCACCACTGCACTCCATCCTGGGTAACTGATTGACACCCTGTTGATCAATCAATCACTCCATCCTGGGTGACAGAGCAAGGCCCTGGAGGTAGGTAGGTAGGTAGGCAGGTAGGGCAGCCAATGGGAGGTTGGGGAAATCAGCAGTGGCCAGAACATTCAGGGCCCTACCAGCTCCATTATGGAGTTTGGATCTCATCTTAAGAGCAGCCAGGGTAATGCGGGTGGATTTGTGTTCCAAAATATGGTGCTGGCAGCGAGACAGGAGGCAAAGTCTCTGAGGGGGCTGAGGCTTGGATCTGCATGGGAGGACGTGGGCCTGAGCTGGAGGACAAAGCAACTGTGGATGTGGCAGCAGGCGGCATTGCCAGGAAGTAAGCTGGGAGGGAGATGCAGGCCCAGGGCAGAGCCAGCAAGCCATGTGAGAGTCCAGGGTGGCTGCCACGTGTCTGGAGGCTGCCGTGGCCTGGGAGCACCTGAGGTGCTTGTGAGAAGAGGAGGCAGAGTGGGGCAGCCAGCGGGGACTGATTCTTCCAGTCACTGACCTTTGCAGCCCCTACTCTGTGCCAGGTGTCGCAGCATCCTTCCCTTATGGAGCTGTCATTCTCCTGGAGACAGGACAAGACAGACAGACAGCCGAACCACCGTGGAGTGTGCCAGGAGGTGATAAGTGCTGGGGAGGAAAGGCAAAAACAGCGGGTCTCTGGGAAGGCTTCTCAGGAGGTGATGCGTTGTAGGAAGCCAGGGTGAGATCCAGGCAGTGGAAACAGTAGATGACTAGACCCTGAGGGTGAACTTACTCTCAATGCTCCAGAAATGGTCAGGTGGCCAGAGGGGCTGAAGCAGGTGGGATGGGGGGAGAGTGGCAGGAGGTCAGCATAGTGAGGTGGCAGGAGCCTGGTTCTAGCGGGCATATTGACCAAAGTCAGATGCTGGGATTTGGTTCCAAGGGACATGGGAGCCATGGGAGGCATTTGAGCACATCATCTGACTTAATGTTTTTAAAAAGATTACTGTGGGCTGGACGTAGTGGCTCACACCTGTAATCCCAGCACTTTGGGAGGCTAAGGCAGGTGGATCACTTGAGCCCAGGAGTTCAAGACCAGCCTGAGCAACATGGCAAAACCCCATGTCTACAAAAAATTAGCTGGGTGTGGTGGCACACGCATGTTGTCCCAGCTACTTGGGAGGCTGAGGTTGGAGGATTGCTTGACCCCGGGAAGTGGAGGCTGCAGTGAGCCGAGATCACATCACTGCACTCAGCCTGGGTGACAAAGTAAGACCTTATCTCAAAAAATGATAATAATAAAATGTAAAAATGAAAAAATAGAAAAGATCACTGTGGGCTACTCTGGAGAGGACGGACTATCTTGGGCAGGGGGAGGATGGTGGTCAGCATTCAAAGGCTGCCAGGAGAGGGATGGGTCCTGACACGCCCAAGCGGGGAGCCCCCTACCCTCCCTTCCCCGGGCTGCGGCCCTTGCCGTGGAAGCAGGTGCAGCCTGTAGCAGCTTGTGCCCATCGATGACCTCACAGATGCTCCCTCCAGACATTCGTCATGGGAGCCCAGCTGCCAGGCATGCTGCCAGGCGCCAGTGCCTGCCATGGGCACCGCAGTGGGCTGAGTGATCCTGGGCGGGCAGCCACCTGGCCCTCGCCCTCTCCTGAGGCAGCACGCACTCCAGAGCTTTCTGGGCTTCCAGAGCAATTTGTCAGAGCTGTTAGGAGCAGTCATAGGCTCTCGGCTCCACATGGAGCTGACGCAGCCGGGCGTTCCCAGGCAGGCAGGAAGCACGTGGCCTTGCTTCCCCAGGCTGCGCCAGGAGTCCCTGGGATGCCCTTCTGGGGACACAGCCCTGAAAGGTAATCTGAGGGCCTGAAGATCCACCGGGGCCCACCCTGCCTGTGAGTGTTGGGAGGCTGGGGTCACCTGAGACAGAGACCTCCTCGGAGAGTCACAGCTTGGGAAGAGGAAGCGAGGCCGTCTCCTGGAACTCAAGGGAGTGCGGAAGCCAGGCAGAGATCTGCAGGGCGGGGAGCAGTGCAAAGGTCCCAAGGTAGCAGTGTTTCTGATGTGTTTGAGGAACAGCTTCCGCATGGCTGGAGCAGAGTGAAGGAGAGGGAGTGTGGAGGAGCTGGGGGCAGAGAAGAGAGGGGGGCAGATGGGGGGCCCTGTCGGGAGGGCTCTGGGTCTTACCCAGAGTGAGGTGGAACCCTGAGAGAGTCCTGATCTGATTCACATGTTCCCAGGATCTCTCTGGCTGTGTGCTGAGGCTGGGGAAGGATGCAGGAGGAAGAGGGAGCCAGGAGGAGGCCGCTCTGACAATACAGGTGGCAGTGGTTGGTGGAGGTAGCGAGCAGTGGCTTGATTGGTATCTCTGTTGAATCTCTTGCCTAGACCCTCTCTGTGTCTGCTTCCTGAAGACCCGTCGCTTCTGCCCCACAGGCCACAGGGGCAATGTGGCTGCTTACGGCTCCTACACTGGAGCACAATTCCAGCCGCATGCAGGGATGAATTGGTTCTCCAGCCCATGACACACGTCAGGGAGAGAAAGCAAGATTGGTCCAGGGTGAAGGCCAAGTGGCTGGGGGCCCTCGGGGTATGTGGGTGAGCAGTGTGACTTCAGGGCTCTTCCTCTGACTGCCTATGTCTACATCACAGCTCCACCTCTTACCCCAACTGCGTGATCTCTCTCAGGCCCCTTAGGTGCTCTGAGGCTCAATGTCCTCATCTGTAAAATGGGGGTAATAGGATCTGTCAACCAGACACGGTGGCTCGCCTCTCATCCCAGCACTTTGGGAGGCCGAGGCGGGCGGATCACCTGAGGTCAGGAGTTTGAGACCAGCCTGGCCAACATGATGAAACCCCGCCTCTACTAAAAATACAAAAATTAGCCAGGTGTGGTGGCGGGTGCCAGTAGTCCCAGAGACTCGAGAGGCTGAGGCGAGAGAATCACTTGATTGCAGTGAGCTGAGATGGCACCACTGGACTCCAGCCTGGGTGACAGAACTAGACTCTTTCTCAAAAAAAAAAAAAAGGATCCTCCATCTAAAGTTGTGAGGGCGAACTGAGACCATGAGTTTAAAGCACTTATCACAGGACTGGAGACATAGCTGGGCTCAAGTGTATCAGCTGCTGCTGTGTTTTATTCTCATGTATTATGTATTGATATTTATCGTTAACAGTTGTTGTCACTGGGAGTACAGAATGGTGGTTAAAATATCGTCTCTCAAACCAGACTACCTATGTCTACATCCTGGCTCTTATCCCCCACTAGCTACATCATTTCGGGCAAGTTATTTCATCTCCCTGGGCCTCAGTTTCCCCCACCTGGAACATGGAGGTGGTGGTAGTTCCTGTCTCGGGGTTGCTACGGCGGCTAAGTGAGGTGACGCCTATAAGATGCTTAGAACAAGGCCAGGCAGCTTCCACAGGCTCAGAGTGGTCAGCACTGTCACTGCCACCTACTGTGCCACTGCTCCTCCTGGAGGCAGGGACCACAGCTCGCTCCCTGAGAGCCTGTCACCCACCCAGGACCACCCATTGGTCCCCTTCAGAGTCCCCAGGCTGAACAGACCAAAAGCATTGCACACACTTATGCAGCTGGTATGATTTCTCTACCCAGCCTCTGGTTTTTCAGCTTTTTTTGGAAGCATAAATCCTTTGACTCCAACAAAATGTTAAATGCTCCCCTAAGATGTCAAGCAGGTTAATGCATAGCTCTCTGGTTGAAGGTGAGGATGGAAGCACAGAGCACGTTGCCTGCCCCTCCCCCGCTACCACCAGTGCTGTCTGAGCCCAGAGCCCAGGGACCCACCACCTCCCTGGCACCTGCAGCTCCGCGGTTCCTCCTCAGGACTCAGTGCTGAGCACTTAGCACATAGGATCTCGTGAGGCAGGTGCTGTCATTGCCTCATTTCTCAGAGGAGGAAACTGAGGCTCACTGAGGGGAATAGACCCCACGCAAGTTGGCCACTGTGTTGATGGGAGCCAGGATTGGAACTGGGTCAGGTGGACAGCAAAGCCCACACTATGCTGCCCCAGTTTTCAAGTTGATATTGAGACTTCAGGAGGACGCATGGGCACACTGGCGCTCCAGAAAGAAAGAACGTTCAGGCTGGGCGCTGTGGCTCACGCCTGTAATCCCAGCACTTTGGGAGGCCGAGGCGGGCGGATCATGAGGTCAGAAGTTCAAGACCAGCCTGACCAACATGATGAAACCCCGTCTCTACTAAAAAATACAAAAATTAGCCAGGCATAATGGTGGGTACCTGTAATCCCATCTACTTAGGAGGTTGAGGCAGGAGAATCACTTGAGCCTCCTGAGTAGCTGGGATTACAGGTGCACACCGTCACACTTGGCTAATTTTTTTTTTTTTTCAAGTACAGATGGGGTTTCGCCATGTTGGCCAGGCTGGTCTCAAACTCCTGACCTCGGGTGATCCATTCGCCTCAGCCTCCCAAAGTATTGGGATTACAGGCGTAAGCCACTGCACCCGGCTGGCCACTTACTTTTTACCCTGTGCCATTTATGTAGTTTAATTAGACTTTTTTTAGGGTTGGTTTTTTTTTTGTTTTTTTTATTTGCTTGTTTTTTGTTTTTTTTGAGTGATGGGGACTCTGTCACCCAAGCTGGAATCCAATGGTGCAGTCATGCCTCACTGCAGCCTCAAACTCCTGGGTTCAAGCGATTCTCCCACCTCAGCGTCCCAAGTAGCTGGGACTACAGGCATATGCCACTATGCCCAGCTTAATTTGACTTTTATTCCGTACATGTTCCCCATCATTACTACTTTCAGAGAGAATCCATTAGTGTACACTCCTCCAGAGATTTTTCTCTAAACCTTTACCAACCCAGTTCTTTCAAACATACCACTTAGGCCAGGCATGGAGGCTTACACCTGTAATCCCAGCACTTTGGGAGGTCAAGGCAGGTGGATCACCTGAGGTCAGCAGTTCAAGACCAGCCTGACCAATATGGAGAAACCCCATCTCTACTAAAAATACAAAATTAGCTGGGTGTGGTGGCACATGCCTGTAATCCCAGCTACTCGAGAGGCTGAGGCAGGAGAATCGCTTGAACCTGGGAGGCGGAGGTTGCAGTGAGCCAAGATCATGCCATTGCACTCCAGCCTGGGCGACAAGAGTGAAACTCCGTCTCAAAAAAACAAACAAACAACAAAAAAACAAACAAACAAACAAAAAACATGCCACTTAACCCTTACCTTGCAAGAAATACAGTGACTTTTTAAAAATTCTAGTTTAGCTGGGCCGGGCGCGGTGGCTCACTCCTGTAATCCTAGCACTTTGGGAGGCCAAGGTGGGCAGATCATGAGGTCAGGAGATCGAGACCACCCTGGCTAACACGGTGAAACCCCATCTCTACCAAAAATAGAAAAAACTAGCCAGGTGTGGTGGTGGGCGCCTGTAGTCCCAGCTACTCAGGAGGCTGAGGCAGGAGAATGACGTGAACCTGGGAAGCGGAGGTTGCAGTGAGCTGAGACTGCGCCACTGCACTCCAGCCTGGGTGACAGAGCAAGACTCCATCTCAAAAAAAAAAAAAAAAATTCTAGTTTATTTTGCCAGGCGCAGTGACTCATGCCTGTAATCCCAGCTCTCAGAGAGGCAGAGGCAGGAGGATAGCTTGAGCACAGGAGTTCGAGACCTGCCTGGGCAATTTAGTGAGACCCCATTCCCCACAAAAAGGGGGAAAAAAGGACAAAAAAAAGTATAAAATTCTACTTTATTTCTTTTTTTCTCTATACATATGTGTGTATATCTATCTATATATTTTTTCCCTTAAATACACAGAATCATGTTTTATACCATGCATCGTTTCCATTTACTATAGTTCAGACCATCTGTCCTCATACATAAACAGAGATTGACCTTTGCACTGGCTGCATAGTTTTTGATCATAAGGATATGCTTGCGGCAGGGCGCAGTGGCTCATGCCTGTGATCCCAGCACCTTGGGAGGTCGAGGCAGGTGGATCACTTGAGGCCAGAAGTTCAAGACCAGCCTAGCCAACATGGTGAAACCCCGTCTCTACTAAAAATACAAAAATTATCCAGGCATGGTGGTGAATGCCTATAATCCCAGCTACTCAGGAGGCTGAGGCACAAGAATCGCTTGAACCCCGGAGGCGCAGAGGTTGCAGCGAGCCGAGATCACACCACTGCACTCCAGCCTGGCCATTTCCAACTTTTCCTGATTATAAACAGTACTACAGAGACCGTCCTCATACCTGCCTGTGTGTGCTTGTGCAGGCTTTTGGTGTGTGTGTGTGTGTGTGTGTGTGTGTGTGTGTGTGTGTGTGTGTGTGTGTTTTGTAGCTAAGACTATGGGACTATGGGCATGTGCTATTATTCCTGGCTATTTTTATTTTTTTGTGGAGGCAGGGTCTCTAGGGCTGGGCATGGTGCCTCACAACTGTAATCCTAGCACTTTGGGAGGCTGGGGTGGGAGGATCATTTGAGCCCCGGAGTTCAAGACCAGCCTGGGCAACATAGCAAGACCCCGTCCCTAGATAGAGTCTCTACAGCAACTCCTGGGCTCCAGCAGTTCTCCCACCTAAGCCTCCCAGAGTGCTGGGATTACAGCATGAGCCACCATGCCCGGCCTTGTGCAGGCTTTTCTATTGCATGGATTTCTGGGAGGCCAAATGTCTTGTTTTTGTTTTTGAGATGGAGTCTCACTCTGTCGCCCAGGCTGGAGTGCAATGGTGCGATCTCGGCTCACTGCAACCTCCGCCTCCCAGATTCATGCCATTCTCCTGCTTCAGCCTCCCGAGTAGCTGGGACTACAGGCGCCCACCACCATGCCCAGCTAATTTTTTTGTATTTTTAGTAGAGACAGGGTTTCACTGTGTTAGCCAGGATGGTCTCGATCTCCTGACCTCATGATCTGCCCGTCTTGGCCTCCCAAAGTGCCGGGATTACAGGCATGAGCTACCACACCCAGCCAGGCCAAATGTTAAGCTGAAGCCAGTCATCCTTCAGTTCTCAGTTCTGATGCTCTTGTCTCCTGGGGAAAGCATTCCTGACCATTCTTGGTGTTACATGCTTCAGTAGTTCCCTGGACATCTCCTCACCAATGCCTACTCTTTGCTCCATTGATAGATGTTGCTAAATTGTGGAAAGCATTACATAGTTGCTGTTTCAATCCAGTCGGACAATCCCTGCCTTTTGATGGGAGTGTTCAGACCATTCACGTTAAATGTAATTATTACTGCTAATGGTTGGATTTGCATTAGCCATTTTGCTATTGTTTCTGTATGTCTACTATCTTTCTTGCTCCTCTGTTCTTCCTTACTGCCTTATACTGTAGTAAATAAATACAGTTTCAGGCCGGATGTGGTGGCTTACACCTGTAAAATCCCAGCACTTTGGGAGGCCCAGGCGGGCAGATCACCTGAAGTCAGGAGTTCGAGACCAGCCTGGCCAGCATGGCAAAACCCTGTCTCTACTAAAAATACAAAAATTAGCTGGGCGTGGTGGCATGCACCCGTAATCCCAGCTACTCAGGAGGCTGAGGCAGGAGAATCGCTTGAGCCAGGGAGGCGGAGGTTGCAGTGGGCCAAGGTTGCACCACTGCCCTCCAGCCTAAGTGACAGAGTAAGACTCTGTCTCAAAAGTTAAAAATAAAAAATATATATAATTTAGTATAACATTTGGATTCTACTCTTGTGTAACTATCTTTTTAGTTATTATAATGTGCGTCTATCACTGCAATTCAGGTTAATACTAAATTCCAATAAAATATAAAACTTTTCTCCAATATTGTCCTATTTCCTTCTCCCTTTTTTGTGCTCTGTTTATCATAAACATCCATATGTGTTTTAACCCAGCAGTATAGTATTGTCATTATTGCCTTATACAGTCTTATGTCTTTAAGGAAGTTAAGAGAAGAAATAAGAAAGCATATACTTTTATAGAATCTTATTTTAAACCACAGTTTGCCATCTTGGGCTATTCATTTCTGTCTACTGACTCAGGTCATTGTCTAGAGTCATTTCTTTCAGCCTGAGGACTTTTTTTTTCTTTTTTTTTAGATGGAGTCTCACTCTGTCACCCAGGCTAGAGTGCAGTGGCGCAATCTCAGCTCACTGCAACCTCTGCCTCCTGGGTTTAAGCAGTTCTCCTGCCTCAGCCTCCTGAGTAGCTGAGATTACAGGTGCCCGCCACCACTCAGTTAATTTTTGTATTTTTAGTAGAGATGGGGTTTCACCATATTGGCCAGGCTGCGAGCTCTCCTGACAGGCGATCCACCTGCCTTGGCTTCTCAAAGTGCTGGGATTAACCCGAGGAGTTTTAAAATTATTTTGTATCAGGCAGGTGTGCTAGCAACAAATTCTCTCCATCTCTGTTTATATAGGAACATCTTTCTGTTGCCTTCATTTTTCAAGGATGGTTTTGCTGGGTATAGAATTCCTGGTTAACAGTTGTTTTCTTTCAGCACTTTAAAAGTTACATTTTATTTCATTCTTTTAAATGAGAAGTCAGCAATTAATTGTGTTTTTTTTTCTTTTTTATAGAAGTGGGGTCTCACTGTGTTTCCCAGGCTGGTTTCCAACTCCTGGGCTTGAGTGATCTTCCCGTCTTGGCCTCCCAAAGTGCTGGGATTATAGGCCTGCTAATTGTATTGATGCTCCTCTATATGCGATGCATCATCTTTTTCTTGATGCTTTCAAGATGTTTATCTTAGCATTTTTCTTTTTTTCTTTTCTTTTTTTTTTTTTTTTTGAGACAATTTCACTCTTTTTGCCCAGGTTGGAGTGCAACGGCATAATGGCGTGATCTCGGCTCACCGCGACCTCCGCCTCCCGGGTTCAAGCGATTCTCCTGCTTCAGCCTCCCAAGTAACTGGGATTATATGGATGCGCCACCACACCTGGCTAATTTTTTTGTATTTTAGTAGAGATGTAGTTTCTCCATGTTGGTCAGGCTGGTCTCGAACTTCTGAGCTCAGGTTATCTGCCCGCCTTGGCCTCCCAAAGTGCTGGAATTACAGGCGTGAGCCACCGCGCCCGGCCAGCATTTAACTTTCAACTCCTTTTCTAGGTGTGAATCTCTTTGTATTTTTCCTACTTGGTGTTTGTTGAGCTTCTTGGATGTGTAAGGTTTTCATCAGATTTAAGAAGTTTCCAACCATTATTTCTTCAAATATTTTTTCTGCCCCTTCTCTCCTCTCCTTCCAAAGTTCCTGATGCACATATGTTGGTACCCTTGATACCGTCCCAAAGGTTCTGCTCTGGAAGAACTTCTTCACTCACTGAGCTGGGAAGAGGTGGGGGGAGGACAAAATGCGACAAATTTCCTCTGTTCTTCCCTAAAGTTCAGTTTCTCAAGCATACATGCTTCTCAAATTGTTGTATGTGTTTGGTCAATTTTCGGAGTACTGAAATGGTCATTTGTGGTCAATGTTGTCATCTCTGGGGAGATGTGCCAGTCTTCTCATTTGACTGTAGTCAAAGTACCATCCTGTGATACTGCTAAATTGACCCTCAAAAGGGATTTATTAACTTATATATATAATCCTAGCTGGGTGTGCTGGCACATGCCGTGTTCCCAGGTACTTAGGAAGCTGAGGTGGGAGGATCGCCTGAGCCCAGGAGTTCGAGGCCAGCCTGGGCAACATAGCGAGACCTTGTCTCTTTAAATAAACAAAAAACCAATAATCCTCCCACCCATCCCCCACAAAATGCCCCCTTTTATATACACATGCGTATGTTTTTGCATAGAAAAAGGTTGACCGGGTGCGGTGGCTCACACCTGTAATCCCAACACTTTGGGAGGCTGAGGTAGGCGGATCATCTGAGGTTAGGAGTTTGAGACCAGCCTGGCCAACATGGTGAAACGCTGTCTCTACTAAAAATACAAAAAACTTAGCTGGGCGTGGTGGCACACATCTGTAATCCCAGCTACTGGGGAGGTTGAAGCAGGAGAATCGCTTGAACCCGAGAGACTGAGGATGGAGTGAGCTGAGATTGCACCACTGCACTCCAGCCTGGGCAACAGAGTGAGACTCTGTCTCAAAAAAAAAAAAAAAAAAGGTTAAGGGCCAGGCCCAGTGGCTCATCCTGTAATCCCAACACTTTGGGAGGCCAAGGCAGGCGGATTGCTTGAGCCCAGGAGCTCAAGACCAGCCTGGGAACATAGTGAAACCCCATCTCTACAAAAATTAGCTAAGCATAGTGGTGCATGCCTGTAGTCCCAGCTACTCGGAGGCTGAGGTGGGATGATCACTTGAGGCTGGGAGGTCGAGCCTGCAGTGAGCTGAGATCGCGCCACTGCATTCCAGCCTGGGTGACTGAGACCCTGTCTCAAAAAAAAAAAAAGAAAGGTTAGGAAGGAAATAGAGCAAACTGTAAGCCATAGTTCCCTGTCGAGATGGGCAGGAGGTAAGATCCCCACCTTTAGCTGCGTAGGTTGTACCAAGGAGACGGGAGTGAATTTTTCAGATTCCTATAGAGGAACCAAATGTGCTAGAAGGCCATCCTTGGGTGGGATTAGGCGCTGTGCAGGCAGTCTTCCCTTTTCTACAGATAGGCGTCTATACTGTTGGAATTTTCCACAGCGGTAATATATTTGTGTCTGTCTTGTGCAAATGAACTTTTTTGATTCCCAAGAGTAAACTTCAATAGCTCTGTCTTGCCAAATGTGGAATGGATTTGGTTTTTTTTATCTCTTTCATTTTTGCTTTGCAGTGACATGGGCTCGAGGGTTGGCTACCCCGCTCAGGTTTACAAAACTGCCAGTGCAGAGACTCCTCGGCCCTCCCAGCTGGCCCAGCCCAGCCCCTTTCAGCTCTCCGCCTCCGTCCCCAAGTCCTTCTTCTCCAAGCAGCCTGTACGCAATAAGCACCCAACAGGGTGGAAGAGAACGGAGGAGCCCCCACCACGGCCACTCCCCTTCAGTGACCCAAAGAAGTAAGTGCCTGGACGTCCAGCGAGGCGCCCGCCAGATCCACACCAGGGCGTCTCCGGGGCGGAAAGAGGGTGATGCCACATGCTGTCATTGCACAGACGACTGTGGGCCAGTGTACCAGTGTACACACTGGGGCTGCAGCTGCAAGCAGGACAGGCGAGAACCCCTCTTGGGGAGCTGGCATTCCATTTGGGGTGACCAACAATAAGTAGAATAAGAGAAGCACGCAATAGGTCAATGGTGGTTATCCTTGTGCCATATCCGGGTGTGGAACATTCCAGGGAGAAGGCATAGCAGCTGCAGAGGTCCTGAGGCAGTGAGTGACACGGTTGCCTGTGGGCAGGCCGGGGTGGCTGGAACAGTTTGGGCCAGGGGAGGGTGTGGGAACATGAGGTCAGGGAGGGATGGGGACAGACCATGGAGGGTCTTGAGGGCCACGTGGAAGGGACTTGGCATCTTCCCTGACTGAGATGGAGCCACGGGAGGGCATGGAGCAGAGAGGGGGCAGGATCTAAATTGGGCATTCCAGGGTCGCTGTGGCTGCGTGTGGGGAACAGCCTGCGAGGAGCAGGGAGGAGCTGCTGTCATGGTCCAGGCGCAGACGAAGGGGCGGGAGCAGGGTGGGGGCGGAGAGGGTGAGAAGGGGGCGGTTCCGGATAGATTATCTGAAATGGAGCAGACCGGGCTTGCTGGCAGGGTGGATGTGGTGTGAGAGAAAGAGAGGGGTTGAGGATGGTGCGTCGTCTTGAAGCCCGGAGGACAGACTTGCCTTGAGTGGGGAGCAGGCTTGGGGAAGGCACAGTAGCTCAATCCTGGATGCTTCGGTGCGAGATTCGCAGGAGACATCCAGACGGAGGCGTGAGGGGGGCCCTTGAGTAAGGAATCCCGAATTCAGTGGAGAGGTCAGGCTGGAGGGAGAACTTTGGGTGTTATCAGCCTAGAGCTGCGAGGCTGGAAGAGCCCCTAAGGCAGGGTGTGGAGAGAGGAGAAATGTGGGACTGAGACTGAAACCCCTTGATGTTGAGCCAAAGTGAGAAGCCGGGGAAGGCGGGGAGGTGCGGAGGCGGAGAGGTGCGGAGGCGGGGCCAGGGCCAGGAGAGGCGGAGCTCGGGCGAGGAGGCTGGGCCCAGGCCAGGGTGATGAGACTGAGAACCGACTATATAGGGTTAATCCTCCCAGAGGTCGCCGGAGGGTTCAGGAGAAAAGGGTGAGGCAGAATTGAGGAGCTGCGTGAGCAGTTCATTTGGGGCATTTTGCTTTAAAGTGAAAGAGGAGAGGGGTGTGCAGTTGAGAAAGGGTTTTGTTTTTCAGTCGGAGGATACAGGAGCTAACATTGCCTGAGCACTCACCACATCGAGGTTCAGTTCTAAGTGGTTTGATGCGAATGAATTTACTGGATCCCACAACAGCTCCATGGGGGTGGACCTGTCCTCCCCCCACCCCACCCCTTTTTTTTTGAGACGGAGTTTCATTCTTGTTGCCCAGGCTGGAGTACAATGACGTGATCTCGGCTCACTGCCACCTCCGCCTCCCGGGTTCAAGCGATTCTCCTGCCTCAGCCTCCCGAGAAGCTGGGATTACAGGCATGCGCCACCAAGCCCGGCTAATTTCGTATTTTTAGTAGAGACGGGGTTTCACCATGTTAGTCAGGCTGGTCTTGAACTCCTGGTATCAAGTGATCTGCCCGCCTGAGCCTCCCAAAGTGCTGGGATTACAGGCGTGAGCCACTGCGCCCGGCCCCTGTCCTCCCCCTTTTACAGATGAGGCAGCTGAGGCCCAGAGTCACAGGGCTGGTGAGGAACACAGCCTGGATCAGAGCCCAGGAAGCCTGGGTCAAGGCTCACGTCTCTTGAGTGAGGGGCTCTGCCCTCCTCCATCCTGTTCTTTGTAGTGTCATCTTTCATGACCTACATGGAGACATTCAAATCCGGGGATGACACAGAGCTTGGAGGGAGAGACGTGTCAGGAGACAGAAACAGTGTCCCTGGAGATATCAGCAGGCAAGTGTGCTGAGCTCACACTGAGAGCCAGAGGGGATTCTGAAAACTAGACTGATGATTAAAACTGCTTAAAAACTCAGCAGCCTCCCCATGCTCCCGGGATTAATGATGCAGGCTCACATTGACTACACACGTTTATACCAGGCGCCATGTTCTTTGCCGAAACTCCCGCTCAGAGCCTGGATGATCTGCCCCTCACCTCTGCCCTCGTTCCCATCCACTCTCCCCTCCTTGCTCTGTTCCAGCCACACTGGCCTCTTGCTGTTCCTCACACTCTCCACGTCCAGGCACACCCCAGGGCCTTTGCACTGGCTCTCACTGCTGCCTCCAGTGAGCTCCCTCCAGATCTTCTTGGGTGCAGCTCATGAGGACTCGCTCTAATGCCACCCCCTCAAACAGGTCCTCCTGGCCTTCAGTAGCCCAGGCTGTCATTCTGTGTCACTGTACTCTGTTCCACATCCCGTGTCCCCCATGGGAAACAGGTGCCACCGTCTTAGTCACAAGGCACTTGTAACGTGCCTGGCACACAGGGCATGCTCCATCCTGAACATAAGACGTGTGGATCTTGTTTGATTCTCACGTGACCCCAATAAGTAGATACTATAAGGCCCCCACTTTTCAGTGTGGCCCAAGTTGGGCCCTGCTGAACCCTGTTACCCTCCTCAACAATCACCCGTACACACTGCTTCCTCTGCCTGGAACCCACCCCCCAACCCGCACCCCCACTCTAGGCCCACTCCTGCCCACCCATGTTAATTTGCTGGGGCAGCCGCAACAAACTACCACACACTGAGTGGCTTAAACTGCAGAAATGTATCATCTCACAGTTGCGGAGGCCAGAAGTCCAAGTTCCAGGCGTCAACAGGGTGGTTCCCTCCAAGGGCGGTGAGGGAGAACCTGTTCCTGGCCTCCCTCTTAGCAGCCGGTGGGTGTCAGCACGTAGATTCATCACCCCCGTCTCTACCTCCTCTTCGCATGATGTTCTCCCTGCATCTGTGCCCACATTTCCTCTTTCTGCAAGGACGCCAATCTAACGGGATTAGGGGTCTACCCTAATGACCTCATTTTCACTTGATTGCCTCTGTAAAGACTCTGTCTCCAAATGAGGTCACATTTGGAGATGCTGGGGCTTAGGACTTCAATGTAGCTTTTTGTGGGGCCCCAGTTCAACCCATAACACCACTCCTTGGGTATCAACACAGACACGCCTTTCTTGCAGAAGTTGTCTGAACCCCCACACCAGGCTCAGCCCACCCCCAGCACCTGTCCCAGGGCACAGCGACCGCCACTCCCTTGGCAACTTGCTTCCTCTCTGTCACCCCCATGGGGCCCAGAACAGAGACATCCTGAACCTCACCCAGACCACACACTTAGTAGGTGCTCAGAAGATGTACCTGGAGAGACAACAACCCTATCCAACAACAGCTTTCCCAGTGATGAAATCCAGAGATGGCTTGTATATGTGTGTGTTGGTGTAAACATATGTAAACTAAGCATATAAAATATCAGCAGGAGACACAAATGAAATCGCTTCATAGTTCCTTTTAATATTTATTTATTTATTAATCTATTTATTTTATTTATTTATTTTTGAGATGGAGTGTTGCTCTGTTGCCCAGGTTGGAGTGCAGTGGCGTGATCTCGGCTCACTGCAACCTCCACCTCCTGGGTTCAAGCACTTCTTCTGCCTCAGCCTACCAAGTAGCTGGGACTACATGCGCATACCACCATGTCTGGCTAATTTTTGTTTTGTTTTGTTTTGTTTTGTTTTGTTCTTCTTAATTTTTGTATTTTTAATAGAGACGGGGTTTCACCATGTTGGTCAGGCTGGTCTCGAACTCTTGACCTCAGGCAATCCGCCCCCCCTTGGCCTCCCAAAGTGCTGGGATTACAGTTGTGAGCCACCGCACCCGGCCCCTTTTCATATGTATTTAGTTGCAGATACATTTTAAAAATCACAACCAAGGCCGAGTGTGGCGCGGTGGCTCATGCCTGTAATCCCAGCACTTTGGGAGGCTGAGGCAGGTGGATCACCTGAGGTCAGGAGTTCGAGACCAGCCTGACCAACATGGAGAAACCCTGTCTCTACTAAAAATACAAAATTAGCCAGGCGTGGTGTCGCATGCCTGTAATCTGTTCCACATCCCATGTACAGCTACTCGGGAGGCTGAGGCAGGAGAATTGCTTGAACCCAGGAGGCGGAGGTTGTGGTGAGCCAAGATCGTGCCATTACACTCCAGCCTGGGCAACAAGAGCTAAACTCTGTCTCAAAAAAAAAAAAAAAAAAAAATCACAACCAGATGCAGTGTCTCACATCTGTAATCCCAGCACTCTGGAAGGCCGAGGCGGGGGAATTACTTGAGGCTGGGAGTTGGAAGCCAGCCTGGGCAACAACATAGTGAGGTCCCACCTGCATAAAAAAATTTTTTTCAGCCAGGCGTGGTAGCTCACGCCTATAATCCCAGCACTTTGGGAGTCCAGGATGGGTGGATCACCTGAGGTCAGGAGTTTGAGACCAGCCTGGCCAACATGGTGAAACCCCATCTCTACTAAAAATACAAAAATTAGCCAGGTGTGGTGGCAGGCACCTGTAATCCCAGCTACTAGGGAGGCTGAGGCAGGAGAATCGCTAGAACCTGGGAGGCAGAGGTTGCAGTGAGACAAGATTGTGCCACTGCACTACAGCCTGGGCAACAAGAGTGAAACTCTTTCTCAAAAAAAAGACAAAAGGCACTTTGGGAGGCCGAGGCGGGTGGATCACGAGGTCAGGAGATCGAGTCCATCCTGGCTAACACGGTGAAACCCCGTCTCTACTAAAAATACAAAAAATTAGCCGGGCGAGGTGGCGGGCGCCTGTAGTCCCAGCTACTCGGGAGGCTGAGGCAGGAGAATGGCGTGAACCCCAGGGGGCGGAGCCTGCAGTGAGCCAAGATTGCGCCACTGCACTCCAGCCTGGGCGACAGCGAGACTCCGTCTCAAAAAAAAAAAAAAAAAAAAAAGACAAAAGGAAAAAAAAACTTTTTTCAAGGCGAGTGGATCACCTGAGGTCAGGAGTTCAAGACCAGCCTGACCAACATAGTGAAACCCCGTCTCTACGAAAATACAAAAATTAGCCGAGTATGATGGCAGGTGCCTGTAGTCTCAGCTATTGGGAGGCTGAGGCAGGAGAATCACTTGTACCCAGGAAGCGGAGGTTGCAGTGAGCCGAGATCGTGCCACTGCAGTCTAGCCTGGGCGACAGAGTGAGACTCTGTCTCAAAAAAAAAAAAATTGCATATATAAAATATTAACTTAGAATTATTATTTTTGTTCATACATTCCCCTTGTATGTGCTGTAGCTCACTGAGCATTTTGGAGACAGTGTCTTTGTTATCGTGAGAGGCACTTTTGAGTCACTTCACTTCTAACTCAATTATTTTAGATTAAACATGTTTTGTTGTTGTGGTGGTGGTGGTGGTGGTGGTGGTGACAGGGTTTCACTCTGTTGCCCAAGCTGGAGCACAGTGGCATGATCACAGCTCACTGCAGCCTCTGCCTCCTGGTACAAGTGATTCTCGTGCCTCAGCCTCCCGAGTAGCTGGGACTATAGGTGCCCGCCAGCATGCCCGGCTAATTTTTGTATTTTTAGTAGAGAAGGGGTTTTACCATGTTGGCCAGTCTGGTCTCGAACTCCTGACCTCAAGTGTTCCACCTGCCTTGGCCTCCAAAGTGCTGGGATTACAGGCGTGAACCACCATGCCAGGCCCAAAATTTAGACAACAGAGGCAACTCAGAGATGATGTCCAGTCCTGTCAGTCAGAACCTGGAGGATGTTTTCTTCACTGAGGTTTTGAAAGATAAAACATGCACAAGGTAAAAAATAAAATACTACAAAAGGGTTTGCAATAGAAAGTAAGCCTCTCGGCCAGGCGCGGTGGCGCATGCCTGTAATCCCAGCACTTTGGGAGGCCGAGGCGGGCGGATCACGAGGTCAGGAGATCGAGACCATCCTGGCTAACATGGTGAAACCCCGTCTCTACTAAAAATTAAAAAAAATTAGCCGGGCGTGGTGGCGGGCACCTGTAGTCCCAGCTACTCTGGAGGCTGAGGCAGGAGAATGGCGTGAACCTCGGAGGCGGAGCTTGCAGTGAGCCAAGATTGCGCCACTGCACTCCAGCCTGGGAGACAGCGAGACTCCGTCTCAAAAAAAAAAAAAAAGTAAGCCTCTCTCCCTTCCCTGGCCCTCAGCCATCCTGCTCCCTCCCCAAAAGCAGCCATTGTTTCATTTCTGCATCCTTCCAGAAATGTTCCAAACGTGACTGCACACACATGATTGTGTGGGCTTCCCTTGCACCTGTTTTATTAATGTGGTCACCTCCTGCATATGAACTACTTCCTCACTTGCTCTTGCTCTTCAAGTCTTTTTTTTTTTTTTTTGAGACAGGCTCTCACTGTCACCCAGGCTGGAGTGCAGTGGTGCCATCATAGCTCACTGCAGCCTCAACCTCCCGATCTCAAGCAGTCTCCTATCTTAGTAGCTGGGCCCATAGGAGTACACAACCACACCCACCTAGTTTTTTACTTTTTGTAGAGGTGAGATCTCACTGTGTTACCCAGGCTGGTCTCACACTCCGCACTCCTGGGCTCAAGTGATCCTCCCACTTACGCCTCCCAAAGTGCTGGGATTACAGGCATGAGCCACCATGCCTGACCTAAGTTTCTTGGCAATAGTTCCGTATCAGTGTGTAGAAAGTGATGTCATTTTTGGCCAGGCGCGGTGGCCCATGCCTGTAATCCTAGCACTTTGGGAGGCCGAGATGGGCGGACCACCTGAGGTCGGGAGTTCAAGACCAGCCTGGCCAACGTGGTGAAACCCTGTCTCTACTAAAAATACAAAAATTAGCCAGGCGTGGTGGCAGGCGCCTGTAATCCCAGCTACTCGGGAAGCTGAGGCAGGAGAATTGCTTGAACCTGGGAGGCGGAGGTTGCAGTGAGGCAAGATCGTGCCATTGGGCTCCAGTCTGGGCAACAGAGCAAGACCCTGTCTCAAAAAAAATAGAAAAAGAAAGTGAATCCCACACGTGTCCAGTATTAGAAACGAGAGTTTGGTAAACTCCAGTATACCAAGCTGAGCTGTGTGTGAGTTTTCTAAAAATGGTTTCGCGCTATACATGCTGCTTTTTTCACATGACGTCGTATCTGGGATTGCCTCTGCACGCCATGTGGATCTGCCATGCGTCTCTGGAGGGTGTGATTCTGGGTGGTGGGCCTGGCCCTTTCCTGGCTGGGGGCTGCTGTCTGCTCCACAGACAGGACCCTGGGAGTGTCCGTGCACATGTGGCACTGTGGACTCATGTGAGCCTTTCTGAAGGACGCGTTTCCAGAAGTAGGACTGCTAGTGCAGAGAGCAAGCACATTTTATTCATGCTTCCAGGAGGTCTTGGCACGCCCCTCTCGAGGGGAGCCTGTGGGCAGTGCACTGGCTGGGGGGCGTGCTGAAGGCCAGGCCTGCTTCCTCACTGCCGGGAGATGGGCACCATGAGCCCTGCACTGAGTCACACTCCCCTGTGCAGGGCATTCTGGGAAATATTGAAATCAAAAGGGGTGGGGGAGTCCCCTTTTGATTTGTGTCTGTCTCTCTGTCTCTCTATTTCTCTCTTTTGAATCTAAAGCTTTTAATTTGCCCAAAGAATACACATCCCTGATAACTGACAGACCCAGCATTACCCTAGACCTGGAATTCCAATTTGGGGAGGAATATGACCTGACCAGGAAAAAACCTGGCCTTGCTCTCGCCCTTCCTTTGTTAAAATCCCAAGGCTGGCAGCTGAGAAACAGAAAAAGGAAATCCAGTCTTTAAAACCCTCGGGAACCCAAGACATCTTATTTCTTCCCCAGGTTCAAAGCCTCTTTTTCTTTCTTGCATTACAGAATGAAGAAGTCCAGGCAAAAGCTTTTATTAAGCTAGTTTTTATTATTTTTATTGTTATAACCATGATTATGGTTAAGTAAATTCAGACACTTCAGAAGAATATCAGTTGAAAAGTAAAAGTCCCATTTTTCCACCTCCTAATAAGATTCCTACCTCCCAGAGGTTATCATGGTTCATAATTTCTTCCAGAAATTGTTATCTGCAGACAGAAGCATATTTTTAAATCCAATGTGGCTGTTCCCCACACCATACGTGTTTCCTGCCATCTCTGATATACACGTGACAGTCAAGCTTGGCAGTGGCGTGGGTAGGCACTGCAGCCTGGCGGCCTTGATTTGAAACCTGACTCCTTCACAGGCTGTGTGACTTGGGACAAGTGGCTAAACTCCTCTGTACCTTAACAGCCTCATCCATGAGATGGGATACCAATAGTCTTTAACATATATGGCTGTGGTGGGGATCAAATGAATTTATAAGCTGGGCATGGTGGCTCATACCTGTAATCCCAGCACTTTGGGAGGCTGAGGCGGAAGGATCGCTTGAGCCCAGGAGTTTGGGACTAGCCTGGGCAACCTAGTAGGACCCCATCTTTACAAAAAAATTAGCTGGGTGTAGTGGCATGCGCCTGTAGTCCTAGCTACTTGGGAGGCCAGGGTAGGAGGGTCACTTGAGCCCAGGAGGTTGAGGCTGCAGTGAGCTGTGATCACACTGCTGCATTCCAGCCTGGGCAACGGAGGAGGCTCTGTCTCAAAAAAAAAAAAAACCAAAAAGCAAAAAACACACACACACAAATGACTACATATATGTTCCAAGGGAAACCCAGGCCTTGCTCTGGTATGGTTCACGTTCTGCTGGGTAGACTGACAATAGGCAAAGACACAGGTCGGGCACGGTGGCTCACACCTGTAATCCCAGCACTTTGGGGGGCCGAGGCGGGTGGATCACCTGAGGTCAGGAGTTCAAGACCAGCCTGGCCAACATGGAGAAACCCTGTCTCTACTAAAAGTACAAAAATTAGCTGGGCATGGTGGTGGGTGCCCCAATCCTTGCTACTCCAGAGGCTGAGGCAGGAGAGTAGCTTGAACCCAGGGGCAGAGGTTCCAGTGAGCCGATATCACACCACTGCACTCCAGCCTGGGTGACAGGGCAAGACTCCATCTCAAACAACAAAAAAAAGCCTCTCCCCTCACACAGGGGGTCTGTCTCTGTGCATGTGTTCAGCGTGGGCCTCCCCCACTGGCTGCCAGCTCGGTGCTCACGGCCGTGTCCCCAGCACCTGGGACAGGACAGCACAGCCAGCTCTGTGTGGTTCCCGGAAAACGTTTGTGGAAGAAGGGAATGGAGCCAAGCCCCTCTCTGCCACGCGTTTGCTGGGTGAAGGAGAGAAGGCTGTGGCCATGCGTCCCGTGGTGGCCGGCCCTCTTGAATCCAAACAGCTTTGAAAAGTGGCTTGAGCCTCCCTGACACCCCTCTGACCCTGACGCTGTCATTCCAGGCAGGTGGACACGAACACCAAAAATGTCTTTGGGCAACCGAGGTTGAGGGCATCCCTCCGAGACCTCCGGTCACCACGGAAGAACTACAAATCCACCATCGAGGATGACCTGAAGAAACTCATCATCATGGACAACCTGGGGCCAGAGCAGGAGAGAGACACGGGAGTACGTAGGGCCCTGTCCCCCGCTCCCGACCCCCAGCTCCCAAGGGGATCCCAGATCTGGGCAGGCAAGGAGAAGGGCTGTGCTCCCCACGGTCACGCCAGCTCCTTCCCGTCGTGTCCCCAGCCTTTGGCATCTGCCAGTCCTGTTGGGGGCTATGGGCTCATGGCTGGGAGTGAGGGCAGCGCATTGGTCTGGGATGGAATCACAGGATAAGCCCAGGCAGGCACTCGGGAATCTACCCCATACCGAGAACCTCGCACAACTGGAGGGCCTCGTGCCCTCCTCCTCCAGCCCAGGATAGAAACAGCCACATCCACCCAAACCACAGGGACTGAGAGTGGAGCAGGGGCTCCCAGAGGAAGTTCAGACTCTTGTTACTCAGGGACACGGGTGGAAAGAACAGTGGGTGCCAGGGAACCTCCACAGCATCCACTTCCCTTCCCCTCCCAGCCAGGCCTGCCCTACTCGTCCTCACTGCCAGGCAGGAGCTGTTTTGTGGGGACTGAGGTGGACCCCAGCCTCCCCAGGGTTGGGTCCCACCAGCCTACAGCTGGGGGAAGAGAGCACATCAGCCCAGCGCTACCCACTGGGGTCCCAGCACTGACTCTGGTGGGTCCAGCTTGGCTCACACCACCTTCCCCAACCCATCAGGCTTTGATCGCCAGCCTTACCCGGAGCTGGAGGGTGGGGTTGGGGAGTGGGAGTCCCTGGGGGAAAACTGGAGCGCTTTGATCAGAAAGGAGGCAGAAGGCCAGGGGTGGTGGCTCACACCTGTAATCCCAGCACTTTGGGTGGCTAAGGTGAGAGGATCACTTGAGCCCAGGAGTTCAAGACCATCCTGGGCAATGTAATGAGACCCTCATCTCTATAAAAAAAATGTAAAAATTAGCCAAGGGTGGTGGCATGCACCTGTGGTCCCAGCTACCTACCTGGGAAGCTGAGATAGGAGGATCGCTTAAGCCCAGGAGGTCAAGGTTGTAGTAAGCTGAGATCGCCCCATTATACTCCAGATTGGGCGACAGAGTGAGACCCTGTCTCAAAAAAGGAAGGAAGGAGGGAGGGGGGAGGGAGGAAGGGAGGGAGGGAGGAAGGAAGGAAATGGGGCAGAAATGGATGCTGGGTAGGTAAGGACTCGCCACCAATGTCCTAGAGGGGAAGATGCCTCTGAGGACCCTGGCTATGAGCCAGTCTGTGACCTCCCCCAACATCCCACCCACGCCCCACAGCAGTCACCGCAGAAGGGCCTGCAGCGGACGCTGTCGGACGAGAGCCTGTGCAGCGGGCGCCGGGAGCCCAGCTTCGCCAGCCCCGCTGGCCTAGAGCCAGGGCTGCCCAGCGACGTGCTCTTCACCAGCACCTGCGCCTTCCCGTCCAGCACGCTGCCTGCACGCCGCCAGCACCAGCACCCCCACCCGCCCGTCGGCCCCGGTGCCACCCCTGCCGCCGGCAGCGGCTTTCCCGAGAAGAAATGTGAGCCTGGGCCCCCTGGGACTGGCGCGGTAGTTACCCCAAGGTTGGGAGGTGGGGATGCCCGAGCAGGGGCTCACCTGGAGGTCAAAGGCTAGAGGTCATCAGTGTCGGGGCCATCTCAGGGAGGAATGGGGTTCACAGGAACTTCGGGGGGCCTGATGGTGGGGCACTGGGTGTCACCCAAGGAGCAAGGGATCATTGGCCAAGCATCAGAGGGTCACCTAGGAGTCAGAAGCACCCAAGGATTGGAGTCACCTGAGACCAGAGAAGAAGTCCACCCTCAGGGTACAGGCCTAGGGAATGGGGCTGCCCAGCTGTTGCCCTAGCACCCCCCAACCCTCCCACCCATTCCAGCTCTAAGCGGTTTGCTTCCTGAGCATTTTATTTGCTTTCCTGACTGCTCCCATGTTTGCCACACTTGGGGGTGGTGCATGGTATGACTTGTTCACTGCTTAATCACCCAGAAAATATTTACTGAGCACTCCCCGTAAACAGGTACTGCGCACACCACCCGCATCAAAAGCCACGAGCCAGCTGGAGTTGGCCGTGCCCCAGATGCACCCTGTAACCCCCCTTACCCACCTCCTAACCCCCCCACAACTGAAAGACAGTACGTAAGTTTGCACCATGCTCACTGGGTGGCGAAACCTGGCCTGGAGGGGCGTGAGGCTGTTTAGGGTCCATAGTCCCCCTACTTAGTGCTAGCAATGAGGAGCTTGGGGCAGAGCGCTGGCGTGCCACTGCGCGTGGGGTGCCCCTGACCTTTTTGAGTTTGTTACATAATACACAGCATCTGCACACTTACTCTCTCAAATCCAAGCACATCTCAAATTCAGAGGCATGTTCTACCCCAAGGGTCTCAGCTGAGGGGCTGTGCCTGCCTGTGCCATCTGTACAGAGCCTCTTGTGAGCTGTGGGGGATGGGGTGGAGGAGACTCTGGGAATTTTATGAAGGGCAGTCTGTCTCCCCTATTAAAACTCCCCTGCAGGCCGGGCGCGGTGGCTCACGCCTGTAATCCCAGCACTTTGGGAGGCCGAGGCGGGTGGATCACCTGAGGTCAGGAGTTCGAGACCAGCCTGGCCAATGTGGTGAAACCCCGTCTCTACTAAAAATACAAAAATTAGCTGGGCATGGTGGCAGGTGCCTGTAATGCCAGCTCCTCAGGAGGCTGAGGCAGGAGAATCACTTGAACCTGGGAGGCAGAGGTTGCAGTGAGCTGAGATCAAGCCACTGCACTCCAGCCTGGGTGACAGAGCCAGACTCCATCTCAAAAAAAAAAAAACTTCCCCTGCAGCTCCGTTGCCTTGGCATTTGCATCTGCACTCCTTGCCCTGGTGGTGTGGGGTGCCCACCTCTGCTCCTCCACCTCACAGAGCCTTCCTTTTGATCACTCAGCACACCAGACCCTCCCTGCTCAGGGCATCCTGCACGGCTGTTCTCTCCGCCCGCCATGCTCTTCCCTCAGTCCTCTTCTGGGTCACTCTTGTCCTTCAGGGCTGGCTCCATTCCTGCTTTTTCCTGGAAGGCTCCTCTAAGCCCTGGACTGGGTCCCAGCCCCCATCTCAACTCCAGAGCTTCTGGGCCCTCCCCTGCGCTCCCTTCCTGTTCCTGCAGCGCCTGCTGTGGGCGGGGCTCTGCCCTCGGTGCCAGGATGTGGCCCTGAGCAAGCAGAGCACACCCCTGCCCTCACAGGGCTGCCACTTTAGTGGAAATTTCCCTGCTCCCCAGGCTTCCCTCCACGTCTCCTTCCTCGGCCTCTCCTCCCTGCTGCTCTGTCTCTCTGCCCAAGGCAGGGCTGGTCACGAAGTAGATGTTCAGTCACTGCAAAGGACGGGGACAGCGGCCACCACGGAGAGGTGGTGACAGAGAACACAGGCATAGACTCCACAGGCCGATCCGAATTCCTCCAGCTTGCTGTACCTCATTCTTTCAGTCTTGGCTCAGATGCCCCCTCCTCCAGGAAGCCCTCCCTTCCCCTACCAGGCTGAGTCAGGCACCACCACAGGCCCCGTCCCCCCCCGCCCCCCCGGGTTTCTCTCACCCCCCTCCGTCCCTACTCACCGCCTTGTATCCCCATCACCATCCTGAGCTGTCACTAGATGAGAATGTGTCTGTCTCCACCACCATACCGGGGGCCCCCCAAAGACGGGGCCTGGGGTTTTCTCTGTCACTGCTGTGACCCCAGCTCAGGTCCCTCTGCATCACACAGCACACACACACCCTTCTCTGTCCATCTGACTCCCCCACACCCCTGAGCTGGGGAGAGTCCCGTCTGGCCTCAGTGTGGCCAGGGACCCTGGGCCTCTCCATTTCTTGTGTGCCTGCTCCAGAGCCCTTCCCGGGCCCCATCCCAGATGAAGAGACATGGTCATCCCTGGCCTGGGCTTCACTAACCAAGTGCCCTCCACACCAAGGAGCCTGTCACACGGTGCTCCTGATGCCCTGCTCAGCAATGGCAGCCACTCCCGTGGCTCCCACCAGCTGAGCAGTGAGACGCCAGCAGGCTAGAGGCACAGAACAAGGAGGCCAGGGGAAGAGCAAGGAGGCCCAGGGTGGAGCATGGAGGTCAAGGGTGGAGCAAGGAGGCCAAGGGCGGAGCATGGAGGTCAAGGGCAGAGCAAGGAGGTCAAGGGCAGAGCATGGAGGTCAAGGGCAGAGCAAGGAGGTCAAGGGCGGAGTGTGGAGGTCAAGGGCAGAGTGTGGATGTCAAGGCGGAGCAAGGAGGTCAAGGGAGGAGCATGGAGGTCAAGGGCAGAGCAAGGAGGTCAAGGGCGGAGCGTGGAGGTCAAGGGCAGAGCGTGGAGGTCAAGGGAGGAGCATGGAGGTCAAGGGCAGAGCATGGAGGTCAAGGGTGGAGCATGGAGGTCAAGGGAAGAGCAAGGAGGCCAAGGGTGGAGCGTGGAGGTCAAGAGTGGAGCAAGGAGGTCAAGGGAGGAACATAGAGTCAAGGGCAGAGCATGGAGGCCGAGGGGGGAGCCAGGAGGCCGAGGGGGGAGCAAGGAGGCTGAGGGACGAGCCAGGAGGCCAAGGACTCGTTCATTCAGCCAGCACTTACTGCACACCACATATCACAGAGCTGAACGGCCTGAGTTTATGTCCCACGTCTTCCACTCACAGATATAACCTCTCTGTGCCTCAGTTTCTTTGACTGTAAAATGTAAAAAATAGTGCCCACATCCCTGGGTTAAAAGAATCAAACAAGTGAATATGTGGAAAGCACGTAGTGTATACCTCATATGTAGTCAGCACTGAGTAGTACTAGCTGGAAGCCATGTGAGCCCAGGCAAGGCAGCGCCTCGCTCGGGTCTCAGTTTTCCTCTTCCATGAGCAGAGATCATGTCACCCCCCGCCTCCGCCAGCCTCACAGTGAGGCTGTGAGATGATCTCCCTTGGCCCTGCACAGAGGAGGTGCCGGGAATGCAGAGCGGGCTGGGCCCACGGTCAGGCTCTGCCGATTCCCAGCTAAGGGCCCTGAGGTGTGTCTTCTGGTCTCTCTGTACCTGGCTGTCCTCTGTCCCCTTCCCTCAGGGGCTTCAAGGAGTCACAGAGCCCCAGGCCAGAGCCCGAGCCTGGTGCCTGGGACTCTCTCAATAGCCGCAGCAGGTGCGAGTGCAGTGCTGGCGCCGTTGCTTCTCACTTCCAACTCCTGAGATGTCACAGGCCTCTCCTCTGCTCAGCGTGTCATACCTGAACCTGCCCCCCCACGGCAACCCCACCCCGTGTAAACACTGTCCATACACTGGCGATTCCAATCACAGGTGCAGCTGGGACTCTCCTCGTCGCCAGCTCCTGTGGCCAGCCTCCGTCCCACCATCTCCTTGGAATGTCCAGGGCCATCTCCACCGAGCACCTCCAGAAACAGATTTCTGATCCCCCACCCCAGCCTTCCCGATCAGAGCCGCAATCCTGGCCCTTCTCTTTGTTTCACAGCCATATCCAACCCTCAGGAAATCCTATTGGCTGCCCCTGAAAAGTAGGCCCAGAATCTGCCCCTGTGTCCTATCACGGCCCCACCCTGGTCCTGCCCAGCATCACCGTCTCCATTGTGGGTTATGGTTACAGCTCCTACCTGCTCCCTGTCTCCCCCCAAATCCCCCCCCAAACACACAGTCCGTCCCCCACATGCACCCAGAGGGAGTCTTCCAGGGCACTCAGGGTGAGAACACAGTCGTCACTGGGACCCACAGGCCCCACACGGTCCGGCCGTGTTGCCTCTGTTCTCGCCTCCTGCTGCTTCCTCCCTTGCTCACCCTCTCCCAGCCATAGGGGCCGCCTCTGTGTTCCTTAAACCTTCCAGGCACACTCCTGCCTCAGGGATTTAGCACTGGCTGTTCCGTCTGCCTGGAATGTTCCTCCCCCAGGTAATCCGCCTGGTGCACTCCCTCCTCCCCTTCAGAGTTTTGTCCAGATGGCATCTCTGCCAGGCCTGGCCCAGCACCCTGTTTGAAGTCAGGCCTCTGTAGGCTCCAGCACTCCCAGACCCCTTACCCTGCTGGAGGTTTTCCTGGGCATGTAGCATCTCTGCATAAGCAATGGGATGTCTTCATGTATTTGTGTCTCCCGCATTGTCACACTCAACCACTGCCATCTCCACCCTCCCCATCCAGCCACCATCTCAGCCTCGGAGCTCTCGCTGGCTGATGGGCGGGACCGCCCCCTGCGGCGCCTGGACCCTGGGCTGATGCCCCTGCCTGACACAGCTGCTGGCCTCGAGTGGTCCAGCCTGGTGAACGCAGCCAAGGCATACGAAGGTAGGCGCCTTCCACCCAGTCCCGCCAGGCCCCCACCCCGTCCTCTGTTCTAGAGGGATTCATGGAGGGCCTCATGGCTTTGCAGGGATACCCACTCAGGTTCCAGAATCAGGGAGCAGGGTTCAAGTCCTGCCCCGTCACTTGCTTACCATGCAGCCCCGGGCAAGCGTCGTCATCTCTTTGATGCCAGCGAACCACGTTGACCAACAAGCGGAAGTGACCATGCCTGAGGCTGCCATGACGATTACACAAAACACCACGTGTAAAACACGTGAGGCCAAGCACAGTGGTTCACACCTGTAATCCCAGCACTCTGAGAGTCCAAGGCAGGAGGATCGCTTGAGCCCAGGAGGTGGAGGCTGTGTGGTGAGCTGTGATCACACCACTGCACTCACTGCACTCCAGCCTGGGCGACAGTGCAAGACCCCGTGTCTGGGGGAAAAAAAAAATCTGTCCCTGAGGACATTTGGGTTTTCAGCGCCAGATCTGGGAGCCAGGGAGCGGAAGACTTTTAGTGCCCTGAGGGTCCTGCCAAGACCTTGCATCCTGGGTTGGGGGTTCCCCATACCAGGCCTGCAGGGATCCTCACTCCCTGGGTTCCCTGGAGCAGTGGACAGGGTTTGCTCTGCCACCCAGGGCCCTTTATGTGCTGGAAGTCCGTGCTGACGGGGCCAGGCAGCTGTGGCATCTCCTCTCTCATGTGGGTCTCCAAGCATCCTGGGGCCAGGACAGCCAGTTCCAGGACAGTGGGAAGTGAGGAAGGCCTCAGGTCTCTCCCTGGAGACCCAGATGCCATCAGCGGTTGTAGTGTTGTTTGCGGAAGACAGAGCTGCCCAGACACTGACCACTCCCCCGCAACCGTGGGCCACAGGAAAGGGCTAGGATAGCCAGAGCCCCTTACCCACTCCCAGCCGCTCCGTGTGCCTGGCATGCCTGGGAGCTGTGCGCCCCATGTGAGAAAGCTGAGGGAGCCTGGCTGGTGGCACTGATTTCTCCCCCAGGCTGTGCGTCACAGTCGCCTAGGGAGCTTTTTGCTTCCTTATAAAATTAATAGATGAAACACAGAAGGTTACGGGGGAGAGGGGGGAGTAGCAGAAAGACCTGGGAGGAAGCACACCAGCACCACCATGGAGGTGCCTCCCCGGGAGCCGGAAAGGGGCTGGCAGGGAGTGCAGGTCAGGGTGGTTTCAGCTTGCCTGGAGGTGTGGTTTTTAATGAAGATATATGTGGGTTTTCCCTTGCAATTCACATAAGTGGAAAAGACTAAAGGAATTCTCATTAACTTTGGTAGATGTGTTCATAGCATAGTAATTTTCTTAAATATATATATATATATTTTATCCACTAGAGCTACTTAGTGAAGTTTCTACAGATGAAATACAAAGACATCTAGAATTTGATTTAAAATATTCCAGGTTGGGTGCAGTGGTTCGCACCTGTAACCCCAACACTTTGGGAGGTCAAGGTAGGAGGATGGCTTGAGGCCAAGAATTCGAGACCAGCCTGGGCATCGTAGCGACACCCTGTCACTACAAAAAAATTTATTTTACTTATTTATTTTTTAGAGTCTCACTCTTTCACCCAGGCTGGAGTTCAGTGGCGTGATCTTGGCTCACTGCAGCCTCCACCTCTCAGGTTCAAGCAATTCTCCTGCCTCAGCCTCCTGAGTAGCTGAGATTATAGGTACTAATTTTAAAATTAGCCAGGCATGGTATCACACACCTGTAGTCCAAGCTCCTCGGGAGGCTGAAGCAGGAGGATCGCTGGAGCCCAGTAGTTCTAGGCTGGAGTATGCTGTTCTGATGCGGTGTCTTCACTAAACTCAACATCAATATGGTGACCTCCAGGGAGCCAGGGACCACCAGGTTTCCTAAGGACAGGTGTACTGGCCCAGGTCAGAAATGGAGCAGGTCAGAACTCCCATGCTGATCAGTAATGGACTCGGGTTTGTGAATAGCCACTGCACTCCAGCGTGGGCAACACAGCAAGACCCTGTCTCTTAAAAAACAGATGTCATTATACATTAAATTCAAGATAGAAAAAAATAGCTATAAAGGGTATTATTCAGAGAATCGGAGAACATTTGCAGATGACTGTATATTAGATAATATCATGGCCAGGTGTGGTGGTGCATGCCTATAATCCAGCACTTTGGGAGGCTGAGGCAGGCAGATCACCTGAGGTCGGGAGTTCGAGACCAGCCTGACCAACATGGAAAAATCCCGTCTCTACTAAAAATACAAAATTAGCTGGGCATGGTGGTGCATGCCTATAATCCCAGCTACTTGGGAGGCTGAGGCAGGAGAATCACTTGAACCCGGGAGGCGGAAGTTGCAGTGAGCCGAGATGGCGCCATCGCACTCCAGCCTGGGCAACAAGAGCGAAACTCCATTTCAAAAAAAAAAAAAAAGTAAATGGGCAAAGTATTAACAATGAGTGGTGCCAGGGAAAGAGTGCTGGGGTTTTTACTGTGCTATTCTTGAGGCACAGAAATGAAAGTTGGACCCAAGGAGCTGCTTGCCTCTGGGGCTGGCCCTCTGCCCTGCCCTGCCCTGCCCCTGATGGTGCCGCCCTCAACACACGGCACACAGGGACGCCTTGGTGTTTTTAACACCTCCGAGGATTCCATTGTCTGGCTGTTCATAGCTCACTGAACCAGCCACTGTTGGAGGGCACTAGGGCGGTGGCCAGCTGTTGCCATTACAGGAAGAAAATCTAAGTCACGTTTGAAAACGCAAACAGCTCAGGTGCCCCCAGTGCCAGTCACGTGTCCAAGGCGGGACCCAGGAATCTTCACTTTCACTGGCAGCCCCGTGCGATTTCTTTTCTGTCTTCAATATGCATGATGTGATCTGTCTCACTTCTCTTTTTGCTTTTGAAATCTTCCCAGCTTCCTCCGAAGGAGAGCGAATTGTATAACGAATCCCCGTGGACCTGGCGCCAGCCCGTCCACTTTGTAACCCTTTTTTCCTACCTTTTACTTGTGGACCAAGTCAAGTCACTTATGTTGAGAGCACGCCAGGTTCGGAATCCGGTCGGTTGCTAGCTCGCACTCTCATCTAACTGGCTTCTTCAGCCCTTGCGTTTTGTATGAACTGGTCGTTGGATCGAAAGCCTCGATCGGAATCAGGATGGGATTTTGATTGTGTTCTTGTTTTGTGTGTTCATTTGGTTGGTTTTTTGGCAAGAATCTATCTAAGTGCCGATGCAGTCTGTCCCAAGTGTGATAGGAGGCATCATGGAGGTTTGCAGGGAGAGGCGTGGTCCGTCTGTTGCGGGAGAAGCCGGGAGCCTTGCTGACCCCTCTCCTCCTCCTCCCTCCCTGGCAGTGCAAAGAGCCGTCTCACTCTTCTCTCTGAACGACCCGGCCCTGAGCCCGGACATCCCGCCTGCACACAGTCCTGTCCACAGCCACCTGAGCCTGGAGAGGGGACCCCCGACCCCCAGGACCACCCCTACCATGAGGTGAGGTTTCCCTGGGAACACCCGGGTTCATACCAGCGGCAGGCCTGTGCAGTGGAAGAGGCTTACCCAGAGAGAGGCAGCCATGTGGGTCACCCCCACCACTCTCCGGGCGGAAGCTGATATAGCAGCTACTCCCCCCTCCTAACAGACTTGGAAGTCATTACACTGCACCTGTCTGTGCACTGGGGATCCACAGTGACCAAGACAGACTCTGCCCAGTCCCAACAGATCTCCCAGTCCAGCAGAGACGACACTTGAATCAATACACACACAGTTGTTTCGCTTCCAACTTTGAACACTGCTAAGCAGGCCGGGCGCGGTGGCTCACGCCTGTAAACCCAGCACTTTGGGAGGCCAAGGTGGGTGGATCACTTGAGGTCAGGAGTTCAAGACCAGCCTGACCAACATGGTGAAACCCCATCTCTACTAAAAATACAAAAATTAGCCGGGCGTGGTGGTGCGTGCCTGTAATCCCAGCTACTCGAGAGGCTGTGGCAGGAGAATTGCTTGAACCCGGGAGGCGAAGCTTGCAGTGAGCCAAGATCGAGCCACTGCACTCCAGCCTGGGCCACAGAGGGAGACTCCATCTCAAAAAAAAGAAAAAAAGAAAGGAAAGCTGCTAGGCAGTGTCTCCCAATCCCCCAGCCCTGTGCCTCTCGTCAGCCCCGTCGCTGCCAATCTCCCGCCTGTCTGCTCCTTCGTCTCCTCCTCTGCAGATTCCTAAACCTCACAGACTTCTGCCTCACGCTCACCCTTCCCAGCCTCCCTGCCAGGTGCCGTGCTGGGCTGTCTGAGGACCTAGTGGCAACTGAGGCCAGGCCTGGCCCTCAGGAAGCTTCACGGGGGAAGGAAGAGGACGGGGACAGATCTCTCACATTTGTCATCTCACGCGTGGCTTCTCACATTCAGCGCAGCATATTTGACTGCACTCACTTGGCAGAAAACAAAATTAAAAAGAGGCAGAGAGAATGTAAATGGCACATTCTGCCTGTACATGGATTTAAATAGTGCATTTCACACTCGTCTGCACACCTCACGGTTCAGGGTTCTATATACAACCATCCGTGCACTGTACTTCATGGGCAGTGGGAGCAATTTTTGAGGGTAATTTTGACTTCTTGCTTTTCACACTCTGGCTTCAGAACTCAACCTCCACCACGAACGTAGGCCCCACTGTAATTACAAGAAATCAGCAGTTCCAGATGGTGCTGCTGGGCTGAGGGGCAGGAGCAGCATGGGCTGTGGGAAGCAGCGGGACCTGTGGCCCCTGGGCGGCGCTCCTGGAGTCCATTTGCCCCCATCTCCCTCTGCAGCTGCAGATCCCCAAGACTCAGCAGCAAGGTTGTAGGAAAGGGTGGGCGAGGCAGGAGGGCCAGCCCCCGACCGCCACCGCCTCTGTGCCTGTGCACGCACGGCATCCAGTGGAGCCTCCTTCAGCCCCAACTCCAAGCAGGAAAGGGCTGCGCGTTCTCTGCAGCGGCCAGGCAGGCCCAGGGCTGGGAGGATCTGCAGAGGGGCAGCTACTGGCCATGGGCCCCTGATTCAAATCCTAGCACCAGCACGTGGTAGCCATGCAGCACCTCCAAAGGCCACAGTGGGCAGAGGAGCTCTGTGAGATGAGCCGGGCAGTCTGGGGCTTGTTGCGGGGTGGCTCTCAGTGACGGCCACGTGGTCAGCATCACTGCCAGGACCATTGTTGGTCCTGCCCACAAGGGCAGGTCCTTTTGACCATCTGTCCATTCTCGTGCTTCCTGTGCCTGGACCCGCCAGGTGCTCAGCAGGTGTCTGTAGAGTGGGCTCTTTGTATCCTGGAGGTACGAAGAAGGGGTCCTCCCTGAAGTCACATGCACGGCCCAGCCTCAGGGAAAACGCACACTTAAGGGTGGGCAGCCACCCTTCCCCTGGCCTGGTGCTCCTAACACCCCGTCCACATCCACAGAGGTGCCCTTGGTGGGTGGAGTGTGCCGGGTGGAGGGCTGGCTTCCTGCTTCCCCTCAGAGCTTCTCCTCAGGCTTTGCTAGAATGTCAGGGATAAGGGGGCCTGTACCCCCAGGCTCCTCAGATGTGGGCCAGAAGCCTTCCCCAGGGGCTTTAGGGCCTCAGGCTGACCTTGTCCCTGGTTTTTCCAGCGAGGAGCCACCCCTGGATCTGACAGGCAAGGTGTACCAGCTGGAGGTGATGCTGAAACAGCTGCACACTGACCTGCAGAAGGTAAGGCCGGGGGCCACGCCCTCTCCATCCCACTTCCCAGACACTGGGCAGGGCAGTCAGCAGGGATCAGGCACCTGCCCCCGCCATGCAGGACCCACCCCACCCCCACACCTCCTGTGTTTGAGTGTAGTCATGGGTGAAGAGTAAACAGTGATAACACCCCAGGCTACCAAGCGCTCAGAGAAACTCATCCATTCTTGGGGGGAGAATAATCAGCCCAGGCTTTTCGGAAGGCAATTGGATAACATTTATCAAAAAAACACAAAAAAACTGTGGCTGGGCGCGGTGGCTCATACCTGTAATCCCAGCACTTTGGGAGGCCAAGGTGGTGGGTCACCTGAGGTCAGGAGTTCGAGACCAGCCTGGTCAACATGGTGAAACCCCATCTCTATTAAAAAGTACAATAATTAGTCGGGTGTGGTGGCGGGTGCCTGTAATCCCAGGTACTCAGGATGCTGAGGCAAGAGAATCGCTTGAACCCAGGAAGGTGGAGGTTGCAGTGAGCCGAGATCATGCCACTGGGCTCCAGCCTGGGCAACAGAGCGAGACTCCATCTCAAAAAAAAAGAAAAAAAAATGTTGATCCAGTAATTCCACTTGTGGGAATTTATCCGTGACAGCATGGGTACAAAGAGATTGTGAACAAGGACGTTCGTTGCCACACTATTGGCAATAAAAAATTGGAGCCAGCGTGGCTGTCACTCAACATGAGAATGGCTGTGTAAATTATAGGGTGTCCATGCAGCGGAACAGCTTGCAGCCAATTAAAGTAATAACAAATCTATATATTTACTAACACGCAAAAGAAGTCCAGTAACTTACATAAAAACCAAAGCGAGCTGCAGCAGTGTTGTCTAGAATATCACCATACTTATTTATTTATTGTTTAACCACCATGGTTGAGAGGGCCATCTAGAAGGTGACAGTCAATTTGTTCTTTGGACTTGTCTCCATGGGGCGGAAGGATGAGGAGGAGACTGGCTGGGTACGTTGGCTCACACCTGTAATCCCAGCACTTTGGGAGGCCGAGGTGGGTGAGGTCAGGAGTTCAAGACCAGCCTGGCCAATATGGTGAAACCCCGTCTCTACTAAAATACAAAATTAGCCGGGTGTGGTGGTGCACGCCTGTAATCCCAGCTACTTGGGAAGCTGGGGAGGAGAATTGCTTGAACCCAGGAGGCGGAGATTGCAGTGAGCCGAGATCATGCCTCTGCACTCCAGCTTGGGCGACAAGAGCAAAACCCAGTCTCAAAAAAAAAAAAAAAAAAATGAGGAGGAGACTTTTATCTATTGTTTCTATACTTCTGGGTAAAAGCCAGAAAGGTGGCAGAGTATATAATGCGTAAGTCTTCGAGCCGTGGAATCAAAGGGGCCCAGGTTCTGACCCCCGCCCCACTGCATAATGCTGCGCAACCTGAAACAGGTCCCTGCCTTTCGGGGGCTACGTCCTCCTGGAAGAAGGGGGTCTGCTCAGGCCACCCTGCATCCATGTCCCAGCTCCCCACTTGCTGTGTGAGGCTGGGGTCCTCTTCCAGGAAACTAGGGACAGCGACAGTCCCCAAGTCCTCGGGTAGTGTGAAGGTGGGATGCGGTGACAATAGTGATGTTTGTCAAGCGATGACTCCACATGTGGTTGCGTTCCGGGAGCTCTACATAGATGAGCTCCAGACACCCCTCAGCCTCCTGGTAGAGTTGCGGGAACCAAGTGACTTGCCCAGGGTCCCTCGGTTGTGGAGAGGCAGAGTGGGATGTGTGCCCCGGCCTGGCCTGGCTCTAGTGGTTGGCTCCAAAGCACAGCCGGGCCAGGGCTCACAGGCCTCAGGGAGCCATCGGCTGTTCCAGGAGCGGCCAAGCCCACCCGCCTGATGCCAGCTTCCCACCCTGTGCAGGAGAAGCAGGACAAGGTGGTGCTCCAGTCAGAGGTGGCCAGCCTGCGGCAGAACAACCAGCGGCTGCAGGAGGAGTCGCAGGCCGCCAGCGAGCAGCTGCGCAAGTTTGCGGAGATCTTCTGCAGGGAGAAGAAGGAGCTCTGAGGTGGGAGGCCGCCGCCCGCCTTCGCTCCTTCCCCTCAGGCCGTGGCCCTGCTGCCTCTCTCCCTCCACTCAGCTCCCAGCTGCCGGTGTGACCAAGATGACCCATCCAGGGCCCTCCCCATGGACACGGAAACTCCGATGGCCTCACTAGGGCTGTGAGTCAGGGTCAGCGCGCACAGCCCTCATGCCCCAGAGGGCGAAGTGGTCTCAGGCCTCCCTCCAAGCTGCCCAGCTGTGGTCCCGGTGAGCTGGGCTGTGCTTACACCGCTCCCGGGCCTGCCCCGCTGTCCCCATCTAGCCTCTTCCTGGGACCAGCCCTTCGAAGCTGATGGGGACGGAGAGAGGAGCCAGTCTCCAGACGCCTCGGCTCCAGGAGGTCACACAGCAGGTTTCTGCACCACGCACAACAAAGTTGCGGCTTGTGGGGCCGAGGCCCCTGCATGAAAAGTACAGCGTGAAAGCAACCCTTTCTTCCCCACACCCAGAGAGGTGAGGCCCGCGTGGACACAGACCAGGGCGCCTCGGTCCCTAGCACGTGAGCTCCAAAAAGCACGAACATGATCCCCTCCCTAACCCCCTCCTCCCAAAAAGCAGCCAGGAGCACTTTCTTAGAGTTTAAATTATTTTCTTGGGGGCCTGAGGATAGAGAGAGGCAAGGCTAGCCTCCAGAGCCGATTTATTTGAGAGAGAAACTCTATTTGGATCTCCAGGACGGTTTATACGATCTTTTTCTATCAGCTCCTCTTCCGCCAGAGGCCACTGCACCTGGGCTAGGGGTCCACAGGCCCCTCCACCTTCCAGCTAACCAGGCCAGGCCGGGGCGGTGGAGCCACCACACAGCCGACTCTCTCCTCCTCCTCCCGGCACGACCTGGCCCTGACCAGCAGCCTCGGCCTCTTCTGGGTTCCAGGAGGGGCTCCCGAAGCCCTCAGGACAGGGCTGGAGGAGAACAGCCTTCATCTCCTCCTCTGGTTTTTTTTTCCTTTGCAAGTCTCCCAGCCCATCTCTCCGAGCAGCGGCCACCAGACCCCCTCACCATGCTCCCCGGGGAGCACTGCACCCCGCGAACCCCACTGGACGCTGGTTCTCTAAAGGCAATAAGGGGCGGCCATGCCGGTGTGGTACCACGCTGTTCCTCCAGGAAACCGTTTCTTTTTTTCCTTCTTTAAAAGCAAACAGAAAAAGATATATATATATATATATATATATTTATTTTTTCATGTAGAGTTGGCGCCAGAACAAGCCTGTATGGCCACAGTCTGTGGATTCATCCCCCCAACCTCAAGCTGAGGACCAAGGCGTGTCCCCTGTGGGCTGGGGGTCAGTGGGAGGACCAGAGGGATGAAGTCAGGGCAGGCCGGTGCCCTTTTTGGGAGGCACCAGGCGGGGAGGAGTTGGCGGAGCAGGTCTGGCTGTGAGCCAGCACCAGGCAACCCGGCCCTTGTCCAGGGACCTCTGCTGCCTTCTCTCTGGGGTCAGGAACCTCAGAGGAGGGGGCTCTGGGGACTGCATAGGACGCAGGCACTCGGAGGTGCCGGTGTGGATGGGTGGGGGTGAGAGAAGAGGGTTCTTATCGCGTCTCCTGTGATCAGCCTCTGGCCCCCTGGAGGAGGAAACCTCAGCGCTGCCCCTGCCCCCACCCTCACCCCCAACACCAAGAGTGAGGTGGGCGTGCCCCAGGCAGCGTCCTCAGCCCTGGCCAGCTACTGTGATGCCATCTTCTCCCCCATCCCCTTCTCTGGGGGGCCCACCCGTCCCCCACCCCCACCCCTTAGACCCTCATCGGGTCCCTTTTTTTTTTTTTTTTTCAGTTGTCTCCTCCCATCTTCAGATCATTCGAATCATTTTGGGGACTTAATCATGTACATGGACAAGTGTAAATTATGATTTTTGGTTTTGTTTTCTGTTATTTTTTAAGGATTTCTGCAAAAACAGATCTATTTAATTTGAGGTTGATGTTCTATCCAATGGCCGAAGATAGCAGCAGGTTTTTTTTTTCATATGTTGATTTGTTTCATTTGGATTTTTTTTTTATTATTCTTTATTGTCTTTTTTTTTTCCCCATCCCTGTCTTGAGATTTTCTGGCATGTTTCTGGAGGTTTCAAAGGAAATAAAGGTTTCATAGAAATGGCTTGTGTGTTCACTTTTGGGGCAGCTGCCTGGAGTTGCTGACCAGAGGGTGTGGTCCAGCATCGGCCCCTCCTCCTGCTCCTGTCCCCAAATCCCCCACACCATGACCACCACACACATGTCCTAAGAACCAGGGGCACCTGCCTTGCTAACTTCTTTTCCTTGGAATCCAAAGGACAGAAATCCAACACTCAGAATGTGAAATGTCCTTAAGTTCAAAAGAGTGAGATTCTGCCTCAGAGGTCATATACTGGAGGCCTGAAGGCCAGCCCCAGCCCAGAGGGTTGTGTTGGGTCTTAGAAATAGTGGCCAACTTTTAATCTGGACATTCAGCCAGGTGCAGTGGCTCATGCCTGTAATCCCAGCACTTTTTGAGAGGCTGAGGCAGGAGGATTGCTTGAGCCTAGGAATTCAAAACCAGCCTGGACAACATAGCAAGATCCTACCTCTAAAAAAACCTTTTTTTTTTTTTTTTTAACTTTTTTTCGAAACAGAAACTCTGTCACCCAGGCTGGAGTGCAGTGGTGCAATCTCAGCTCACTGCAACCTCCACGTCCTAGGTTCAAGTGATTCTCCTGCCTTAGCTTCCCGAGTAGCTGGAATTACGGGGACCCGGCTAATTTTTGTGTTTTTGTAGAGACGAGATTTCACCATGTTGGCCAGGCTGGTCTCGAACTCCTGACCTCAACTGATCTGCCCACCTCGGCCTCCCAAAGTGCTGCATTACAAGTGTGAGCCACCGCGCCCAGCTTAACTTTTTTTTTTAATGGATATTGCACATGAGGAAGGCCAGGTTTCCAGCTTGGTTGATCTGTCCTTTGCTGCAAGACTCACAAGGGGCCCCTGCCTCCTTTGGCCCTGGCCACATGGCTGCATTTGGGACACTCTTCCCCCTTCTGTCTGTAGAGGTGGGAGCAGACCCCTGCTGCCACTTGCCAAGTGAATGCTTTGGGGGTAGAAAGCAGCCCCTGATCGCCCCAGATCTGCATCTGGCCTGGTGAACATTTGCATTTTGGGAACCGGGATCAAACTGGTTTCTGAATCAGGAAATTCCTCCTGAAAATCCCGAAGTCCAGCCCCTTGAGGGAAGCCTAGCCTCCTGACGGGGCTGGCCAGGTGGGGTCTTTCTGCCTCCCTTACCCATGTACCTGTCGTGGAGTTTCACATCTCTGAGCTAAAACCCAGTGCTTCTCTGACTCAGACCCTGCCCCCTCCAAAAAATGTCTTTTTCCAAAAGGCGTGGGGCTGGCATCCGGAGGAGCAGGACCAGCCATTCCCACATCTCCTAAAAATTCTGGAGTTCTAGACACCCTCCCTGTCTCCGCCCTCCTCCTCCTCGAGGCCCCGTCCTCAACCCGCACTGCCCTCCCCCCGCCACCGGGCGAAGGGGGCGGGAAGCCTGGGAACAGGCTGTTCTCACATCCTCTCCTGGCGCCGGAGCCACGCCAGCTGCTTCCAGCACCCCACAACTCGCGCGCACGCCAGCCCCTGGTCGCGCCCAAACTGTGCTTTGAGGCCCGGCCCTTCCCTTCGTGTCCCAGTTTCCAGCTTCCTCTGCCCGTCTCGGACATCCCTGTCTCTCCTCCCCAATCTTTCTGGGTCCCTCATACCTCCGGCTCTCTCTGCAGATTGTTCTGCTGTTCCCCTAAAGTCTGTCTCCTTCTCTCCCCTGCCGCCCGCGTCTCTCCCCATCTCTGCCTGTTGTCCTGGGACTTTGCCTGCCCCTGATCCCAAGTCTCTCTCTCTCCACCCGCAATGTGGCTCCCTCTCACTCTTCCCTCTCCTGATAGATGTTACCTCCTTCTCTGCCTCCCCTCTTGGAGGACCTCTCCCTAAATCTGCTGCTGCTCTTCCCCAATCACCGTCCTCCTTCTCCTCCTCCCGTCTCTCCCAGCATGTCAGCTATTTTTTATTAGTTATTCCCTCTCTGCCGTTAAACCTCCTTCTCACCCCTGCTCCCTTCCTCTCTCCTGGTCCTTCCTCCTGTCTCTCTCCCTTCTGCACCCTCTTGCTCTTTTTTCTGATTCTCTCAATAACTGTGTGACTGTCCTCGTCTCTTTCTCTCTCCTGATCTGTGTCCTAGTTCCCTCACTCCTCACTCCCGCCCCCCACCCGTCGCCCACATCTCAGTCTCTCTCCCAGTGCCCGTGTCTAGATACCCTCCTGCCCTCCCTTAGCGCCTCTCTTTCCACCTTATCGCCACCGCTGATTTGCCCCACATCCAGGACACGGAGCCCCCTGGAGATGTCTGGGTCTGGGATGACACCTCCTGACACCCCCGTTCCCCACCCCAGCCTCAGGAGGGGCCAACCCACCGTCCTCTTCCCAGCCCTTCCCTTCCCCCGGCCCGGCTCCCGCCTCCCTCCCGGCTGCGCCCGCTGCAGCTGCAGCAGCCCGTTGCCAGGGCAACCACAGCTGGCTGGGCGGGAGCCCCTCCACCCCATCCCCCTTCTCCTCCTTTCTGGCAAAGCAGGGCGGAGCTGGGACAAAGCCGGGGAGAGGCAGGGTGCAGGCAGGGGAAGAAGGAGGTGGATGGAGGTAGGGGCTGGCTGGTCGCCTCACCCCCAACAAGGCCCGTCGACCCCCGGTCCTCCTTCTTGGTGATGCCCCAAACCAGACGGGAGAACGAGGCAGTCGTGGGCAGAGGGGTCAGGCCCAGTTTAATACACAGAACAAGTTAATTCACAGCAGAGGCAGGCAATAGAGGAGACTCGGTGACAAGTGAGGGGGCACTCCTGGATTAGGGGACATCCCCCCAAAACCCACCACCTCCCCCACCTGCAGTCTCAGTTTCCCTTTTTTAAAACCCGAACAACAAACACACACAACCACAAGAAACAACCACGCCCCCTCACTCCCCCAAAATGGCCAGCGAGGGGGGCGGGGGCCGCCAGGCCTGGCGGGGCGGGAGGAGGGAGAGAAAAGGAGTCCGTGGCGGAGTCTGTGCTTCTCATTCCAGCAGGCGCTGGGCGGGGGCCCACCCGGCCCCACCACCGCCACCCACCAGCCACGGCAGGCACGGGGCGGGCACAGGCTGGGGCGGTCGGGGAGGGGCAGGAACAGAGTTCAAAACCAAGGTTCACATCATGCAGTATCCACCGTGGGCACCAGGAGGGGCGGGTGGACACCACGCCCACCGCCCTGGGCACAAGAGGGGAAGGCGCCCACCTTGGGTGGGGCGCGGGACGGCTGCAGCTCCAGAAATTGGGGTTGGGGCGCCCGGCGGGGGGCCGGCAGAGGCGGGTGCCCGGTGGACACTCTCAGCAGCGCCCCTCCACCCAGCCAGGCCTTGGAGGACTCTTTGTATATATTAACTTCTTTTCTTTTCTTCTTTTTTTTTTTTTTAACTTTTTGTCTTTTTCTTTAGAAAAAGGCTCTGTCCATGCCCCTGGCTGGCACCCACCACCCCCCATGCCCGCCCAGAGGCGGGGTATGGCTTTGAGGGGAGAAGCCCCTGGTGTCCATTTGCCAAGGGACAGAGAGGGAGGGAGGGAGGGAGAGGCCCTGGCCGGGCCCACCCACCCACAGGGCAGACATTCCACTTGCACAGAGGGGAGGGGGTGGCCCAGCCCCCTCTCGGCTTCCCCCTCTCCCCCTCCCCCTGCGGGATGTTCAGGGTGGGGGAGAATTGAGGAGCTCGGAGAGGCAGGTAGGCGAGCACCACCCCAGAGTCGCGGCGAGCCGAGCCGGCCTAGGTGAGGGTGATGTAAGCAGAAGCCTTTTCCTTCAGGTGCCGGAGACAGAGGTGACAGCTCCAGCTCCCTGCGGGGGCAGCCGAAGCTGAAGTCAGGCCCGGGTCCGGGAGGGCTGCCCCAGCCCCTTCCCACCCCGAGGACACACAGTCTTCCACAACCAGGAGATGGCGTTCCCACCCACCCGCCCCATGGGATGCCCACCTCTCCTCTCACCTTCCGGGGGCTCCGCCATGGGGGGACTCAGGCAGTACATGTGGTAACCCCGATCGCAGTCATCACAAAACAGCAGCTGGTCCTGGGGGGTGAGACCCGCCCAGCTGGCACCCTGGGGGCACGGGCACCAGAAACGGGGGTGGGGGGCTGGGGCAGGGGCTAGGTCAAGGGGGCTGGGGGAGGTGAGGCCTTCCGAGAAAGGTTCTGAGAAGGTCTTTGCAGCAGGAAATGTGTGCGCAACACTGCTTAGCCAAACACATATCCCTCAGGACAGTCCCTTTGCGATTTATAGTGGGGGTTTTATAAGGCTCTGTGGAAGGCTTATTATTATTATTATTTTATATTTTTAGAGACAGGGTCCTACCCTGTTGCCCAGGCTGGAAGTGCGGTGGTGCAGTCACAGCTCACTGCAGCCTCACACTCCTTGGGGCTCAAGTGATTCTCCTGCCTCAGTCTCCTGAGCTGGGACTACAGGTGTGCGCCACCATGCACGACTTTTTTTTTTTTTTTTTTTTTTTTGAGACGGGAGTCTCACTATGTTGCCCAGGCTGGTCTGGTCTAGAACTCCTGGGCTCAAAATTCCTCAGCCTCCCAAAGTGCTGGGATTACACAGGTGGGCCACCGCTCCCGGTCTGTGGGAAGTTTAAATGACACCAAGATGATCTGATAGCAGCTCTGCCAGAAACGGTCATGGCTTTTGTTTTTGTTTGTTTTTTTTTTTTTTGAGACGGAATCTCGCTCTGTCACCCAGGCTGGAGTGTGCAGTGGCGCCATCTCGGCTCACTGCAATCTCCACCTCCTGGGCTCAAGCCATTCTCCTGCCTCAGCCTCCCGAGTAGCTGGGATTACAGGCACCCAGCTAATTTCTGTATTTTTGTAGAGATGGGGTTTCACCACGTTGGCCAGGCTGGTCTCAAACTCCTGATCTCAGGTGGTCCACCCACCTCAGCCTCCCAGAGTGCTGGGATTCCAGGCGTGAGCCACCGCGCTCCGCCTGTGGAAGGCTTTAAACAACCCTAAGATGATCTGATACCAGCTCTGCCAGCAGTGGTCATGGCTTTAAATCTCAGCTCTGCCATTTCCCTAGCTGGCTGACCCTGGGCAGGTCTCTTTCCCTCTCTGAGCTCAGTTTCTTCCCTGTGAAGTGGAAACAAGACCACCTGCTTCAGAGGGTGGTTGGGAGGATCCAGAGAGATGAAGAGGAAAAAGGGCCAGGTTCGATTTATGGACACCGGCATAATGATAACACAGGGGACTGGTGTTCACCAGGGAAGGCTCAGGCACAGGCTTTAGGCTTAAGGGGCAGAGGTGGACGTGCCAGGCGGGGCGGGCAGCAGGGCACGCGGGGGGCGGGCGGCACTCACGTCGTTCTCGGAGGTTCCGCACAGGCTGCAGGATTTGCACTCGATGCACTGCCAGCGGTAGGTCCGCACGGCTGCCGTCATGTTCACCGTGAATTGTAAACACGAGGGGTGTCCTGGGGGCCAAGGGGCAGGGGTGCAGTTAGGAGGTCACCGTGCCCCTGGTGGGCACTGACCGGCAGGGGAGCCATAGCTCAGCCCCTACCCCTGGCTCATGACGCCAGGATGAGCTGCCGGGATCCACAGCCTGACCCCACACCTGCCCAGCAACCACGTGGCCGGCAGCAGTCCCCCGGCCACCACAGTCTCCTACCACAACCACCATGGCAACCACACTCTGCTCCCCAGAACGCCATGGCAACCGCATTCCATTACCCACAGTGCTGTGCCAACCACTTTCTACCACCCACAACACCGTGGCAACCACATTCTGTTAACCACCGTGCTGAGACAGCCACTTTCCATTACCCACAGCAGAACGGCCAGGGGTCCTGTTAACCACAGCAACGTGGCAACCACACTCTCCCAGCCACAATGCCATGGCAACCACCTTCCACAACGGGGTCCCCACACTTCGGTTTCATGCAACTGAAGTCCATTCCACTTGGTGCCCCAGCAACAAAACTGTTACTCACATCACAGCACTGTGCAGCGCCAGGCTTAGTCATTCCACAGCCCCGCTGCAGAGACACCCGCAGCCGCTACCTGCAGCCACGACCCATGGCGCCCGCCCCCTGCAACCACGGCCCCGGTGCCATCACAACTACATTCCATTATACTGAGTTGCCATGACAACCATATTTCACTACCCATGATGCCACGACAACCACAATTCATGACCTACTGTGCTGAGGCAACCAGAGTCTATATTGCCCACAAGCCCACCATGGGAAACCACATTCTGTTAACCACAACTCTATGGCGAGCTCATCCTGCTACCGGTGCCCAGGTGGTGGTGTCCGTCACTCACACCACACAGCCCACTACCTGCCATGCCTTGGCCCCTGTCTCTTGCTACTCCTTTTGTCTTGTTTTGGTTTTTGAAACAAGGTCTCACTCTGTTGCCCAGGCTGCAGCATAGTGGCACCATCACAGTGCACTCTGCAGCCTTGACCTCCCAGGCTCCAGCGATCCTCCCACCTCAGCCTCCCGAGTAGCTGGGACTAATGGGGTGCGAAACTATGCCCAGCCTTTTTTTTTTTTTTTTTTTTTTGAGACGGAGTCTTGCTCTGATACCCAGGGTGGAGTGCAGTGGTGCAATCTTGGCTCATGGCAACCTCTGAGCCCCGGGTTCAAGCGATTCTCCTGCCTCAGCCTCCGGAGTAGCTGGAACTACAGGCACGCACCACCACACCCAGCTAAATTTTGTATTTTTATAGAGATGGGGTTTCACCATGTTGGCCAGGATGGTCTTGATCTCTTGACCTCATGATCTGCTCGCCCCAGCCTCCCAAAGTGCTGGGATTACAGATGTGAGCCACATCACCCAGCCTGGCCTATTTTTTTTTTAATAGATGGGCTCTCATTATGTTGCCCTGGCTAGTCAAAAACTCCCAGATTCAAGGGGCTGGGTGCTGCGGTGGCTCACGCCTGTAATCCCAGCACTTTGGGAGGTCAAGGCAGGCAGATCACCTGAGGTCAGGAGTTTGAGACCAGCCTGGCCAACATGGTGAAACCCCCGTCTCTACTAAAAATATTAAAAATTAGCCAGGCATGGTGGCGGGTGCCTGTAATCCTAGCTACTCGGGAGGCTGAAGCACAAGAATCACTTGAACCCAGGAGGCGGAGGTTGCAGTGAGCCAAGATCATGCCAATGCACTCCAGCCTGGGTGACAGAGGGAGACTCTGTCTCAAAAAACAAAACAAAACAAAACAAAACAAAAACCTTCTGGGCTCAAGCGAGCCTCCCACTTCAGCCTCCCGAGTAGCTGGGGCTAATGGGGTGCAACACCATGCCCAGCTAACTTTTTTTATATATAGATGGGATCTCACTATGTTGCCCAGGCTGGTCTCAAACTCCTGGGCTCAAGGGAGCCTCCGGCCTCAGCCTCCTGAGTTGCTGGGATTACAGGTGCACAACAACACACCTGGATAATTTTTAAATTTTTTGTAGAGATGGGGGTCTTGCTATGTTGCTCAGGCTGGTCTCAAATTCCTGGCCTCAAGTGATCCTCCCACCTCTGCCTCCCAAAGTGCTGGGATTACAGGCGTGAGCCACCACACCTGGCCTCTCACTACTCTTGATGCCATGCTAAGCACAGGCAGCTACCCACAGTGCCATGAGAGCCACATCCCATTATCCCTAAAGCCTCACTGATCCGACCCAATTCCCACAATCCTCAGCAGTTGCATCAGCCTCGCTAGCTCTGGTTATCCACAGTATCCCCTACATGCTCCGGGTCCCCTCGGTCCTCACCGCCTTGCCTCCCTCCCTCCAGGTCTGCACTCCTGAATGTCCTCTGCACCCGGCCCCCAGAAACCTCAGGTGGGGAGCATCACCTGATCGCCCACAGTCCGCACAGGAGATGAGGTCCTCGGGACACCCCGTCTTCTTGGAGCCCCCCAGGCAGAAGTCACAGTAGCCGTTGGGGATGACAGTGCCGTCGGGCGCCTTCTTGGCTGCAAGACAGCAGACAGGCATTGGCACGGGGCAGGCAAGGGCACCCCGCAAAGGTGGCTGCAGACTTTAGGAGCAGAAGGAGGCATCCGTACCTGTGTGTTTCCTTTGTGCCTCAGGGACCCAGGCCAATTCTTTGTAAAACTCTGGGGTAGGGGGGACAGAGAGAGGGACTCTCACCACAGGCAAGGCTCCACCCTGCCCCCAGCCTCAGCCCCAAGGATGGACCTCTTAGTCCAGGCGTGGGGAGCTGGGAAGAGTGAGTAGCTACCCCAAGCTGTGGGGAGAGGTGAAAACAGTTCTCATCGGGACTCCCAACTCTGCCTTTTTAAATTTTTTTTTCAATTAAAAATAAAGGCAGGGTCTTGGTATGTTGCCCAGGCTGGTCTCCAACTCCTGGCCTCCAGTGATCCTCCCACCTCGGCCACTGCCACAAAGTGGCGGGATTATAAGCGTGAGCCACTGCACCCAGCCAGGATTCCCAACTCCTTGAGACAACTGACATGTCCTCTTTATTGGGTCAAAACTTGGTAGACAGCTTGAGGAAGGGCTCCCTGCCTCCCTTCTCACATACATGTCTCCCAGCCAGCCACTCCCAACTGCACCCTCAGTAATTTGTATCTAACAAATTCAGCGAGTACCCCAGCCAAGATCTGGTATGGAAACAGACACTCGGAAGAAAAACTCCGAACACTGAGGTGCGTGGGTGTGTAGTGGCCAGGGGTGAAGACACTCAGCCTCTGCCTCTGAGAGATAGGTGGGAAGACAGTGTCTCCCTACTGCCTCTCCCAAACCCTCCTCCCCTCCCCCATCCTTCAGCTGTCAGAACTGGCATGGGATTGGCAAGGGCGGAAGCCAAGGGCTCCCAGGCCACAGACCCTGCCCCTTGACCAAAGCTTAGCAGAGAAAGGAGAAAGGGAAGGCAGGGCGGGAGGGGAGCCATCTATCACCCCCCCTCCCCAAGCTCTAATTGAAACAATAAATCAGACCCAGAAATATTACGCCCGGCCAGGAGCGAAGGAGCGATGGTTGGTTGCCATGGCAACCCCGGAGCCAGCATCCCCATGGTCGGTGGGGGGAGGGAACGGCTGAGCTGGAGATTTTCCAGAAATGTCTAATGCCCCCCCACCCCCACCCCCAGCTGGGCTCCTCTTCCCCACTCCCAGGGCCCCTGGCCACCCCCACCTGGCCTGCCAGCTCACGTTTATGGTTGTTTTTCCGGTGGAAGGGCAGGGCGTGGCGTTCGGCGTTCTCCTCCCCCTCCTCCTCGGCCAGGTGGGTGTGGGTGTAGTGGTAGCTGAGCCCCGGCCGGTTCTTATACCGTTTCCCACAGACTGGGGAGCGAGCGAGCCAGGAGGGCCTGTCAGCCCCTCCGGGCCCCTGCCGCCTCCACCCTGGCCTCCAGGATCACACCTCCCCCCTCAGCCAGAGACCTGAGCAGCCTCCCAACCCGGGTCTGGAACGGGAGGGAGAGGGCCACGAGGTGGGGAGTCTCTGGGCACCCCTCTCTCTGCCTTTCCCCCTCTTCAGAAGGACTCACTATCACAGACATACGGCTTGTCTCGGTCCTCCAGGGAAGCGGTGTCCTGGCGTTTCCGGAGACCCCCGATGCCATATGCCTGTGGGGAGAGTCAGGAGTGAGGGGCCAAGAAAGTGAGAAAACAGGCCAGGCGTGGTGGCTCACACCTGTAATCCCAGCACTTTGGGAGGCCGAGGCAGGCGGATCACGAGGTCAAGAGATCGAGACCACCTTGGCCAACATGGTGAAGCCCCGTCTCTACTAAAAATAGAAAAATTAGCTGGGCATGGTGGCGCGTGCCTGTAGTCCCAGCTACTCGGGAGGCTGAGGCAGGAGAATCGCTTGAACCCGGGAGGCGGAGGTTGCAGTGAGCAGATATTGCGCCACTGCACTCTAGCCTGTGACAGAGCGAGACTCCGTCTCAAAAAAAAGAAAAAAAAGAAAAAAGAAAGTGAGAAAACAGTGTCTTTTGCAAATTCAAATTGCAGCTGTACAAATGTCCTAGCTGTGGGGCCTTGAACCTCTCCAAGGTTCAGCTTCTTCCTCTGTGGCATGGGGATGAAGGTAGCTCTAACCCACTGCATAATCTCTGCTTTGCAAATGGCTTAATACAGATGAGCCTCAGTTTCCTCATCTGTAAAATGGGTATAAAATCCCCCACCCCTGCAGGCCGCTCTGGGGATTCAATGAGGTCAGACTGAGGTCAGACTGTGGCAGGGGCGGACCACTGCACCTGCTCCATGAATGAGACCTGTCATTGAGGGGAGCGGGGAAGAGGAGAAGCTTGGGGTGATACCTTTCCTTTGGCCCTGTTCTTCCTCCTGGGAATGTCATCCTCCAAGTCTTCCACCTCGAGGTCATGCGGAAACTCCAGCAACTGCTGTTTCTGGGCAATAGAGAAAGGAGACGGGTCAAGAAAGTGGGGGCCACTGACCTGCTTTTGAGGGGCTCTGGGCAAAGGTGGAGATTGGGGGTGAGAGTATAAGTCAGGAGTTCTTCCAAATAGAGATGAAGTCTGGGAGGATGGTGACTGGGATGCCCAACAGCCAGAAGAAACCGGGGGGGTTTCAGAGCAGGAACGTGAGGGCCCGGGCTGGTGGCAGGCAGGGGTGAGACGAAGCCATGCAGCGGGGGTCCCCCAGAGGTGGGCCCACCTGACAGTCCATAATGGTCTCCTCCTCCTTCAGCTCAATCTTCTTCTCCCCCGTCTCTGCACACAGTAGAGCCTCGAGGACCGGCCCTTCCGGGAGGCCACCCTCCTTCTTCAGGGGTGCTTCACAGTCTGGGGACAGGGCCATGGGGGGGTCAGATGGGGAAGTTGACCCCGGAGGACTCCTCAAACTATGCAGGTGGGGGGACCATGCTCTTTGCAGGAGGGAAGAGGCTGCAGAGGCAAGGATTTAACCACATGCCCTAGGAGGGAGGCCCAGACTCTGGGGAGACCCAGTCACGCCCTCAGATGCCCTGGGATGCACAGCAGGAGACACGGTCAGAACTTTGGATACACCAGAAAGCCTCAGAAAAAGACACAGTTAGGCCATCAGGCACACCCAGACCTACTCAGGGAAGACACAGCGACTCTCAAACATACCCAGACAAATATGGACAGATCCAGACACTCGCAGAGGAGACACAGGGACACCCGCAGGGGACATCCAGACAGATCGTCTGAGACAGATGCGGGAAGGAAGAGGCCCAGCCATGCTGTCTTTTTTCTTTTTTTTTTGAGACAGGGTCTCGCTCTGTCACCCAGGTTGGAGTGCAGTGGCGCAATCTCAGCTCACTGCGACTCCCAGGCTCAAGTGATCCTCCCACCTCAGCCTCCTGAGTAGCTGGGACTACAGGCAGAGTAGCTGGCATGCTACCACACTGGGCTAATTTTTGTATTTTTGGTAGAGATGGGGTTTCATCGTGTTAATCAGGCTGGTCTCAAACTCCTGAGTTCAAGCGATCCTCTGCCTCGGCCTTCCAAAGTGCTGGAATTACAGGCATAAGCCACACTCTCAGATACAGCCTAGAGACTCAAAGAGGTATAGCCAGATCCTTGGAGACACCCAGACACAGGGAGGAGACATAGCTGGACCCATGGGTACACTCAGAAATGCTCAGAGACAATTAGCTGGCCAGGCGCGTTGGCTCACACCTGTAATCCCAACACTTTAGGAGGCTGAGGCGGGTGGATCACTTGAGGTCAGGAGTTTGAGACCAGCCTGGCCAACATGGTAAAACCTCATCTCTACTTAAAAAAAAAAAAATACAAAAATTAGCCGGGTGTAGGGGCACATGCCTGTAATCCCAGCTACTCAGGAGGTTGAGGCAGAGAATCACTTGAACCCGGGATGCGGAGGTTGCAGTGAGCCGAGATCGTGCCACTGCACTCCAAACTGGGTGAAAAAAAAAAAGAAAGGAAGAAGGAAGGAAGGAGGGAAAGAAAAGAAAAAGAAAGAGAGAGAAAGAAAGAAAGAAGGAAGGAAAGAAAGAAAGAAAGGAAGGAAGGAAAGAAAAGAAAAAGAGAGAGAGAGAAAGAAAGAGAAAGAAAGAAAGAAAGAGAAAGAAAGAAAGAGGCCGGGTGCGGTGGCTCACGCCTGTAATCCCAGCACTTTGGGAGGCCGAGGCGGGCAGATCATGAGGTCAGGAGATCGAGACCATCCTGGCTAACACGGTGAAACCCCGTCTCTACTAAAAATACAAAAAATTAGCTGGGCGTAGTGGCAGGCGCCTGTAGTCCCAGCTACTCGGGAGGCTGAGGCAGGAGAATGGCGTGAACCCAGGAGGCGGAGCTTGCAGTGAGATCGCGCCACTGCACTCCAGCCTGGGCGACAGAGCAAGACTCCGTCTCAAAAAAAAAAAAGAAAAAGAAAAAGAAAAAAGAAAAAAAGAAAGAAACAATTAGCCCTCCAGATACACCTAGACCCTGGGGAAGACACAGCCAGATGAGATGCTTGGACACATAGCGGGGAGATACCGACATACTCAGGGAGAATCACTCAGCTAGATACACACAAACACACACAGGAGACAGACAGGAAGAGACACAGCCAGGTGGGCACTGCCACGCTCCTGGGTACACACAGACCCTCGGACTCAGGAAGAGAAACTGACCCCGAGGATCCCGATATTCCTAAACACATTCAAGGGTAAGTCCAGATCCTCTGATGGACTGGCACACACGTGCAGAAATACACCTGATACGCCAGACACCATCAGGAAGATTCTCCCAGACACTCCGAGGCACCCACACACCCACAGAAAGAGACGGCCGCACCGCCTAACACACCCAGACACACTCGGGAGGAGCCGGACACCCTGACAGACCAGACATACACAAGACACAAGCCTTCTAAGACACTTGGAGACACCTGGGAAGATACACCTAAGAGAGGAAAGAGCTCCAACCAGACACTGAGACATCCAGACGCCCTTGGGGAGATACAGAGGCAGACACCCTCAGGCACCCACAGAAAAAAATACAGGCAGATGGCCGGGCATGGTGACTCAAGCCTGTAATCCCAGCACTCTGGGAGGCCAAGGCAGGTGGATCACCTGAGGTCAGGAGTTCGAGACCAGCCTGGCCAACATGGTGAAACCCTGTCTCTACTAAAAATACAAAAAAATTAGCCGGGCATGTCAGTGTGCATCTGTAATCCCAGCTACTCAGGAGGCTGAGACAGGAGAATCGCTTGAACCCACTAGGCGGAGGTTGCAGTGAGCTGAGATTGCGCCACTGTACTCCAGCCTGGGTGACAGAGCCAGACTCCATCTCAAAAAAAAAAAAAATACAGGCAGACTGATCCATCCCAGTTCCCAGGGGAAGGGACACAGTCAGCAACTCCATACACCCACACACACCTAACAGATATCACTATGCCCTCCAATACCACTGGGACCCTTGGTGGGGCATGGTGGTTCACGCCTATAATCCCTGCACTTTGGAGGGCTGAGACAGGAGGATCCCTTGAGCTCAGGAGTTCAAGACCAGACTGGGCAACATAGTAACACCCTGCCTCTATTTAAAAAACAACAGGCCAGGCGCGGTGGCTCACACCTGTAATCCCAGCACTTTGGGAGGCCGAGGTGGCCAGATCACCTGAGGTCAGGAGTTCCAGACCAGCCTGACCAACATGGTGAAACCCCGTTTCTACTAAAAATACAAAATCAGCCGGGCATGGTGGCGCATGCCTGTAATCCCAGCTACTCGGAAGGCTGAGGCAGAATCGCTTGAACCTGCTAGGCGGAAGTTGCGGGTTCAAGGTTCAACTCCCCGCTAGGTGGAGGTTGGGGGATCACGCCATTGCACGCCAGCCTGGGTGAAACTCTGTCTCAAAAATAAATAAATAAATAAATAAATAAATAAATAACAACAACTGGGCACCTGGGCCCATGTAGGAGGAGATGCAGTCGCCACTCAGTGACTCAGAGAAACTGTGGAATCTCTGGGAAACACCCGGGACGCACATGGGCAGACAGACACACAGCCAGCCAGGCAGACACTTGCTAGAAGGCGATAAAGGTGATGGACGAGTGCTAGGACACACAGCAGGCGCTGGGACACCGATGGGGGCCCCAGCGGCTGCACCCACCGATCTTGTACTCGCAGGGCCTGAGTCTGGGGTCCTCCAGGATGTTGAGTCTCCGTTTCTTCCTCCAACAGCGGGCGGGGTACGTGTAAATCTGTCCCGGGGCCAAACCTGGAGAGAGAGGGGGGTGAGAGGGCGGCGGCGGTGGGGCGGCCTGGCCCCGCCCCGCCCTGCGCCAGCCCTCCCGGCGGTACCCGGCCCGCGGTGGGTCTTCTCCATCCAGATGTAGCAGTTGTTCTGGGCCACGCCGGTCTGCGAGTCGAGGAAGGGCAGTCGCAGGCTGCGCTCGGCGCACAGGCGCGCGTTGTAACTGCGGCAGTGCTCGATGGCCTCGCGGTAGAAGTCCTCGCCTAGGCTAGAGGGGCGGCGAACGGGCGGGCGGCTGTCAGCAAGGGCAGGCGCACAGGGTCGCCCAGCACCCCTTCCCCGGCTGCCGGGCCGCCCAGGCTCGGGAGGGGTGGGCCGACCCCTCCAGCCTCACCTCTCCCCTCCTCCCACTCCGGGACCCAGGCTGGGGGAAGGGGACAGGGCCCAGGGGCCCCCAAACTGGGACTCAAACAGGCCCCCAGCTCATGAGTAGAAACACGATACAGAAACAAACAAAAACACACCGGGACGTATCCCTACCTGAACACATGCAGACACACAACACAAATCACACACAGTCACACGGGATTCACACACAAAGAGAGACAAATCCCAATACTCACAAAGGAGAAACAGACAAACCTCACACACGTGCACACATAAATATCTACTGAAAAAGACAAATATCCCAAGTTCCATAGTGTGGAGACAAATCACACAAATAACCATGCACAAAGACACATCACATATCCACAGACACACACCAGAAACACATCACCCACACAAAGACACACAACATGGAAACATCACACCACACACACATACACCCCCTCATGCATCCAAAGACACAAGCATGTCAAAAGACAGGAACTACAGAAACCACTTGCGCCCCTAGGCACTTACCCATGTATCCAAAGACACAACACAAACCACACACACAATATCCAGACACACAACACAAAGAAATCACACAGATTCACACAGGTACACACACACATTTACAAAGATGCACGATGCGCAACCAGTATCTAAAATATCACACATCCACACAGACACACACACATATAAAACACAGAAACAGCCAAATCCACCCATAGTCACACAAAAATTTACACACAAATACACGCAGCCCTACATACCCAAAAACACAGAACACAAGACAAATGACATATAGTTCCAAAGGACACGGACACACACTGGGAGACCCAAATATCCAAAGATATCTAGTGCAGAATAAAAGGAAACAGACACATGTCCACACACCTATCCCCCAAAAATTCTTAAAAAAACCAGAACACAAATAAGTGATACACACACACACTCCACATCCCAAGACAAAGGTAGTGTGGACTTCACTCCAGTTGCCAAGGCCCCCGCACCCCCGGGTCATTTCAGTCTCTCCCAGACCCGAGGGTTGCAGGGAAGGGATGATGTCTCCCTTCCCCAAAAAGAATCTGGAGGCCCCCCACGCCCTCCACCCCGCCAGGGAGCGGTGCATCCGACACCATTCTTGTCAGAGACCCACAGTCACACACTCTCGCACCCCCGCGCAGCCCCGCACTCGGTGACAGCCCCCCAGACACCCCTTCGGCCCCACCCCCGGTCGCCACACACACACAGGCCCGCGTAGACCCGCCCGCGCTTCCTCTCCGCCTCCCGCCGGCCCGCACCACCTCAGGGGGCCAGGGATGACAGTGGCCATCTTGCTCCCCGGGTCCTGCCCCCAGCAGGTCCCCGCCGGGTCGGTCCTCCCAGCGGTCGGGCGGGCGCTGAGGCCGCCCATCCATTCATTCCCGGGGGGCGGGAGCACGAGGGCCACGGCCAATCGCGGCGACGGGGCGGGCCCGCCCGGGCCATGCTGGGAGTGGTAGTCCCAGGCCAGGGGGCCCCCGGGACCCCGCGGGGACGGGACGGCGCGGAGGAGGGGCCCGGGGCACGCACCGTCACTCACCCGCCCTCACTCGTCCACATATCCTGCTCTCGCGTGCACACAACCACATGCACACCTGGACTCGCACACGCCCACGCATGGCAGTTTACACACACATTCACGCGGATACTCACAGCCTCCCACACACTCCTACTCACACACCTTCGCACGGACTCACACAGCCACACGCACACACACTGCAATACTAAGAGACGCAGAGACACCTCCCAGGTGCCCACACAGACTTCTCACCAACATGCTTCCAGCAGACACCCCCTCACCGCCCCCCACCCAAGTCCCTCCTGGCTCCAGAGACCCCACCCGGGGCTGTCTCTCCCAGCAGCCACGCTCACGGTCACCCCGCCCTGCTCAACGCCTTCTGCAGGCCTGACAGCAGCAGTGCAGGTTAGAAACAGTAGTCACACCTCCAGGGTTCAAATCCTAGCTCTGCCACTTGGTGGCCATGTGACCTTGGCAAATGACTTAACCTTTCTGGGCCTCAGTTTCCTCATCTGTAAAAAGAGGATGATGCCTCACTGGAGTGTTGTGAGGATTAAATGAGTAAATATAGGTAAAGCATTTTAAGAGGTGACTGGCAGGCCAGGCGCAGTGGCTCACACCTGTAATCCCGGCACTTTGGGAGGCCCAGGCAGGTGGATCACCTGAGGATGGGAGTTCGAGACCAGCCTGGCCAACATGGTAGTAGTCTCTACTAAAAATACAAAATTAGCCGGGCATGGTGGCGCATGCTTATACTCCCCCACTCAGGAGGCTGAGGCAGGAGAATCACTTGAACTCAGGAGGTGGAGGTTGCAGTGAGCTGAGATCGTGCCATTGCACTCCAGCCTGGGCAACAAGAGTGAGACTCCCTCTCAAAAATAAATAAATAAATAATAAGAAAGAAAGAATAATGCGGCCAGGTGCGATGGCTCCAGTCTGCAATCCCAGTACTTCGGGAGGCCTAGATGAGAGCACTGCTTGAGCCCAGGAGTTTGAGACCAACCTGGGCAACATATCCAGACCCCTGTGTCTACAAAAAAAAATTAAAATTAGCTGGGCATGATGGCGCAGCAGTGTAGTCCCAGCTACTTGCAAGGCTAAAGTGGGAGGATAGCTTGAACCTGGGAGGCTGAGGCTGCAGTGAGCTGTGGTCTCACCACTGCACTCCAGCCTGGGTGGCAGAGCGAGACTCTGTCTCTAAAAGCAAACAAACAAACAAACAAACAAACAAAAAACTAAGTAAGCAGGGCGCCGTGACTCATGCCTGTAATCCCAGCAATCTGGGAGGCTGAGATGAGAGGACCGCTTGAGCTCAGGAGAACAGCCTGGGCAACATAGCGAGACCTGGTCTCTACTAAAAAAAAAATAAATAGCTGGGCATGGTGGCACATGCCTATGGTCCCAGCTACTCAGGAGGCTGAGTCAGGAGGATTGGTTGAACCCAGGAGATCGAAGCTGCAGTGAGCTATGATCACACCACTACACTCCAGCCTGGACAACTGAGCAAGACCCTGTCTCCAAAAAAAAAAAAAAAAATAGATGCTCAGTAGATATTTGTTGAATGAGTAAATGCACCCATCATGTGCTGGGCACAGTTCACCCCGGGATGCTTTTATTATCTGCATTTTCCAGGTGAGGAATCTGAGGCACAGGAAGGTAACCTCACATGCCCGCATGCCCTGGCGGCTCTTTGAAGGTAAGACTGAAGGAAGGAGGCAGGCACCCCTGACGGCCCTCCCCAAGTAGTCCTGACCTCCTTCTCTCTCCCACTGTCACCCACACTGACTCCACCCGAAGAGATCCCCAGGGAGTGAGCAGACCCACTGAGTCACAAACTGACCCAGTCTCTCTGCAACACCACCACCCCGTCCCCCCTCCCGTCTCACCCCTCCTCCCCCTTTCCCCTTCCCACCCCTTCTCCCCCTTTCCCCTTCCCCTCTTCCACCCGGACCCCTGTAGAGCCAGCATTCAAATTTGGGCGGCTGCTGTAATTAACACGCCCACAAACGCCCTCATCCACCAGGGGGCGCCCCAGCCGACAGAAGTGGCCCGCTAGCCTTCACCATTTTTGTCACTTGAAATCCCCCCAAGAGAGAGATCCAGTCAAGGCCTCCTACACTCACGGTCACTTCTACACACACACACACACACACACACACACACACACACTCCTCTAGTCTTAGACCCTTTCCACAAACTCGCCCATCTAAGCCAGGTAAGGTCTTGGCCGGCCCCTCTCCTGGAACAGGAGGTAGGTCTCTGATTCACATATGGCCTGGAGTGGTGACAAGGGGATTAAGTGAGGGGCACTGACACCCCTACGATCACTCTGGCCTCCAGGGCCCTATAGTGGCCACCTCACACCTTACCCACGGTGAGCTGTGACCCCACCTTCCTCTCTCACCTCCCATTAGCTCACAGGTCCCGTAACACACCCTCTTACACTTGATTCCCACACCGCTAGCCTCAGACACGCAGACTCACTCCTGCCCCACCCCAAACTCTCATGTCGATTTGATTAAGAGAAGCCCGAGTGTAGACACTGAGTGCAGACCTTCCTAACAGTCCTCCTCTACCAGCAGAATTTCTATTTTTCTTTCTTTTCTTTTCTTCTTTTATTTCTCTTCCTTCCTTCCTTCCTTCCTTCCTTCCTTCCTTCCTTCCTTTCTTTCTTTCTTTCTTTTCTTCTCTTTCTTTCCTCTTTCTCTTTTTCTCTTTTTTTTTTTTGGACAGCGTCTCACTCGATGGCCCAGGCTGGAGTGCCATGGCATGAACACAGCTCGCTGCAGCCTCCACCTCCCAGGCTCAAGCGATCCTCCCACCTCAAACCCCCAAGTAGCTGGGACTACAGGCCTGTGCCACCGCACCCGGCTAATTTTTGTATTTTTGTAAAAACAGGGTGTCCCTGTGTTGGCCAGGCTAGTCTCAAACTCCTAAGCTCAAGTGATCTGCCCACCCTGCCCTCCCAAAGTGCTGAGATTACAGGCATAAGCCACCATGCCCGGCCCACCAGCAGGATATCTACCCACAGACGCAGGCTGACACTTGCAGCGGGCTCTCCTTTCTTTCCTTCTGCCCTAACCACCTGCACACACCACTCCCACATACTCTCCTACACACTTGAACTCCCAGTCCTCTCCCTGGCCCAAACAATCCTCCTGCCCCATCCCCCAATGCCCTGTGTGGGAGCTGGCCCACAGTAGAAATCAATTTCATAAATCAATATTGATACTACTAATAATAATCACTACATTTGGTCAGTGTCAGTCTCTGTGCTAACTGCTTTACAAAGATGGCCTTAGCCCCACGACAGTCCCATCGGGTGGTAAGGGCTGTTAGAAGCCCCCATACACAGATGGCAAAACTGAGGCTCACGGCAGGGAACATTCGTGGCTCAAGCTGGTTTTGGAACTCAGGCAGTCGGAACTTCCGAGGGCGGCACCCTGCAGCTCCTTCTCCCCAGGGGATTTGACTCACATTCTTTCAGGAGCCAGGGAGTCCCCACCTTCACCCCCACAGAGACCTTTTGGAAGGGAAGGGCACAGAGGGGTAGGGCCCTCCCAGTCCAGGCTTACTGTAGCTGGGCCCCTGCTCACGGCTGTAGCACACCTCCTCCCAGGGGTCTGGGCCAGGGTCAGGGTGAGGGGCCCCATCGCCTGTAGATCCACCAACCTGCACAAGAGCCCCGTTCCCAGCCATTTTGCGGATGTCCCCTCACAGGAGAGACAGCTGTCTGTGTGTGCCACTTAGGGTGAGAGGGCAGCAGAGGGGTGTCACCATCATACACCACCTCACACGGACCCGAGCCCCACACACCCGCTCCCGGCACCCTGCTCACGGCGAAGCCACACGTGTAGGCGCTTGCCTCTAAGTCCCTGCCCCCCTTCCTCTCCCAACTCCCACCCTCCACCTCCCACCCCCATTCCCGCCAGAAACCAGAAGCAACTGGCGGCCTCTGGTCCAGCCAGCAGGCGCATCCCTTCTCGTGGGTGGGGTAGGGGGGCGCTCCCTCTCTCCCTCTCTCCCCCCACCCCCCACCCCCGCCCCCAGCCCTCGATGTTCAAGGTCAAGGCAGCCAGCGCACGGGGTTGGGGGAAGGGTGGGGGAGGTCGCCCCGGCCCCTTTGTGCGACGCCGCGGGCGCTCGCCCTCCGCCTCCTCCACCAGGCCCGGGAGGAGGGGGAGGGGAGCGCCTCGCTCGCCTGCGGGGAGGGAGGGCGGGAGCGGCCGAGTGCCTGTCACTTGGAGCCCGCTGTCACCGCCTGGGAACGGGGGGTGGGGAGCGCTGGGACGTGGAGTCCGGGATCCCGAAGAGGAAGCAAGAGCGAGATGGAGAGGGGGAAGGGGAGGTGTGGAGAGCGCGAGGGATGGCAAGGAGAGGAGAGGGTCAGGAGGGGCCAGGCTCGGACCCAGGCTTCCGGATTCCCAGCCACCGGGCCCGGGAAGAGGCGAACGCTCGGAGGACCGCGGCCAGGGAGAAAGGGAGGGAATCCCCGGAGACCGAGGGCGCTCCCGGCACCCCCTCCTGGGCAGCCGGTCCCCAAAGGGATCAGAGATGCTCCCGTTTGATGTGTATGCGCGGGGAGAGGGAGGGATGCCGCGGTCCAGACTGACGGCGGGTTCGGGGCTTCCAGTTCCCGGGATCCCGGGAGGAAAAAGGGGAGGCAGCGGGGATGGAACTGGGGACCCCCGACGTCTCAGCTCCCACCCTGCGGCCGCGAGGGCCGGGGTCCTCAGAGAAAGAAGGGGAAAGAGAGAAAGGCGCTTTGATGAGCGGAGAGCGGGTGATGGAAACCCTGGAGACCGAGGTCCGGACTTAGGTGTTCGAGCTTTCAGCCCCGGCCGGGGCAGGCCCGGCACCTCCGGAGACCCTGAGGGAGAGATGGAGGAGAGGGAAACCCCTACCCCCACTCTGGGTGGGGAAACGGCCTCCGCCACCCCCAGCCCGCGCCGCATTCCTTCACTGACAGCGACAAAGAAGAGGCGCCCCCGCGACCCTGGAGGGGCTCCCGCCCCCAACCCCAGGGGGCGACAGGGGGTGGGGACCCCCGGGGCAAGGGTTCGCGCTGGGGGCCCCCATTCAACTACGGTCCGCGCGCTGCGTCCCCCTCCTCAGCCCCAGGGCGGGCGGGGGAAGGGCTCCTGGTGGGGGGGTCTGGACAGGGGGCGGGGACGGCAGGGACACTCACGACTTGAGCGGGTTCTGAATGGCGGTGGCCATGGCCCGCTCGGCTGGGCCGCCTCCGGCCCGGGGCGCCGCTGCCGCCGCGCGCGGGCCCAGCCCGGCCTGCGCCGCCCGCTCTGCCGCCCAGCGCGCTACGATTTCATTCATTCTTGGGGCTGCGGCGCGAGCGGAGCGGGGCGGGCCGGGGGCGGGGCTCAGCCAATCCCCGCGCCTCCCAGCGCACGACGGGACGTGGAGTCTAGGGGCGCGCGGCGGCGCCCGAGGGCGCCCCTGCCCGGACTACACGTCCCAGGGGGCGTCAGGAGGACCGCGCTCCCATTGGCTGCTGGGGATACAGGGAGGGGCGGGGCTCCCCCCAGAGCATCTTTCCTCCCTCCCTGGGAGTGCTCGGTCTCCAACTCGGGATCTCCACCCTCCAGGCACCGCGGGCGCGGAAGCAGGTGGTCCCTAGCTTCTAGATGTCCCCAGGGTATGTGGATGACCCTAGGGTCTGTCGTGTATTCTTGTCTAGGCCTATTTGGGTGTCTCTTCTATGTCGGACAGCCTGTGAACAAGCACAGGGGTTAATCAGTGCCTTTGTTCATTTACTGAGTGCCTGCTGTGTTCCAGGAACTCTTCTAGGCACTGGGGATACAGCAATGACCAAAACAAAGTTGCCGCTCTCAAGGAGCTGACATTCTAGTGGAGAAAGACAGATAATAAGAAAATAAATAGATAAAATCATTTCAGACAGTGAAAGGTGCTATAAAGAAAAGAAAATGGGGCCAGTCGTGGTTGCTCATCACTTTGGGAGGCCTGTAATCCCATCACTTTGGGAGGCCAAGGCAGGTGGATCATCTGAGCTTAGGAGTTCAAGACCAATATGGGCAACATGGCGAAACCCCGTCTCTACCCAAAATACAAAAAATTAGCTGGGTGTGGTGGTGCATGCCTGTAGTCCCAGCTACTCAGGAAGCTGAGGTGGGAGGATCACTTGAGCCTGGGAGGCAGAGATTGCAGTGAGCCGAGATTGTACCACTGCATTCCAGCCTGGGTGACAGAGCGAGACCCTGTCTCAAAAAAAAAAAAAAAAAAAAGAGAGAGAGAGAGAGAGAAAGAAAGAAAAAGAAAAAGAGAAGAGTCCAGGCACACACCTATAATCCCAGCACTTTGGGAGCCTGAGGCAGGAGGATTGCTTGAGCCCCATAGCACAAGACCAGCCTGGGCAACATAGTGAGATCCCATCTCTGCAAAAAGTTTAAAAATTATCTGGGTGTGGTGATGCATGTCTGGAGTCTCAGCTACTCAGGAGGCTGAGGCAAGAAGATCACTTGAGCCTGAAAGTTGGAGGCAGTAGTGAGCTCCAGCCTGGACAACAGAGAGAGTCTCCGTCAAAAGCAAGAAAGCAAGCAAGCAAGCAAGAGAAAGAAAGAAAAAGAAAGAAAAGAAGAAAATAAAATAGATTCAGCAGAACACAGATTCCAGAAAGAAAAAAGAAGCAAATAAAAGATAATTTTAAAAAAAGAAAACAGATTGATTTGAAGGAGTGAAGAAGTGGCTTCTCTGAAGAGATGACATTTGAGCTAAGGTCTAGAAGTTGCCAGCATGCACTAAGAAGCATGTCTAGGCACAGGATCACCAAGTGCAAATGCCCTGGGCTGGGAACAAGTGTGGCATGTTCAAAGATCAGGAAGCAATTGAGTGTGACTGGAGCAGAGTGAGCAGGGGGAGACAGCCTGGGGAGAGAGCAAGGACCCGGCTCATGTAGTACCTTGTAGGTCATTATAAAGAAAATGGATTTTGTTCTAAGTGCAATCAATCATCCTGAACTCTCCTTCTCCTCTTCTTTTTCGCACACACACTCCAAGCCCATCGGCAAATTCTGTTGTCTCTACATTCAAAACATATCCAGATTCCACCCACTCTCTGCACTTCATGGCCTGCACCCCAGTCCTGTCCATCATTGTCTGCTGCCTGGACTATGGTAGCAGCTTCATCACTGGGCTCCTGCCCCTCAAGTCTGCTCTCCCCACACAGCCAGAGCAGGCTATCTGAAGCATATCTCTGTGCTGAGCACAGTGGCTCATGCCTGTAATCCCAACACTTTGGGAGGCCAAGGTGGGTGGATCACTTGAGGTCAGGAGTTTGAGACCAGCCTGGCCAACATGGTGAAACCCCATCTCTACTAAAAATACAAAAATTAGCCAGCTGTGGTGGTGCATGCCTGTAATCCCAGCTACTCGGAAGGCTGAGGCAGGAGAATCGCTTGAACCTGAGAGACAGAGGTTGCAGCGAGCCAAGATCGCACTGCTGCACTCCAGCCTGGGCAAAAGAGAGATTCCATCTCAACTAATAATAATAATGATTAATTAATTAAGCATATATCTGCATCCAACCACTCTCTGGCTCAAACCTCCAGCGGCTTCTTTCATAATTTGAATAAAATGCAAAGCCCTCGCTACGCCCTCCTCCATCCCTCCTCAACCCTCATCACATTTCTGGCCTCTTTCACCTCCTTCCTTCCCTTGGCTAACTTCACTCCAGCCCCACTAGCTTCCTCCCTATTTCTGGAACATTCCAATCCCACTCCAGCCACAGGACCTTTGCACCTCTGCCTAGAGTGCTCCTCCCACAGACACCTGCCTCACTCCATCCCGCACTTCATTCAGGTCTCCGGTTAAATGCCACCTCCTCAGACACAACCCTAGCTAAAATTGCAGCCCCTAGCCTCCTGCCTCAGCCTCCCAAAGTGCTGGGGTTACAGGCGCGAGCCACAACACCCAGCCAAAATTATGAATAAATAAATGTATTGGCCAGGTGCAGTTTGCTCATGTTTGTAATCCTAGCACTTTGGGAGCCCGAGGCGGGTGGATCACCTGAAGTTAAGAGTTAGGGACCAACTGGCCAACACAGTGAAACCCCAGCTCTACTAAAAATACAAAAATAAGCCAGGTGTGGTGGCACGTGCCTGTAATCCCAGCCACTCAAGAGGCTGAGGCAAGAGAATCACTTGAACCCAGGGGGCGGAGGTTGCAGTGAGTCGAGATTGTGCCACTTCACTCCAGCCTGGGCAAAAGAGCAAAAAACTCCATCTCAAAATAAAATAATAAAATAAAATAAATGTATCAATTAGTCATGCTCCATGCCTCTCCCCAGTGTCCAAAAGCATGCACCCAGCATGAAGAGAATCAGGTGGGATCCAGGCTCTGCCCTACCCCATATGGACACTTGGACAACCTGAAGTGAGGGGCAAATTTGGGGCCTTTTTTAAGGAAAAGTGCCCAGCACAGCATCTGGACCTAAGGCTTCAAGGCAGAGAGAAGGGATACATTAAAAGGCACACTTGGCCGGGCGCGGTGCCTCATGCCTATAATCCCAACACTTTGGGAGGCCGAGGAGGGTGGATCACCTGAGGTCAGGAGTTTGAGACCAGCCTGGCCAACATGGTGTAACCCTGTCTCTACTAAAAATACAAAAATTAGCCGGGCGTGGTGGCGGGCGCCTGTAGTCCCAGCTATTAGGGAGGCTGAGGCAGGAGAATCACTTGAACTCAGGAAGTGGAGGCTGCAGTGAGCTGAGATGGCACCACTGCACTCTAGTCTGAGCAACAGAGTGAGACTCCATCCCAAAATAAATAAATAAATAAATGTCACATCCACTCATTTCTAGAGAACGATGATGGTCTCCATCCCTCTGTGGATGTGCTGGGGACACAGCAGCAAATAAGATGGCCCCAGACTTTGCCTTAAGCTTGGAGTCCAGAAGAGTAACAGACTCATCACCAGACAGTGATGTCCAGAGGGGTCCAGGTGGGGTTAGGGGACACAGGCAGAGGGGTCGGGGCTGGGACAAGGGGGACACAGGCAGAGGGGTCTGGGCCAGGATTGGGGAGCACAGGCAGAGGGGTTGGGTTTGGGACAAGGGGGACTCAGGCAGAGGGGCCCAGGTGGGATGGGGAGCACAGACAGAGGGGTCCAGGTGGGATGGGGAGCACAGGCGGAGGGGTCGGAGCTGGGACAAGGGGGACACAGGCAGAGGGGTCCGGGCCGGGATTGGGGGGCACAGGCAGAGGGGTCGGGGCTGGGACAAGGAGGACACAGGCAGAGGGGTCCGGGCAGGGATTGGGGGGCACAGGCAGAGGGGTCGGGGCTGGAGCGGGGGAGACACAGGGCACTGTGGGAGCCCAGAGGCGGCTGTCTCCTGGCCTAGCCTGACAGTCAGGGATGCCTTCCTGGAGGAGAGGACACCCGGCCTGCATGTGAATCCTTTTGAGTCCTGACCCCCTGATCTACCCAGACACAGGGCAAGGTTCCTGCTCTGACCTCTTGGGGCCTTAATGCCTGATCTTCTTAATGCCCATCACTCAAGCTTTGAGGAACAAACCCTAAAAGTCTCAACCTGTGGTCACTTCTCCTAACCCTGGAACCCAAGGGTTTGCCCACCAGAGGGCGCTGTGGCCCCAGTCTTTGTCCAGCAGAGGCTGCTTCGGAAGCCTCAGATCCGGGAGACATCCTGCAGGCCATGGGGCTGCCCGCAGAGACACTGGGCCCCCAACCCTGAGCCTCAGACCCTGCCCAGGACCTGGTCACCAGGGTATCTCCCTCTCCTTCTCTCTCTCACACACACACGCCTCTAATCCAAGGTTCCGGTGGACCTGGAATCACAGAAAACTCTGCCCCATACCCACTGGGTCCAGCTTTGGCCTCTGAAGGAAATGCAACTGCTAACAGCCACTTCTCCCCTCTCCTGCCCGCTACAATTCAGAGGAAGCCTTCCCTAAGTGGCCCTTGGGATGTTCAGATGTACCTTTCAGAAGTTTCCTGCCCAGGCCCAGTGCGGTGGCTCACGCCTGTAACCCCAGCACTTTGGGAGGCGGAGGCAGGCGGATCACCTGAGGTCAGGAGTTCAAGACCAGCCTGGCCAACATGGTGAAACCCTGTCTCTACTAAAAGTACAAAAAATAACTGGCTGAGCATGGTGGCAGGTGCCTGTAATCCCAGCTACTCAGGAGGTTGAGGTAGGATAATAGCTTGAACCCAGGAGGCAGACACTGCAGTGGGCTGAGATCATGCCACCTGCACTCCAGCCTGGGCAACAAGAGTGAGACCCTGTATCAAAAAAAAAAAAAAAAAAAAAGTTTCCTGCCCAGATGGGGATGCTGAGGCGCAGAAGAGGTGGGGCTGGGGGGCCATGCAGTATCAGGGCAGCAACAGTAATAATCGTAACAGCAAATAAAGACTCATTGGTTCAGCTCCTCCTGAGTCAGGACCTGTACTGAGCTTTAACAAGCTACACACATCACTGAATCATACAGACCACACTTGGGAAGCAGGCACCCAAATGTCAGCAATGAGCTGAGACGGGAAGCCCTCAACCTTCATGGCAGGGAGAAGTAGGATTCGAACCCAGATCTGGTTGGGTGTGGTGGCTCAAGCCTGTAATCCCAGCATCCCAGCACTTTGGGAGGCCAAGGTGGGAGGATTTTTTTTTTTTTTTTTTTTTTTTTTTTTTGCTTGATTTTGAAACAGAGTCTCACTCCGTCGCCCAGGCTGGAGTTCAGGGGCGCCATCTCAGCTCACTTCAACCTCCTCCTCCTTGGTTCAAGTGATTCTCCTGCCTCAGCCTCCCAAGTAGCTGGGACTACAGGCATGCGTCACCACATCTGACTAATTTTTGTATTTTTAGTAGAGATGGGGTCTCACCATGTTGGGCAAGCTGATCTCGAACTCCTGACCTCAAATGATCCACCCACCTCGGCCTGCCAAAGGGCTGGGATTACAGGCATGAGCCACCGTGCCTGGCCAGGAGGATTGTTTGAGCCCAGGAGTTTGAGACCAGACAAGGCAACATAGTGAGACCCCATCTCTACAAAAGATTAAAAATAAATTAGCCAAGTGTGGTGAGGGGCACTTATACTCCCAGCTATTCAGGAGGCTGAGGCAGGAGGATCACTGGAGCCCAGCCTGGGCTTCTGAAGGAGACATGACTGCTAAGGTCGAGGCAGTAGTGAGCTATGATTGTGCCACTGCACTCCAGCCTGGGGTGCTGAGGGAGACTTGACACAGACAGGAGAGTGAGACTCTGGCTCAAAAAAAAAATAAGAAAGAAAGATATATCAGGCTGGGAGCGGTGGCTCAGGCTGGGCACAGTGGCTCAAGCCTGAAATCCCAGCACTTTGGGAGGCCGAGGCAGGCGGACCACAAGGTCAAAAGATTGAGACCATCCTGGCCAACATGGTGAAACCCCGTGTCTACTAAAAATACAAAAATTAGCTGGGCGTGGTGGCACGCACCTATAGTCCCAGCTACTCGGGAGGCTGAGGCAGGAGAATCGCTTGAACCCAGGAGGCAGAGGTTGCAGTGAGCCGACATTGCGCCAAGGCACTCCAGCCTGGCGACAAAGCGAGACTCCGTCTCAAAAAAAAAAAAAAAAAAAAAGGGAAGGGAAGGGGAGGGGAGGGAAGGGAAGGGAAGGGAAGGGAAGGTCTCTCTGATTATTGGTGGGGATGCAGACTGTGGAGGCAAAGGGGAGAGCAGAGACCAGGGAAGTGGTGCCAAGATGGGTCAGAGGGGAGGGGGAGCAACAGTGTGGGTATGAGAAAGGGATGGGAAGTAAGAGAATGTGGCTGTTATATGACCACCAAAGTGGTGGCCTAAAACAACAGAAATGGGCGGGCAAGGGTCATGCCTGGAATCCCAGCACTTTGGGAGGCCGAGGAGGGCAGATCACTTGAGGTCAGGAGATCAAGACCAGCCTGGCCAACATGGTGAAACCCCGTCTCTACTAAAAATACAAAAATTATCTGGGTGTGGTAATGCATGTCTGCAGTCTCAGCTACTCAGGAGGCTGAGGCAAGAAGATCACTTGAGCCTGAAAGTTGGAAGCAGTAGTGAGCTATGATCACACCACTGCACTGCAGCCTGGACAACAGAGAGAGTCTCTCTCTAAAAAAAAAAAAAAAAAGAAAGAAAAGAAAAAGAAGAAATAGGTTCAGCAGAACACAGATTCTAGAAAGAAAAAAGAAGCAAATAAAAAATAATTTTAAAAAATAAAACAGATTGATTTGAAGGAGTGAAGAAGTGTGGTGGCGGATGCCTGTAATCCCAGCTACTCGGGAGGCTGAGGCAGGAGAACTGCTTGATGAACCCAGGAGGCGGAGGTTGCAGTGAGTCGTGATGGAGCCATTGCAATACTTTGTCTCAAAAAAAACAAAAACAAAAACAAAAACAAAACAAAACAAAGCAAAATAAACAGAAATGTATTCTCTCACAGCGTAGAGGCCAGAAGTCCAAAGTCAGTGTCACTGGGCTGAAAGCAAGGTGTGGGCAGGGCTGTGTTCCTTTGGGAGGCTCTGGGGGAAAATCTGTTCCTCTCCAATTCCAGCTTATGGGGGCTGCTGGCAGTCCTGGGCTTGGCCACATCACGCCAGTCTTCAAGGCCAGCATCTCCACATCTCTGCTCTGCCTACACAGCACCTTCTGTCTATGTCAAGTCTCCCTCTGCCTCCCTCTTAAAGGGCACATGTGATCATTTTTGGAACCCACCTAGATAATTCAGGAGAATCTACCTCCCCTCAGGTCCCCCTTCTTTTTTTGAGACAAAGTCTCACTCTGTCACCCAGGCTGGAGTGCTGTGGCACCATCATAGTTCACTACAGGCTTGACCTCCTGGGCTCAAGCAATCCTCCCACCTCAGTCTCCCAAATAGCTGGGACCACAGGTGCACACCACCATGCCCAGCTTTTTTTTTTTTTTTTTTTTTTTTTTTGAGATGGAATCCCACTCTCGCCAGGATGGAGTGCAGTGGCTCCATCTCGGCTTACTGCAACCTCCACCTCCCAGGTCCAAGCGATTCTCCTGCCTCAGCCTCCCGAGTAGCTGGGATTACAGGCACATGCCACCATGCCCAGCTAATTTTTGTATTTTTAGTAGACACAGGGTTTCACCATGTTGGCCAGGATGGTCTCATTCTCTTGACCTCGTGATCCGCCCACCTCAGCTTCCCAAAGTGCTGGGATTAGAGGCGTGAGCCACCAAACCCAGCTTTTTTTTTTTTTTTTTTTTTTTTTGGAGAGAGAGTGTCTCATTTTGTTGCCCGGGCTGGTTCAAACTCCTGGGCTCAAGTGATCCTCCCACCTCAGCCTCCCAACACCCTGCGATTACAGGCATGAGCTACCGCACCCAGCCAGATCCCCATGTTAAGATGCTTAACTCAATCTCATCTGCAAAGACTCTTTTTCCTTCTACGGAACTAGGATCTCTTTGGGGAGGCATGATTCTGCCTCCCTCAGCAGAGTGGACAGAATCTGAGGGTGGATAATTTACAAATCTGACTGTGGAGTGTCAAGAATGAGGATGATGCCAGGGTCTGTAACCAGAGCAATCAGAGGCCCCTGAGACGGGGCCGCATGAGAAAGGGGCAGGTTAGGGAGAGGCCAGGAGATCCAGAGGTGTTGGGTCTGAGATGCGCATCAGACATCCAAGTGTTGTTGCTGGGTGAGTCTGAAGGTCAGAGAAGAGGTCAGGCTGGAGAGAATTTTGGAAGACCATTGATGGTACCTAAAGTCATCTTCTCCATGCAGGCATTCTCCCCAGGGGAGCTCACTCAGCCTTCTCACTTTAGGTAACATCAACAGTCTTCCAAAAGTTGGAGACCCCGGCTGGCCAGCATTGACAGGAGAGAGAGTGAGGAGGAACCAGGTGAGAACGAGGCCGGAGACAGAGGAGGCAGGAGGTGAGAGGAGGCCAGAGACAGCGGCCCTGTAAAGAAAACATTCAGGCTGTTGGCCGGGCGCGGTGGCTCACGCCTGTAATCCCAGCACTTGGGGAGGCCAAGCGGGTGGATCACAAGGTCAGGAGTTCGAGACTAGCCTGGCCAATATGGTGAAACCCTGTCTCTACTAAAAATACAAAAAATTAGCCGGGCCTGGTGGCGGGCGCCTGTAGTCCCAGCTACTCCAGAGGCTGAGGCAGGAGAATGGCGTGAACCTGGGAGGCGGAGCTTGTAGTGAGCCGAGATGGCGTCACTGCACTCCAGCCTGGGCGACAGAGCGAGACTCTGTCTCAAAAAAAAAAAAAAAGAGAGAAAACATTCAGGCCGGCATGGTGGCTCAAGCCTGTAAGCCCAGCACTGGGAGGCTGAGGTGGAAGGATCTCTTGAGCCAAGGAGTTTTCAAGATCAGCCTGAGCAATATATTGAGACCCTCATCTCTACAACAAATAAGAAAATTAGCAGGGCATGGTGGTGCACGCCTGCAGCCCCAGCTACCGGGGAGGCTGAGGAGGGAGGATCACCTGAGCCTGGGAGGTCAAGGCTGCAGTGAGCCATGATCACGCCTTGCGCCACTACACTCCAGCCTAGGCGACAGAATGAGATTCTTTTAAAAAAATAAATATAAGGCCGGGAGTGGTGGCTCACACCTGTAATCCCAGCACTTCGGGAGGCCAAGGCAGATGGTTCAACTGAGGTCAGGAGTTCGAGACCAGCCTGGCCAACATGGTGAAACCCTGTCTCTACTAAAAATACAAAAAATTATCTGGGCGCTGTAGCAGACGCTTGTAATTCCAGCTACTTGGGAGGCTGAGGCAGGAAAATCACTTGATCCTGGGAGGTGGAAGTTGCAGTAAGCCACTATCGTGCCACTGCACTCCAGCCTGGGAGACAGAGCAAGGCTCCGTCTCAAAAATAAATAAATAAAATAAATAAACATTTTATAAAAAGAAAGCAGACGGGCGCGGTGGCTGGCTGGGCGCGGTGGATCATGCCTGTAATCCCACCACTTTGGGAGGCCAAGGCAGGTGGATCACAAGGTCAGGAGATCGAGACTAGCCTGGCCAATATGGTGAAACCCCTTCTCTACTAAAAATACAAAACTTAGCTGGGCATGGTGGTGCGTGCCTGTAATCCCAGCTACTCGGAAGGCTGAGGCAGGAGAATTGCTTGAACCAGGGAGGTGGAGGTTGCAGTGAGCCAAGATCGAGCCACTGCACTCCAGCCTGGGCGACAGAGTAAGACTCTGTCTCAAAAAAAAAAAAAAAAAAAAAAGAGAAAAGAAAAGAAAATATTCGCTGGGCACGGTAGCTTATGCCTGTAATCCCAGCACTTTGGGAGGCCTAGGTGGGTGGATCACCTGAGGTTGGGAGTTTGAGACCATCCTGACCAACATGGAGAAACCCAATCTCTACTAAAATTACAGAACTGCCGGGCGTGGTGGCACCCGCCTATGATCCCAGCTACTCCAGAGGCTGAGGCAGGAGAATCACTTGAACCTAGGAGGCAGAGGTTGCGATGAGCTGAGATCACGCCATTGCACTCTAGCCTGGGCAACAAGAGCAAAACTCCATCTCAAAAGAAAAAAGAAAGAAAGAAAGCATTCAGGGGAGTGGGAGCCAGTGTTGCACCGGATGTAGCTGAGAGGTCAAGACAAGCAGGAGGTGTGATGTTGGACCCAACACCATGGGGACCCCGACAAGAGCATTTCCAGAGTAGGAACAGCAAGATGTGAACATTTGATTGGAAATGGTGTAAGAGAGAACTGAGAACGTCTCTTGTGAGAAATTTTGCTGTAAAAGGAAACGGAGAAATGGGGCTGGAGCTGGAGGAAGTCCAGAGAGTTTTTGTTGTGATTTTGTTTTAATGTGGAAGAAGTGACGATGTGTCTGTGTGCCCGTGGGAATGAGTACGTGGGGGCTGGGGACCTGCTGGAGCAATGACCTTCAGGAAGCAAGAGAAAATGGGGAAAATAGGCCAGGCACGGTGGCTCAATTTGGGAGGCCGAGGTGGGCAGATCACTTCAGCCCAGGAGCTCGAGACCAGCCTGGGCAACATGGCAAAACCCCGTCTCTACAAAAAAAAAAAAAAAAAAAAAAAAGGTAGCCGGGCATGATGGCACGTGCCTGTAATCCCAGCTACTACTTGGGAGGTTAAGGTGGGAGGATCATCTGAGCCCGAGGAGGTTGAGGTTTCAGGGAGCCATGATGGTGCCACTGCACTCCAGCCTGGGTGACAGAGACCCCATCTCAAAAAAGAAAAAAAAAAAAAAGAAAATGGGGGAAATCCCCAAGGGGGGTGACGTTAGAGACAGCTGATCCATCCCAACAGGACCCAAAAGCACTTACCAGCACAGAAGCCAGGAGGTGGGGCAGTCGGCAGGAGACGAGGGAATTAGGGTGTTCTCTTCTAGTGAAGCTTGTGAGCAAGGATGGGGAAAGGAGAGAGACACACTTGGAACCCTCACTATGAGCAAGGGAGGTATGGAGCGTGGCTCCCACCCCAGTGGACGCCTGGAGGGGAGGGTCAGGAATTTAAAGTGAAAACTTGTGTTTCCTCCAACCATGCTAACCAATGAGGGCACACACTTGCAGAAGACAGAGAGTTGCCAGCACTTTGGGAGGCCTAGGGGGGCGGATCACCTGAGGTCAGGAGTTCGAGACCAGCCAGGACAATATGGCAAAACCCCATCTCTACTAAAAATACAAAAATTAGCCGGGCATGGTGGCACACGCTTGTAATCCAGCTACTTAGGAGGCTGACGCACAAGAATCACTTGAACCCGGAAAGCAGAGATTATAGTGAGTCAAGATTGCGCCACTGCACTCCAGCCTGGGCAAAAAGAGTGAGACTCTGTCTCAAAGAAAAAAAATACAAGGGGAAGGGAATGAGACACCACCTTTTGATGGGAGAGTGAGAAATAATTTGGCATGTCACAGTGATATTCTCTTCCATTTTCCATAATCAACTCCATTGGTGTTTTTTGTTGTTTTTTTTGTGTTTTTTGAGACGGAGTCTCCATCTGTCACCCAGGCTGGAGTGCAGTGGTGTGATCCCGGCTCACTGCAACCTCCACCTCCCGGGTTCAAGCAATTCTCCTGCCTCAGCCTCCCGAGTAGCTGGGATTACAGGTGCATGCCACCACGTCCTGCTAATTTTTTGTATTTTAGTAGAGACGGGGTTTCACCGTCTTGCCCAGGCTGGTCTCAAACTCTTGAGCTCAAGCAATCCACCTGCCTCGGCCTCCCAAAGTGCTAGGATTACAGGTGTGAGCCACTGCGCCCAGCCAACTCAATTGTTATACTCTACATTTAGGTCTTTATTCTATCTGGAGTCTATTTTTGTATGTGCTGCTACATAGGGACACTTTAGTAGGATTATTTTTAAATTTTTTAAAAAATTTCAATAGTTTTGGGGTACAGGTGGTTTTTGGTTACATGGATAAGCTCTTTTTTTTTTTTTTTTTTTGAGATGGAGTCTTGCTTTGTCACCCAGGCTGGAGTGCAGTGGCGCGATCTCGGCTCACTGCAAGCTCCGCCTCCCGGGTTCATGCCGTTCTCCTGCCTCAGCCTCCTGAGTAGCTGGGACTACAGGCGCCCGCCACCATGCCTGGCTAATTTTTTTGTATTTTTAATAGAGACGGGGTTTCAACATATTAGCCAGGATGGTCTCAATCTCCTGACTTCGTGATCCACCCGCCTCGGCCTCCCAAAGTGCTGGGATTACAGGCGTGAGCCACCGCGCCTGGCATGGATAAGTTCTTTAGTGGTGACTTCTGAGATTTTAGTGCACTTGTCACTGGAAGAGTGTACACTGTATCCAGTATGTAGTCTTTATCCCTCACCACCTCCCAACCTTCCCTGCCCCAAGTCCCAGAGTCCATTATATCATTCTTATGCCATTGTGTCCTCATACCTTAGCTCCCGCTTACAAGTGAGAACATACGGTTTGTGGTTTTCCATTCCTCAGTTACTTTACTTAGAATAATGGCCTCCAAGGCTGGGCGCGGTGGCTCACGCCTGTAATCCCAGCACTTTGGGAGGCCAAGGTGGGTGGATCACATGAGGTCAGGAGTTCGAGACCAGCCTGACCAATATGATGAAACCCCTTCTCTACTAAAAATACAAAAAAATTAGCCGGGCGTGGTGGTTCATGCCTGTAATCCCAACTACTCAAGAGGCTGAGGCAGGAGAATTGCTTGAACCCAAGCGGCACAATCTCGGCTCACTGCAACCTCCGCCTCCTGGGTTCAAGCAATTCTCCTGCCTCAGCCTCCCAAGTAGCTGTGATTACAGGCATGCACCACTACACTCTGCTAATTTTTGTATTTTTACTAGACATGGGGTTTCACCATGTTGGTTAGGCTGGTCTCGATCGCCTAACCTCAGGTGATCCACCCGCCTCAGCCTCCCAAAGTTCATCTGGAATTTTGATGAAGATTGCTGTGGGCGGGCACAGTGGGCAGCAGCGAGACTTCGTCTAAGGAAAAAAAAATTAGGTGTGATGACACGTGCCTGTAGTCCTAGTTACTTGGGAGGCTGAGGTGGGAGGATCACCTGAGCTCAGGAGTTTGAGGGTGCAGTGAGCTATGATGGTTCCACTGCACTCCAGCCTGGGCAACAGAGTGAGACCGTGTCTCAAAAAAAAGTTCTGCCCATCAACCAATGAGTGCATAAAGGAAATGTGGTACATATACAGCCGTTAAAAGGAATGAAATCATGTATTTTGCAGCCACTTGGATGGAGCTGGAGACATTATTCTTTTTTTTGTTTGTTTGAGAGGAAGGTCTTGCTCTGTGGCCCAGGCCAGAGTGCAATGGCAGGATCTCGGCTCACTGCAAACTCTTGGGCAGATCATGAGGTCAGGAGTTCGAGACCAGCCTGACCAACATGTCGAAACCCCGTCTCTACTAAAAATACAAAAATTAGCCGGGCATGGTGGCGCGTGCCTGAAATCCCAGCTACTGAGGAGGCTGAGGCAGGAGAATCGCTTGAACCCGGGAGGCGGAGATTGCATTGAGCCGAGATCATGCCACTGCACTCCAGCCTCAGTGACAGAGCGATTCTCAGTCTCAAAACAAACAAACAAACAAAAACCACTTCAAGCCGGGCATGATGCGGGTGCCTGTAGTCCCAGGTACTCAGGAGGCTGAAGCAGGTAGGATCGCTTGAACTCAGGATTTCGAGGCTGCAGTGAGCTATCATAGTGCTGCTGTGCTCCAGCCTGGGCGACAGAGCAAGACCCCTTTCTAAAAAAAAAAAAAAAAAAAAAAAAAAAAGATAAGATATGAAAACAAAACAGCCGGGTGCGGTGGCTCACGCTTGTAATCCCAGCACTTTGGGAGGCCGAGGTGAGTGGATTACCTGACGTCAGGAGTTTGAGACCAGCCTGACTAATATGGTGAAATCCCGTCTCTACTAAAAATACAAAAATTAGCCAGGCATGGTGGCGCGTGTGTAGTCCCAGCTACTCAGGAGGCTGAGGCAGGAGAATCGCTTGAACCTGGGAGGTGGAAGTTGCAGTGAGCCGAGATCGCGCCATTGCGCTCCAGCATGGGGGACAAGAGCAAAAACTCTGTCTCAAAAAACAAACAAAGAAACAAAACAGAAAAAGTAAAAAGGAGAAACGAAAATTAAAAAAAAAAAACAAAACAAAGAAATAAAATAAAATAAAACCAATTCACATAGCCACGAGGGGGCGCTGAGGCCTCACGTCCACACGTAGAGGGCTGCGGTGCTTGGAGACAACGTGGCCACCTGGGAGTACGGTTCTTGGGCAAGCGCCTACTGTGCGCCCGGCGCCGTTCTACACAGGAACACAGCGCTTTTCAAGGTAGGCGAGGAGCTAATATTCTGAAGATGGTGGTGGGGGGCGGTGAACAGACAATAGAATAGACAGACCAGAGTGTAATATTTTTTTTTTTGAGATAGGGTGTTGCTGTGTTTCCCAGGCTGGAGTGCAGTGGTGCAATCATAGCTCACTGCAGCCTCAAACTCCTGGGCTCAAGCAATACTCCCACCTCAGCCTCCAGAGTAACTAAGAACACAGGCATGCACCACCACGTCTAGCTAATTTTATTTTTTGTAGAGACAGGGTCTCCCCTGGGCTGGTCTGGAACTCCTGGCCTCAAGTGATCCTCCTACCTCGGCCACTCAACGTGCTAGGATTACAGGCATGAGCCACCACGCCTGGCCAATAAATTCTATAAAAAAATAAATAAATCAGCAGGGCACGGTGGCTCACACCTGTTATCTCAGCACTTTGGGAGGCCGAGACAGGTGGATCATGAGGTCAGGAGTTCAAGACCAGGCTGGCCAGGATGGTGAAACCCTGTCTCTACTAAAAATACAAAGAAATTAGCTGGGCGTGGTGGCAGGTGCCTATAATCCCAGCTACTCGGGAGGCTGAAGCAGAGAATTGCTTGAACCCAGGAGGTGGAGGTTGCATTGAGTAGGGATCATGCCACTGCACTCCAGCTTGGGCAACAGAGTGAGACTCCGTCTCCAAAAAAATTAAAATCAATCAATCGATCGATCGGTCAAGTGACAGGATAGTGACTGAGGGTGCTCCTTAGATTAGGTGCTGCAGAACACCTCTCTGAGATGACATCTACATGATGGTGAGGATGAGAGAAACACGGGGAGAACTGCAGGCAGAGGCAATGTGGCCACGGGTCATGGAGGGGCCGGTAGGTGGGTCTGAGGACGGGAGAGAAGCTGGTGTGGGTGAGGGTCAGACAGCAGAGGGCTGAAGGCAGGAAGGTGACAGGGCGCAGTGTGGCCAGGAGGACTACCAAGGAAAGGCTGTGAAAAGTGGTGACTGTGAAAAGTGGTGACATGAAATGTCTTCAGGATGGGTTTTAATTTTTTATTTATTTAGTTTTTTTGAGACGGAGTCTCGCTCTGTCACCCAGGCTGGAATGCAGTGGCGCGATCTCCACTCACGGCAAGCTCCGCCTCCTGGGTTCACTCCATTCTCCTGCCTCAGCCTCCTGAGTAGCTGGGAGTACAGGCACCTGTCACCACGCCCGGCTAATTGTTTTGTATTTTTAGTAGAGGCGGGGTTTCACCTTGTTAGCCAGGATGGTCTCGATCACCTGACCTTGTGATCCGCCCGCCTCGGCCTCCCAGTGTTGGGATTACAGGCGTGAGCCACTGGGCCCTGCCTCCCCGCCCCCCGCCCCGAGACGGAGTCTCGCTCTGTCGCCCAGACTGGAGTGCAGTGGCATGATCTCGGCTCACTTCAACCTCTGCCTCCCAGATTCAAGCAATTCTCCTGCCTCAGCCTCTGGAATGGTTGGGACTACAGGCATGCACCACCACATCCGGCTAATTTTTTTTTTCTGTATTTTTAGTAGACACGGGGTTCCACCACATTGGCCAGGCTGGTCTCGAACTCCTGACCTCAGGTGATCCTCCTGACTCGGCCTCCCAAATTGCTGGGATGACAGGCATGAGCCAGCACACCTGGCCCAGGGTAAGTTGTTAAATGGCCGGCAAGGTGTCTCACGCCTGTCATCCCTGCACTTTGAGAGACTGAGGCGGGAGGATCACTTGAGCTCAGGAGTTTGAGAACAGCTTGACCAACATAGTGAGACCTCATCTCTACAGAATATTTAAAAATTATCTGGGCATAGTGGTGCACACCTATAGTCCCAGCTATGTGGGAGGCTAAGGCAGGCGGCTTGCTTGAGCCCAGGAATTAGAGGCTGCAGTAAGTTATGATTGCACCATTGCATTCCAGCCGGGGTGACAGAGTGAGACTGTCTCTAAAAAAAAGTAAAATTAAAAAAAGCAAAGAGTAATGTTCGGAATGTCTGCCTTGTTGGTACAAAAGGGGTGACTAGAACATAGCTTCACACTTGTTTGTATTTGCAGAAAAAAATATTGCAGTAATACTAAGAAATTGATTTTCTTTTTAAAATGGTAACCTTTGGAGGAAAGAGGAAGAGAGAACAGGGTGGATGGAGGTTAGGGTGAGAGTGAGAAAAGGCGTTGTCTGGCTGCTGAGTGGGAAACGGACCACAGACGGTGGGAGGCAAGGAGCCAGCTGGGTGGGGAGGCTAGTGTGGCTACAAGGCGGGGAGGGCGGCGCATGGTGGGTTAAGTACACTGTGTCTTTTGGGGCTTTTTTTTTTTTTTTGAGGCGGAGTTCCGCTCTTGTTGCCCAGGCTGGAGTGCAATGGCGCGATCTTGGCTCACTGCAACCTCTGCCTCCCGGGTTCAAGCTATTCTCCTGCCTCAGTCTCCCGACTAGCTAGAATTACAGGCATGTGCCACCATGCTCAGTTATTATTTTTTGTATTTTTAGTAGAGACGGTGTTTCACCATATTGGCCAGGCTGGTCTCGAACTCGTGACCTCAGGTGATCCACCCGCCTCAGCCTCCCAAAATGCTGGGATCACAGGTGTGAGCCACTGCTCCTGGCCCCTTTGGGGCTTTTCTGTATCTGAAGAGCTGTGGTTCAGTGTTCCTAAGGGACTTCCTGCTGGCCAGAAATGGTGACCATAGGAGCTAATGATCAGTCCCCTCCTTACAATGACAGGGTTGATAACAGTGCTTACCATGTGCCTGGGCCTAGCGTATTCTCTGCATTTAAACCTCACAACAGGCTGGGCGCGGTGTCTCCCACCTGGAATCCCAGCACTTTGGGAGGCCAAGGCGGGTGGATCGCTGGAGCCCAGGAGTTCGAGACCAGCCTGGGCAACATGGTGAAATCCCATTTCTACAAAACATACCAAAATCAGCTGGGCTTGGTGGTGTGTGCCTGTAATCCCAGATGCTTCGGAGGCTGAGGTGGGAGGATCATTTGAGCCCCTGAGGCAGAGGTAGCAGTGAGCCAAGATCACACCACTGTACCCCAGTGTGGGTGGCAGAGTGAAACCCTGTCTCAAAAAACAAAATAAAACAAAACCTCACAATAATCCCTGGAGGTAGGTACTATTAAAATCACCTTCATTTTACAGATGTGGACACAGACACAGAGAAGTTAGGTGACTTTCTCAAGATCACACAGCTAGGAAGTGCCACTTGAATCCAGGCAGTAATCCAAAATCCATGTTCTTAACCACTAACCACTGTGGTGTGCCGTTTCCCAATTCTTTTCCTTTTTTTTTTTTTTTTTTTTTTTGAGACAGAGTTTTGCTCTGTTGCCCAGGCTGTAGTGCAATGGCCCAATCTCGGCTCACGGCAACCTCTGCCTCCCGGGTTCAAGCGATTCTCCTGCCTCAGCCTCCCAAGTAGCTGGGATTTTAGGCAAGCGCCACCACGCCCGGCTAATTTTGTATTTTTAGTAGAAACGGGGTTTCTCCATGTTGGTCAGGCTGGTCTCAAACTCCCAACCTCAGATGATCCACCTGCCTCGGCCTCCCAAAGTGCTGGGATTACAGGCGTGCACCGTACCCGGCCCTTTTTTATTTTATTTTATTTTTTTTTTGAGACACTGCTTCGTTACCCAGGCTGCATGCAGTGGTGTGATCGACCTCCTGGGCTCAATCCTGTGACCTTGGCTGGGATTAGAGACTTGAGTCACCCCGCCTGGCCTCCCAGTCCTTCACTGTAGCATTGTTCTCAGTTAATTGTATTGCCCTTTAGATTGGTTATCTCCACGGATTGCGAGCAATCATGAAGACCTTAGTATGAATTAGCCAATATTTTCCCATCACTGAACAATAGCAATTGTTGCTGTGGTTTAAAGGGACCCTGTAGAGCAGGAGTTAAATAGTTGGGCTCTGGAGTCATAATGCCTGGGACTGAAGCCCAGCACCACCATTTCCCAGCCATGTGACTTTGAACAAGTGACATCCCTAATCTGGGCCTCTGTTTCCTCATCTGCAAAGTACCCATTTTCCAGATGAGGATACTGAGGCCTAACACACGCACACACAGGACTTTAGAACCTGGGTTTTGAGCGCATACCGCCTCCACCAGGACAAGGAACCCAAACGAGATTCTGTGAGAGGGAAGTAGAAAGGGTTCTGCAGGCCCAAGTGGGGTGTTCTAGGACACGGGCTTAGGAGCTGGGATGTCAGCAGGAGGGACTTGCCCATTCTCTATACAGTGTGGAGGAAAGGGAGCACTGGAAGCCTTGGGTCCATCTGCACAGAGACAGCAAGGTCACCTGAACGGCTGGACAGGCCAGGGTGCTCCTGGATGCTCCTCCTCAGGGGGGTCTTCTCTTCCTCCCAGACTGGAGCTCAGACACCCGGGATAAGTGCTTAATCCTGGCGGGGCCACTTAATGGCACAGGTGGGGACAGGGCCCTGGGGCCCCAACTTCAGTCAGTGGAGGCCACGTGGGAGATGTACTTTGTCCTTGGTGAGACAGCCCAGCTCTGACCCTGCCCTGGTCCTAAGCACGGCCACAGCCCCACCCCAGCTCCTGATTATACACACCTGGGACCACTGGTCCAACCAGAACCATTAGAATGTAGCCGTGCCATTAAAGGCCATTAAAAGGCCTGGCATGGTGTCTCACACCTGTAATCCCAGTACTTTGGGAGGCCGAGGCAGGTGGATCACGAGGTCAGGAGTTCAAGACCAGCCTGGCCAAGGTGGTGAAACCCTGTCTTTACTAAAAATACAAAAATTAGCCAGGTGTGGTGGTGCACGCCTGTAATCCCAGCTATTCGGGAGGCTGAGGCAGAAGAATCACTTGAACCCAGGAGGCAGAGGTTTCAGTGAACTGAGATCTCGCCACTGCACTCCAGCCTGGGTGACAGAGCAAGACTCCATCTCAAAAAATAAAATAAAATAAAATAAAATAAAATGTTGAAATATAGGCCAGGCCTAGTGGCTCACACCTGTAAACCCAGCACTTTGGGAGGCTGAGGTGGGCAGATCACTTGAGGTCGGGAGTTCAAGACCAGCCTGGCCAACATGGTGAAACCCCATCTCTGCTAAAAATACAAAAAGTAGCCAGGCATAGTGGTGTGCCTGTAATCCCAGCTACTTGAGAGGTTGAGGCAGGAGAAATCACTTGAACTTGGGAGGTAGAGGCTGCAGTGAGCTGAGATCACACCACTGCACTCCAGCCTGGATGACAGAGCGAGACTCTGTCTCAAAAAAAAAAAAAAAAAAAAAAAATACGGCTGGGCGCGGTGGCTCACACCTGTAATCCCTGCACTTTGAGAGGCCGAGGCGGTCAGATCACCTGAGGTCAGGAGTTCAAGACCAGCCTGACCAACATGGTAAAACCCATCTCTACTAAAAATACAAAAAATTAGCCGGGCATGGTGGCGCATGTCTGTAATCTCAGCTACTCAGGAGGCTGAGGCAGGAGAATCGCTTGAACCCAGGAGGCAGAGGTTACAGTGAGCCGAGATCGCACCATTGCACTCCAGCCTGGGCAACAAGAGCAAAACTTCATCTTAAAAAAAAAAAAGAAAGAAAGAAAGAAAAAAAAGACAATGTTGAAATAGAGGGCTGGGTGTGGTGGGTGAATTGCTTGAGCCCAGAAGTCCAAGACCAGTCTGGACAACATAAGGAGACCTTGTCTCTACAAAAAAGTAAAAAAATAGCCAGCCATGATGGCTCACACCTGTAATCCCAGCATTTTGGGATGCCAAGTTAGGAGGATTTATTGAGCCCAGGAGGTCAAGGCTACAGTGAGCTATGATTGTACCACTGCACTCCAGCCTGGGTGACAAAGTGAGGCTCTGTCTCTAAAACAAAATTAGGTCAGGCACAGTGGCTCACCCCTGTCATTGCAGCACTTTGGGAGGCCGAGACAGGCTGATAATTTGAGCCCAAGAGTTTAAGACCAGACCGGACAATACGGCAAGATCCTGTTTCTTAAAAAAAAAAAAAAAAAAAAAAAAAAAAAAAAAAAAGCCAGGCATGGTGGTGCATGCCTGTAGTCCCAGCTACTTGGGAGGCTGAACTGAGAGGATCACCTGAGCCTGAGGAGGTCAAGGCTGCAGTGAGCCAAGATTGCACCACTGGACTCCAGCCTGGGTGACAGAATGAGACCCTGTCTCAAAAAACAAAATAATTTTTTTTAAACAATAAAATTAAAAAACATAAAATAAAATTTTTTTTAAAAAGCCACTACCCACTTCTGATGGCCCAGCTGCTCCCTTGGGACCCTCCAGGCCTCTCCATGCCCCAGCATGAAAGGATTAACCTGGGTTCAATAGGGGGCTTCCCTGATCCAGCTCTGGGGGCCATTGTCCTTCCTGACTGGTGGATGGCCCTGGCAATATTTGGTGTTTTCCCTGGCTCTGCCCCAATATCAATCCCTCCACCCATAAGTTCAGAGTCCTCAGAGAAGGGTATCCATTTCACAGAACTCCTATGCATCCTTCAAAGCCCACCTTAATGCCACTTCCTTCAGGAGGCCCTCCCAGATTTCTTCACCACCCCCAGAGTGAATAGCTCCCTCCCCTCTGCCAAGCTCCCAGGTATCTTGAGCCATTCAGCACACTTTGTTCTGATTCTCACACTCAGGCCCTTCTCCCCCCATAGTGTGTGAGCACCTTGATGCCAGAGACCATCTTCCTCTCATCTTTGCAGCCTCAGTACCAAGGGCCATTATAAGCACAGCGCAGATTTCATGGAGTGGCTGAATGATTTGTTTGCTGTGTGATCACCTGTACTGAGTCAATATCGGTCACCTTTGGTCATGAGCATGCCCCTTGACCCAGATTCCTGCAGGAGCCTGCATATAGGGGCCCTGCTTGCTGGGACTGGGGATGGGGGTGGGGTGGGGAGTTCAAGGGAAGGCAAGGTCTAGGATATAAATCCCAAGGGCGTGGGCTCAGCAGGGCCCGTTCTCATGCTTTCTGGCCCGGGAGGAGTGATTCTCCATCTGGCAGGCCCAGCTGCAGTGCTGGGACAGGGACATGAGCAGAGGCCACAGGAGGAGAGAGGGAGGTTGTGGGGGGAGCTCGGGGAAGCCCATGGTAACCCGGGGGGAGGAAAAACAGCCACACAGTGTTATTGTTACAGAACCATTAAATACAACTTATACACAAGCAAGCTGGGCGGCGTCCGGGGGGCAGGGAGAGTGCAAGAGGGTCAGGGGTGAGCAGTCCGGGCCCGGTCCTGGAGGGGGCTGAGGCTGCCGTCGTGGGAGGGGCTTGGCTGGCGGAGGCCGGGCTGCCTGTGGAGGCCTTGAAGCTTTGCCAGCAGCTCCTGGATGAAGTCCTGAGACAGGGTGGGGGAGCTGAGAACATGGGAACAGTGCGGGGGCACCCTCTGCCCCTGTCCAGCCCAGTCCCTGACCTGGGCGCCTCCTCCTGTTCTCTGATTGTGGGGTGGGGGGAGTTAGGGGCGGAGGCTATAGACATAGAGAGAAAAGTGAGCCGGGAGAAAGACAGAGATGGGGAAAGGGCGATGGGAGGGATGGAGAGAAAGAGCTAGGAAGAGAGATAGAGATCCAAGGAGACAGATACGGAGTGGGGGAGGGGGAGAAACAGACACAGAAACAGAGAGACATGTAGAGATAGAGACAGAGAGAGACATAAGGACAGAGAAAGAAACAGAGACATGTGGAGACAGGTCCCCAGAGATAGATCCAGGGCGAACAGAAATGCAATGACGTTTGTCCCTAGAGCTAGTTGGAGAAACATGAATAGTTTTCCCTTTTAAAGCAGGGAAGGAAGTGGGAGGGGTTGGGCCGCTCAGCTTCAGGGCCTGGGAGGATGGAGGGCCCCCAGAGGTGGGGAAGGGAGCCCGGGGTGGCGGAGGCAGTGACAGGGGAGGACAGAGGGAGACTGAGCCCGAAGGCTGGTGGCCAAAGGACAGGCACAGGAGAGGCAAAAACAGGGCAGATGGGGGAGGACAGAATGGAGCCCCCTCAGCAGATGGGGGAGAGAGGGAGAGAGACAAGTAGGAGGACAAAAGACACCCCTGGAGACCAGAAAGAGCTGCGGAGGGCAGGTTGGGGCCGGGGGTGGTGGGGCCGGGTGGTGTTCCCCAGAGACCCTTCTGCCAGCTTCTTCCCCCTCCCCCATCAGAGTACTTGGGGCCAGAACAGGGAGAGAATGAGGGAGAGAAAACTCACCTCGACAGGTTTCCCACATGACTTCAGGAGTCCCTAAAACCCCCAACCAAGAACAAAACAAAACAGTAAATGACTAACACCTACTCCCCTCCAGCCCCTTCCCTTTCCCAAAAGGCCCCAGCAGCAAGACAAATGGAAGTCAGACTCCAGGGTGGACTGCCCACCAAGCTTCAAGAGAGGAACAGAGCCCAAGGGGCATGTGGATCGACTCAGGGCAGGGGTGAGTTACTAGATCCAGAGAGGGCGAGAGGGTCACACAGCACTTCCCTCCTCTAAAAAGGTATAAGCCATAAGCAAAGACATGGCTGCCAAACTGCCTGGGTTCGATGCCCAGCTCTGCTCCTTCTGAGCTGTGTGACACTGGGCAAGGGATTCAACCTCTCTGGGCCTCATTTTCCTCATGGGGAAAATGGAGCTCACACTAGCGCCTGCTTCGGAGGGTTTTGTGAGGGTTAAGTGAGTGAATACATGTAAAGCCATCACACCAGTGCCCGGCATCTAGTGAGCACTCAGTAAACACGTGAACTATTGCTATTATTTTTAGGGAGGTGCAAAGTGGGAGGCTGGGGGACACGTCCCCCCACCTACCTGGATTTTCCGGCTTCTCTCCTCTTCACTCTCTAACTCCAACAATTCATCAATGTTGATCTCATCGGGCATGTCTGCCTCCTAGGGCCAGGGAGGGAGGGGTGCTTAGGATCCCCTTCCCTCCCTCCCTCGCCTTTGTCCAGGGCTCTGCAGGAGCCCCACCGGCCCCAGGGCCCAGCTGGCGGGTTCTGGAGCATTAATGTGGCAGTCCGGGACAGCACTGCCAAGACGGGACATCTGGGTGTTGGGGGGGAGGGGTGACAGATGGGCTGAGAGAGCCCCGGGGCCCTGTACCAGCCCGATGCCTGGGCCCATGGGCCCCGGGAGCCTCGGGGCTGGCACGGGTCTCTCGCCTTGGCTCTAGTTCCCACAGAGGAAAACAGGCCTAGTGGAGTCCTGGAATGTCAGATTCTGGGATTCGGGAGAGGAGCTGGCTTCTGCCCTTTCAAGGAAAAGTCTTAGCACTAGGTGCAGGGGAGGAGAGGCTGGCAGCCAGCAGCCAGCTGGGGCGGCCCCTTCCCCCAGGGGACAGGAAGGGAGGGGACAGGAAGGGAGGGGACGGCTTGGGCCAGCCCCCAGAGGGCCAAAATGCAGCCTGGTGAGACCGAAGGGAGGACCACCGAGGCCCCTCAAGGTGGGTGGGTGGGATGAGTCATGGCTCAACTCAGCTGCTAAGAGCGGGGCGCTGAGTGTGGCCTCTACAGGCAGTGGCCCAAGCGCAGGCTGGCTCAGTACCCCTGCTGGGAATAGGACCCAGCTGTCCCCAGCTGTCGAGGGAGCAAGAGAGCCTTGGGGTTATGAATCCTTTCCTCCCCAACCCAAAGTCCGGCTGTCGGCTTCAGGCCTGGGGCTTCAGGGCTGGATGGTCCTGGTTCATGTGTGGTGAAGGGGCTTCAGCAAGGACACAGGTGTGTGAGTCTCTGCCAGGGCCACAGCCTGATGCCAAGGGCCTGGGGCTGGCCGAGGATGCAGAGGGACCTGGCATCGTGCAGTGGCTTCGTATAGTGGACTGTGGTCCTGCAGGTGTGAGGTGTGTGGCTCTGGCTTGGGTGTGTGACACATCAGCATGTGTCCACAGTCAGCTGTGGGGCCCACCACCTGAGAATGGCCTCATAGATGCCACCTGCCACTAGCAACCAGATTGGTTCACCTGTATGGGCCCAGGTGTGAGTCTGAGAACAGAGGGACTGCATGTCACCATGGGAGAAGGGCCATGCCTTCCACCATTGTCGCACCATGAAGAGGAGGACTCGTGGGTCCTGTGTACACTGTAGCATACAGAAGTCACAGAAGGCCAGGCGCAGTGGCTCACGCCTGTAATCCTGACATTTTGGGAGGCCGACAAGAGAGAATTGCTTGAGCCTAGGAGTTCAAGATCAGCCTGAGCAACATAGCGAGGCCCCATCTCTTTTTCTTTTTTCTTTTTTTTGAGACAAAGTCTCCTTCTGTCACCTAGGGTGGAGTACAATGGCGCGATCTTGGCTCACTGCAACCTCCGCCTCCCGGGTTCAAGTGATTCTCCTGCCTCAGCCTCCCAAGTAGCTGGGATTACAGCTGCCTGCCACCATGCCCGGCTAATTTTTGTAATTTTAGTAGAGACAGGGTTTCACCATGTTGGCCAGGCTAGTCTCGTACTCCTGACCTCAAGTGATCTGCCCACCTTGGCCTCCCAAAGTTCTGGGATTACAGGCGTGAGCCACTGTGCTCGGCCAATGAGGCCCCACCTCTAAGGAAAAGAAAAAAGAAGTCACTGAAAGTGTGACTTCAAGCAGAAACTCAAGTGATGAAGTACCTGTGTGTGTCAATACATGTAGCTGTGGCTTAGGCTCTTGTGTGCCTGTGAGCAGCGGTGGGTTCTGCAGTTGTATGTCCACCTGTTCCTATAGCTTACAGTTTTTTGTTTGTTTGTTTGTTTTTGAGACGGAGTTTCGCTCTTGTTGCCCAGGCTGGAGGGCAATGGCGGGATCTCGGCTCACCGCAACCTCCTCCTCCCGGGTTCAAGCGATTCTCCTCCCGAGTAGCTGGGATTACAGGCATGTGCCACCACACCCGGCTAATTTTGTATTTTTTAGTAGAGACGGGATTTCTCCATGTTGATCAGGCTGGTCTCAAACTCCTGACCTCAGGTGATCCGCCCGCCTCGGCCTCCCAAAGTGCTGGGATTACAGGCGTGAGCCACCGTGCCCGGTGCTTACACAGTTTTATGTCTGGGTGTAGTTATAAATTCTGTTGGGTTTTGTTTGTTTTTGAGACACGGTCTCGCTCTGTTGCCCAGGCTGGAGTGCAGTGGTGCAATCTTGGCTCACTGTGACCTTGGCCTCTCAGGCTCAAGCAATCCTCCCACCTCAGCCTCCTGAGGAGCTGAGATTACAAGTGCGTGCATGCCACCACGCCCGGCTAAGTTTTAAGATTTTTGGTAGAGACAGGTTTTCCCCATGTTGCCCAGGCTGGTGTTGAACTCCTGACGTCAAGCAATCCTCCTGCCCCGGCCTCACAAAATGCGTGAGCCACTGTGCTGGGCCAATTTCTGTTGTTTTATGTCTTTGAGTGGCTGCGGATCAGCGCTTGTGCTTGAAGGTGGTCAGTTTTTTCTTTAGGAGATAAGGAAGGGCCGTAACTTGAGTCATTTTGTGTTCCAGTGGGGTTGTGCTGTGTCTGCCTACGGCTGTGGCCCATGCCGCTGTGTCTGCGGGTGGCTGTGACTGTAGCATATGTTGAACTGTAGGTGACCCCCCCCCAGCCCCCGCTTGTGTCCTTGTGGGTTTGTGCATGGCTGTTACTTCTGGGCTGTGTCCGTGAGTGGCTATAGCTTCCTTCACTGTGCACATCTGTGTCTGCTTTTGCTTCCTTTGCCGTGGGTCTCTGTGTGGCTGTATCTCCCCTGTCACCATGTCTGTGTTTGGCTTTATGACACCCCCCTTCCCCCACTCTTTCTCCAGACGTGGCGGTTTCAGCTCAACTTAGCCTCCTCCCTCCTCATGCTAAACCCCTGGCCCTCCACAGGCGTTTGGACACATCTCTGGAGACCCAAGTCTTTGTGTGTTGCTCTCGGTGTGTCCACAAGCACAATGCCATAGAGCACGGATGGCCAGGCCAATGAGTGCCCGGCCCTGGGGCGCTCGTCCTCTTGTGCAGACCAGGCTGGCCGTGCACCAGCGAGTGTGCACCGAGACCCCAAGGGCGTGGGGTCTCCGCGCCCGGGCTCTATCTGTCCCCGACCACCCCCGAGCCCTCCCCGGGCTCACCATGCCGCGGTACAGCTCCTCCAGGCGCCCGTCGATCCACTTCTCCACGTCCAGCCGCCGCTGCAGCTCCCGCCGGTCATACTTGACGGTGACGCGCGCGTGCCGCTTCTGCAGCCCCCCGGGACTGCCCCCTGGCCCGCGGGCCCGCGATGGAGACTGCAGCTTGCTCAGCACGCGCTTGCCCAGCCGCTGAGCTGCCATCGCGCTGCTGGACCCAGCCTGGCCCCGCGCTGTGCGCCTTCGCCTCGCGCCCCGGGTGCTTCTTACGGGCCAGGGCGGGGCTAGCCGGGGGCGGGGGCTCGGGCTCGCCGGGAGGTCTGCCCCACCCCGGCCGCCTCAGGCCTCAGTTTCCCCGTCTGCAGTGCGAGAGTAGGCCGCTGCGTCGGCTTGAGGCACGCAGTCGTGCGAAGTTGAGGTATGGGCGGGGACCCAGAGTCCCGGGCGGGTCCCTGCATCGGGGGCTCCCGGGCCGGGATCCTGTGGGGCGGGGGCCTGGGACAGACACTCGGGACCCGGCCTGTCTGCGCCCTCTGGCGGTGGCGGGGTGGGGGGCTGTTGGTGCGGGAGCGCCTGCGCCGCTGTCGCTGTAGAAGGTCGAGCGGTCACTTGTTCCTTCGTTCATTCATTCACTCATCCATCCATTTGTTTGTTCACTCATTCCGTTCAACGAATTTTTTTTTTTTTGAGTCGATGTCTCTCTTTGTCGCCCAGGCTGGAGTACAATGGCGCGATCTCGGCTCACCGCAACGTCCGCCTCCCAGGTTCAAGCGATTCTCCTGCCTCAGCCTCCGAAGTAGCTGGGATTACAGGGATGCACCACAACACCCGGCTAATTTTTGTATTTTTAGTAGAGACGGGATTTCGCCATGTTGGCCAGGCTGGCCTCGAACTCCTGACCTCAAGTGATCTGCCTGCCTCCGCCTCCCAAAGTGCTGGGATTACAGGCGTGAGCCACCGCCACTGGCCCGGTTCAACGAATATCTATTAAGTATCCACTCTATACCAGACACTGCTTTACGCTCCAGGGATAGAGCAGGGAACAAAACAGACAAAACCAGTCCCACGCAGTTGACAGTTGTAGCCGGGATACATGAGAAACACAGTAAGTACGGTATTATACAGTTTATTATCATATAAGTGCTTTGGAGAAATATAAAGCAGAGAAGGAGAAATGGAGTGAGGGTAAGGTTGCAATTTTAGCGAGGGTGGCCAGGGAAGTCCCTTACTTCAAAACAGTCTTCTCACTTCTAATTATAAGCAGCAATAATTATACTCTAAAATTTAAATGTGGCTGGGCGCAGTGGCTCACTCCTGTAATCCCAGAACTTTGGGAGGCCAAGGAGGGTGGATCACGAGGTCAGGAGTTCAAGACCAGCCTGGCCAACATGGTGAAACTCCATCTCTACTAAAAATACAAAAATTAGCTGGGCCTGGTGGCACATGCCTGTAATCCCAGCTACTCGGAAGGCTGAGGCAGGAGAATCGCTTGAACCCGGGAGGTGGAGGTTGCAGTGAGCCAAGATAGCACCATTGCACTCCAGCCTGGGCAACAAGAGCGAGACTCTGTCTCAAAATAAATAAATAAATAAAATAATAATAAATAATTTTTTTAAAAAGGCCAGGCATGGTGGCTCATGCCTGTAATCCCAGCACTTTGAGAGGCCGAGGTGGGCAGATCACGAGGTCTGGAATTCAAGACCAGCCAGGCCAACATGATGAAACCCCATCTTTACTAAAAATACAAAAAAAAAAAAAAAAAAGCCAGGCGTAGTGGTGTGCACCTGTAATTGCAGCTACTGGGGAGGCTGAGGCAGGAAAATTGCTTGAACCCAGGAGGCAGAGATTGCGGTGAGCCAAGATCGCACCACTGCACTCCAGCCTGGGTGACAGAGCAAGACTCCATCTCAAAAAAAAAAAAAAAAATTGTAGAGACAGGGTCTCCCTATGTTGCCTAGGCTGTTCTCCAATTCCTGGGCTCAAGCGATCCTCCCACCTCGGCCTCCCAAGGTGCTGGGATTATAGGCATGAGCCACCTCACTCCACCAGCCAGCCATAATGTAAAACTTTTGAGTTTCAAAGAACATCATCAAGAAAGTGAAGAGACAACCCATGGAATGGGAGGAAAAAAATTGCAGTCATGAAACTCATAAGGTGCTGGGACGAGCCACCACACCTGGCCAAACTATACACTTTAAAAAGGTGAGTTGGGCCAGGCACAGTGACTCACGCCTGTAATCCCAGCACTTTGGGAGGGCAAGGCGGATGGATCATCGGAGGTCAAGAGTTAGAGACCAGCCTGGCCAACATGGTGAAACCCCATCTCCACTAAAAATACAAAAATTAGCTGGGCATGGGGGCACATGCCTATAATCCCAACTACTCAGGAGGCTGAGGCAGGAGAATCGCTTGAACCTGGGAGGGGGATGTTGCAGTGAGCTGAGATCATGCCATTGCACTCCATCCTGGGCAACAAAAGTGAAACTCCATCTCTAAATAAATAAAGGGTGAGTTGTATGGTATGTGAGTTATATCTCAATAAGACTGTGTTTTTTTTTTTTTTTTTTTTTTTTTTTGAGGCAGAATCTCGCTCTGTTGGCCAGGCTGGAGTGCACTGGCATGATCTCAGCTCACTGCAACCTCTGCCTCCCAGGCTCAAGCAATTCTCCTGCCTCAGCCTCCCGAGTAGCTGGGATTACAGGGGTGTGCCACCACGCCTGGCTAATTTTTGTATTTTTAGTAGAAACGGGGTTTCACCATGTTGGCCAGGCTGGTCTTGAACTCCTGACCTCAGGTAATCCACCTGCCTAGGCCTCCCAAAGTGCTGGGATTACAGGCGTGAGCCACCGTGCCCGGCTTCAATAAAGCTGTTTTATTTCAAAATTAAAAACAGGCCAGGCGCCATGGTTCACGTCTGTAATCCCAGCACTTTGGGAGGCTGAGGTGAGTGGATTATCTGAGGTCAGGAGTTTGAGACCAGCCTGACCAACATGGTGAACCCGTCTCTACTAAAAATGCAAAAAAAATTAGCCAAGCATGGTGGTGCACCCCTGTAATCCCAGCTACTCAGGAGGCTGAGGTGGGAGAATTGCTTGAACCTGGGAGGCGGAGGCTGCAGTGAGCTGAGATCGTGCCATCACACTCCAGCCTGGGCGACAGAGAAAGACCCCATCTCTAAAAAAACAAAAATAAAAAACAACTATCCATAGCTACCCATGACCTTCAGTCTAAAGGCCAAACTCTGGTTTAGCAGTCCCATCTCTGCCAGGGACAGTCCCATTTCAGCACCAGCACCTTTCACTCGCAGTTCCCTCTGCCAGGAAGGTTCTTCCCTAGAATATCATCAGGGCTCACTCCTTCACCTCCCTCCAATGTCACTGTTCAGTGAGGTCTTCCCTGGCCACGCTATTTCACACTGCAACTCTCGTGCCCCTCATCCAGCTCTGTTTGATACATAACACTTACCACTTTCTAACATTATATATATATATATATATATATATATTTTTTTTTTTTTTTTTTTTTTTTTTTTTTTTTTTTTGAGTTGGAGTCACCTCAGGCTGGAGTATAGTATTGTGATCATGGCTCACTGCAACCTCTGCCTCCTGGGTTCAAGAGATTCTCCTGCTTCAGCCTCCTGAGTAGCTGGGACTACAGTTATACACCACTGTGTCCGCTTACTTTTTATATTTTCAGTAGAGATGGGGTTTCACCATGTTGGTCAGGCTGGTCTCGAACTCCTGACCTCAGACGATCTGCCCGTCTTGACCTCCCAAAGTGCTGGAATTACAGGCATGAGCCACCATGCCTGGCCTCTAACATTATATATAATGTACTCATTTAATGTATTGTCCATGCCAGGCGTGGTGGCTCACACCTGTAATCTCAGCACTATAGGATGCTGAGGCAGGAGGAGCAATTACATCCAGGAGTTCAAGATCAGCTTGGGCAACATAGTGAGACCCTGTCGCTACAAAAAAAAAAAAAAAAAAAAAAAGCCAGGTGCAATAGTACATGCTTGTAGTCCCAGTTACTCTGGAGGCTGAGTTGGGAGGATCACTTGAGTCCAGGAGATGGAGGACGCAGTGAACTGTGATTGCACCACTGCACTCCAGCCTGGGTGATGGAGTGAGACCCTGTCTCAAAAAGAAAAATGTCATATTTTCTGTTCTGTGCAGTGACAGAAAAAAAAAATTATTGTCTGTTTCCCAACTAGTAGCATACTAAAGGCAGGGGGACAGGACTGGTCCACTTTGGGTACAGGCAAAAAGAGGGTGCACTGTCTGTAGAGAATTTAAAAATAAAAAGCTGACCAAGGCCGGGCATGGTGGCTCATGCCTGTAATCCCAGCACTTTGGGAGGCCAAGGCAGGCAGATCACCTGAGGTCAGGAGTTCAAGACCTGCCTGGCCAACATGGTGAAACCCCATCTCCATAAAAATACAAAAATTAGCCGGGTGTGGTGGTACAAGCCTGTAATCCCAGCTACTTGGGAGACTGAGGCAGGAGAATCGCTTGAACCCGGGAGGTGGAGGTTGCGATGAGCCAAGATCGTGCCATTGCACTGCAGCCTAGGCGACAGACAGAGTGAGACTCCATTTCAAAAAAACTGACCAAAAGTTGGTCTAATTTTTATTTTACTTTGCAGTGACATTTCTAAACAGTGTCAATGATAAAATAGTCCTCCCCAGGGAAGAAACAGAAACAAAAACCTTTTGGTGGTCTGCTTTCTAAACAATTGATGCAATATAAAAAAGGGGGAAAAAAACAATTGATGCAATTACTGTCGGTTTTTTTTTTGTTTTGTTTTTGTTTCATTTTTTGAGACGGAGTTTCGCTCTTGTTGCCCAGGCTGGAGTACAATGGCACTATCTCAGCTCACTGCAACCTCCACCTCCCAGGTTCAAGCGATTCTCCTGCCTCAGCCTCCTGAGTAGCGCGGATTACAGGCATCCGCCACCACGCCCGACTAATTTTGTATTTTTAGCAGACAGGATTTCTCCATGTTGGTCAGGATGGTCTTGAACTCCCGACCTCAGGTGATCCGCTCGCCTCGGCCTCCCAAAGTGCTGAGATTACAGGTGTGAGCCAACCACGCCTGGCCTACTGTCAAGGTTTTTTTTTTGGTGTTTTTTTTTTTTTTTTTTTTTTTTTTTTTGAGACAGAGTCTCGCTCTGTCACCCAGGCTGGAGGGCAGTGGTGCAGTCTCAGCTCACTGCAACCTCCGCCTCCCGGATTCAAGCTATTCTCCTGCCTCAGCCTCCCGAGTAGCTGGGACTACAGGCGCCCGCCACCGCGCCCGGCCTCTTTTTTTTTTTTTTTTTTTTTTTTTTTGAGAACGAGTCTCGCGCCGTCGCTCAGGCTGGAGTGCAGTGGCGCAATGTCGGCTCACTGCAAACTCCACCTCCCAGGTTCAAGCGATTCTCCTGCCTCAGCCTCCCAAGTAGCTGGGACTACATGCGCCCACCACCACGCCCGGCTAGTCTTTTGTACTTTTTTTCAGTAGAGACGGGGTTTCACCGTGTTAGCCCAGATGGTCTCCATCTGCTGACCTCGTGATCCGCCCACCTCAGCCTTCTAAAATGCTGAGATTACAGGCATAAGCCACCGCACCCGGCCCTTCTTTTTTTTTTTTTTTTTTTTGAGACGAAGTCTCACACTGTCGCCCGGGCTGGTGTGCAGTGGGGCGATCTCGGCTCGCCGCAGCCTCCACCTCCCGGGTTCAAGCGATTCTCCTGCCTCAGCCTCTCCAGTGGCTGGGACTACAGGCGCGCGCCACCACGCCCGGCTAATTTTTGTATTTCTAGTAGAGACAGGGTTTCACTATGTTGGCCAGGCTGGTCTCAAATTCCTGACCTCGTGATCCGCCCACCTCGGCCTCCCAAAGTGCTGGGGATTACAGGCGTGAGCCACCTCTTTTTAATGAACTCTGAAGGATGATAAAGGCCAAGGGACAAACATTCCAAGCATCAGGAATGTTGATGCTTGGAATGTTTCTCAGGACAGATATGGAGATGCCCAGGCCTCCCAAAGTGCTGGGGATTACAGGCGTGTGAGCCCGGCCTCTTTTTTTTTTTTTTTTTTTTGAGAACGACTCTCGCGCTGTTGCTCAGGCTGGAGTACAGTGGCACAATATTGGCTCACTGCAAACCCCGCCTGCCGGGTTCAAGAGATTCTCCTGCCTCAGCCTCCCGAGTAGCTGGGACTACATGCTCCCGCCACCACGCCCGGCTAATCTTTTTGATTTTTTCACCGTGTTAGCCAAGATGGTCTTGATCTGCTGACCTCGTGATCCACCCGCCTTGGCCTCCCAAAGTGCTGGGATTACAGGCATGAGCCACTGCGCTCAGCCCTCCTTTTGAGTTTTTGTGTTTAAAGTTCAAAACTGGACAGATGCAGTGGCTCACGCCTGTAATCCCAGCACTTTGGGAGGTCAAGGTGGGCGGATCGTGAGGTCAGAAGTTCGAGACCAGCCTGGCCAACATGGTGAAACTCCATCTCTACAAAAAATACAAAAATTAGCTGGGCGTGGTGGCGGGTGGTGCCTGTAATCCCAGCTACTCAGGAGGCTGAGGCAGGAGAATTGCTTGAATCCAGGAGGTGGAGGTTGCAGTGAGCTGAGATCACAGCATTGCACTCCAGCCTGGGCAACAGGTGAAACTCTGTCTCAAAATAAAATAAAATAAAGAAAGAAGAGGCCTATACCTTCTTCCAAGCCTTGACGGCTCAGCACATACTTCTCTGTTTTCATGCTCAAGCCTAGGTTTAGTAGGCCTGAGTGGCAGTGGGAGATTCAAGTGCTGGGGGAGACCTTTGGCCTCACATTCAGATTCCACCTTGAGTCCCATGATCTCATTGCAAGGTTAGACTTCCATTGTTTAAGGTAAATACCATTTTGATAACTCAGTTACGGCTTTTCATGTATTATTATGCTAGGAGGGAGGCTGAAGAGTGGGAGTGGCCCTGGCTCCTGAACACACTATTCTCTTTCCTGCCTGAAGGCCTCCGCATGTGCCATTCCTGATTCTTGGAATGTTTGTCCCTTGGCCTTTATCATCCTTCAGAGTTCATTATCAAAGCCACCCCTCACAAAGCCCTTCCTCCGCCACCCCATTCAAAAGATCTCTTGTTATTTTCCATCCCAGCCCCTGATTCCTTTTCTGTATAGCACTGTCAAAGTGTTTTCAGGCCAGGTGTGGTGGTTCACGCCTGTAATACAACACTTTTGGAAGGATGAGACAGGAGGATCCCTTGAAGCCAGGAGTTTGAGACCAGCCTGGGCAACATAGCAAGTCCCCTGTCTCCACAAAAAATTTAAAAATTAGCTGGATGTGGTGGCTCACATCTGTAGTCCCAGCTACTTGGGAGGCTGAGGTGGGAGGATCCCTTGAGCCCAGGAGGTCAAGGCTGCAGTGAGCCAAGATCACTCCATTGCACTCCAGCCTGGGCAACAAGAGCAAAACTTCCATCTCAAAAAAAAAAAAAAAAAGAAATAATCTAAAAGTGTTTTCAATAATAATGCATTTATGTTGATTACCTTGTTGGCTATCCTCTACTCGTGTGCCTGCCCCACTCCATTCCCCTTTCTAGAGTCTGTTCACGTAACTCCTCTTCCAGGAAGCCCTCTTTGACTCCCAGGCTTGGTCAGGTGTCTTCTCTGGGTTTCCCCAGGGGCTTCCTTCCTCTCAATTCTGATGCTGCCTGTGCTAAGTATTTGTCTCCATATCTGTCCTGAGAACCTTGGAGCCAGGGCTCGGGGCTGTTTTTGCATGGGCCTATCACCTCCTCCAGGAAGCCCTCCTTGGCCCTCTCTCAGGCTGGATGGGAAAGCTGTCTGGGCTCCCATCATGCCCTGGTTTTCTAGCGACCCAGCCTCTGATCCCTAAGCTTGGCCTTCCCCATCACAGCTTTCATCACTTTGTGCTAAGCTTCCGCTATCACTACTCTGGGCCGTTCCTGTTTGGTGACTCAGGGACCAGTCTGGCATGGCCACCGCTGGGTCCCCAGCATTAAGCCCTGGAGCATGAGCCCAGTGAACTTTGAAATTCAGGAAGGAATTCACAGGAAAGCTGCGGCGAGGCGGGCAGAAAACCACAGGCTTCCAAGAAACGCGTGTCTGCCGCCCCCTCCTCCCACCCTGAGGCCAGTCCTAGAGCGAAGGCCCTCCTCCGACGTCGTCACCAAGCCCAAGGGAAGGGTGGCAGGTGCTCAGCGGGCAGACGCCCCGCCCCGCCCCGCCAGGTTCTGTTGGGGGCGAGGCCCGCGCAAGCCCCGCCTCTTCCCCGGCACCAGGGGCGGGCCCAGGTGCGCCCAGGGCCGGGGAGCGGCCGCGCAGGTGCCTGCCCTTTGCGCCTGCGCCCAGCTCGCCCTGCCTAGCCAGGTGCGCCCCGCCCCCTGCCTGCCCGGCCACCTTCGGGAGCCGCTTCCAATAGGCGTTCGCCATTGGCTCTGGCGACCTCCGCGCGTTGGGAGGTGTAGCGCGGCTCTGAACGCGCTGAGGGCCGTTGAGTGTCGCAGGCGGCGAGGGCGCGAGTGAGGAGCAGACCCAGGCATCGCGCGCCGAGAAGGCCGGGCGTCCCCACACTGAAGGTCCGGAAAGGCGACTTCCGGGGGCTTTGGCACCTGGCGGACCCTCCCGGAGCGTCGGCACCTGAACGCGAGGCGCTCCATTGCGCGTGCGCGTTGAGGGGCTTCCCGCACCTGATCGCGAGACCCCAACGGCTGGTGGCGTCGCCTGCGCGTCTCGGCTGAGCTGGCCATGGCGCAGCTGTGCGGGCTGAGGCGGAGCCGGGCGTTTCTCGCCCTGCTGGGATCGCTGCTCCTCTCTGGGGTCCTGGCGGCCGACCGAGAACGCAGCATCCACGGTGAGGGCCGGGCGGGTAGGCTGGAGGCGGGGCGCAGGGGGCAGAGGCTCGGGGGTCAACGGGGGTCTGAGCAGGGAGAACTGGCGGGGGAGGAAACTGGGGGCTACTTGATGGCGTTCAGCGGGTGTGGTGGAACCAGCCCTGGAGGATTGAGCCTTGAAATGAGGTTTGGGAGCCTTCGACAGCGAAGACGGGCGGAGGAGCGAGGGTTAGGAGAGTTTCCTTCGGGTGGAGGAAGAGTCAAGGGGTATTGACCAAGAAGGCGTGGCACTGCCCCTTCCTGTGGCAAGAACGGGGTGAGGAGCCGAATTGAAGACCAGCCTTCTCCTGGCGGTGGAAAGTTCCATGGCCAAAGCTCAGGGAGAGGCCAGGCCTGTGAGATGGTGGGGGTTGGGTTGGGTGACCTGGTGGCCGTTTTAGACTCGGAAGAAGCCCATCTCACCCCTGCCTCTTTGGAGATTGGACAAGAGCCTCCCCTGAAGTTTTTGTAGTTGAGTTGCAGTAAAGTAGGTGCCCGAGAAGGAGGGAGCAAGAAAGGAAACAAGCTTTGGGGAAGAGGAAGCTCTGCTAAGGCTCGAGAGAGTATTGGCGTTGAGCAGCTGGTGTTGGGGTCTTTGGATTGGCCCTTAGAAGTCGGTGGTGAATAAGGTGATTTAAACTTCTACACTCTTAAGGAAGTGTGGTCTGAAAGGTCTCTTTGAACAAGTGTTGTTATAACCTTAACTGCTTCAGACAAGCACCAGCGTGTTTTGAAAAGAGCTCTCTTGAAAGCAAGAATTCATTGATTCAGCAAAACTTACTGAGGCCCTGCTACGTGTCAGGCACTGGCGCTGGTTATAACAGTTAACTCAGACTAGCTGGGTTCCTGCATTCACAGAGCTAATATTCCAGTGGGAGAGGCAGAGCTAGTGAAGGTTTAAAAAGCACTTGCCATGAGATTAAGTTACTGAGAATTAAATGAACCAGGTGAAGTACACCAACAGGGTGACGTAAGATGTTGGGGGCGGCTTTAGCTCAGGTGGTCGGGGGACGTCTCCGTGAGGAGGGTGACATCTGAGCTCTAACATGAAGAATGAGGCAGTAGCCACACGGAGACCTGGGGGACCAGTGTCCAGTTGCAGGCAATAGAGTACAAAGGCCTTGAAGCTGGAACAAGCTTGGTTGGGTTCAGGGAAAAGACAGAGCCAGCCTGGCTGGAGCAGGCGTGAAGGAGGGGAGGACTGGAGGAGGATGGGAGGTGGGAGAGGTTGGCTGCAGCCAGATGGCCTAGGGCTTTATAGACAGGTGCTGGTGCTTGAACCCGGGAGGCGGATGTTGCAGTGAGCCAAGATCGCGCCACTGCATTCCAGCTTGGGCAACAAGAGTGAAACTCCCATCTCAAAAAAAAAAAAAGAAGGCCGGGTGATGTGGCTCATGCCTGTAATCCTAGAACTTTGGGAGGCCAAGGCGGGCAGATCACTGGAGGCCAGGAGTTCAACACCACCCTAGGCAACATGATGAAACCCCGTCTCTACCAAAAATACAAAAATTAGCTGGGCATGGTGGTGCACACCTGTAGTCCCGGCTACTCGGGAGGCTGAGGCAGGAGAATCGCTTGAAGCCCAGAGGCGGAGGCTGTAGTGAGCTGAGATCAAGCCACTGCACAGCAGCCTGGGCGACACAGCAAGACTCAGTCTCAAAAAAAAAAAAAAGAGCAGGCTAGGTGTGTACCAAGTCATCACCTGTGGTAACTTCTGGGGACTGGTTAATTTCTCTGTGCCCTAGGCAGGAGAAAAAAGTGAATTGGTGGGGAGAGGCTCAGCTGTAGGTGACTGGGAGTCAGGAATGCAGACGTTGATCATTCTTGCAATTCGAACCAGAATTTGGCAGCTCTGCTGGACTTTTTCAGTTTAAGTAATTACGTTAGGATGTACCTCCCAGTTACCTGGCCTCTTGCTACCTCTGGTGCTTACTCTGAGCTGGGACATGGCCTCTTGCTACCTCTGGTGCTTACTCTGAGCTGGGATGTGCCATTTAACCTTTGAAACAGCCGGGTGCGGTGGTGAAGTTACTTGCCTTGCCCGAGGTCACTCGGTAGTAGTAATTGACAAAGCCAGGTCTCACTGCAGAGGCCTTCTCTGTTCAGAGTGGCCTACCTGACTGCTGCTGCCGACTGGACCTACTGACCTTTCAGAAGTACTAGTGTCTGACTGGGTGAACTCATGCCCTCACTCATCGTAAGTTCTGTTTGTTTGAAAGCTTGAACAGCTTAATCGGAGGCAGAAGGCAGTTTTGACTTTTTTTTCCTCGCTCCTTCCTGATTGCTTCTGTTTTCTCCGGAAGCGAGTCATCCACTGGGAGTGTGGTGTTGCTGAAGCTCCATGCAGTGGCTCAGGTGCTGCTGGATGAGTGTGGTGGTGAGGGAGGAGTGAACAGAGAATGTGTGAGGGAGGGAGGATGGGGGTTGGTCAAGGAATTTATTCTGTATGAAAACATGAGGGGGCGGAGGGCCGAGGTAGATGGTAGGGCCAGCAGATTGTTGGAGTTGAGGTTCTGAAGGGAATGAACCAGACAGATAGGATGCAGTGGGTAGTGAGTGAGATGCATGAGAGGGAGGTTCTGAAGAGGTGGCAGTTACTGAGACAGGTCTAGGTGTGACCCTGAGAGGAAGCGGGGGGGCGAGGGTGGGAGGAGATCAGGTGGAGGTCTTGGGACCTAGAGGTCAGAGGACCATCTACCTGGATATAGAAATCTCCAAGAATGATCATAAGAGCAGCGGGAGAGGTGGCAGGCCCGGAGCTAAAGTTGGGAAGGAAGAAGTAGTTGTCTGGGTTGGCAGATAACGTGCCAGGCGGGGTAGTGAATGATTTACTCTAATAATGGAAGTCTCCCAGCTGGGGATTTTGGGGAGGGTGGAGGGAGAACAGTCCAGAAGCAGCTCCCAGGAGCAAGGAGACCTCCCCACTTGGAAGGGCCCCAGGAGGTGTGCCCTCAGGGGAGATTCCAATTAGGTAAGAGGGTGGCAACAATGTTCAGAGGAGATTGAGGACATGGAAGATTTGCTCAAGACCAGTCCTGAGTACCAGAGGGCCCAGGAGTTGGGGGAGGGGAGATGGGGACAAAGCAGGCCCCACCGTGTGAGAGTGAGGGTTAACTCAGGGGTCGGGGCTTCTTGTGAGAAGCATCATGTGGTCTATGATTGATGTGTTGGTGACGCTCTGAGTAGTGAGGGCAGGTGGGAAGGGACAGGTGGACGGGCCGGACAAAGAGTGTCCTGACTCCAACCTCTGCAGACAGAGGTGGGGGGAAAGCTGAGCTTATGCCAGGTGAGAAAGCTCCCCTATCTAGCGTTAGGGACAGTTACCGTCTGGAGTGGAAAGCACGCAGAGATTATAAACTGTCCACTCCCAGGAAGCTTCACACAGCCTTTATGTGACTTGTACTTTTTCCAGAATTGGGATTTTTTAAACGTAAAAATGTAGTTTTTGGCTTTGCCTGAAAGACATGAAGATGTAATGGAACCAAACCAGAACACAGGCCTGTTTTCCTGCCCAGCAGTCCCTGGCAGGAGCCGAGTACCTCTTTCAGGCAGGAGATATGCCATTCCCTAGCCTGTAGATCTTACTCAGCTTGCCTCATCTCAGCTACTGCTTGCCCTCTGTCTCTGTAGGCCTTTGGCTTGTGACCCCTACCTTAAACATATGCTCCATTTAGTAAATGGTAACACGTAACAGTTCTTTATAAATTGCACATTACAGTGTGAGACAGAGAGAGAGCATGCGCGCGCGCGTGTGTGTGTGTGTGTGTGTGTGTTACGGCTGGCTGTTGGGGAAATCCTTATATCAGGTAGCTGCAGATATGCAGGATTTTTTTCTTTTCCTTTTCCCCACCCAGGTGGTAAATCCTGGTATTTGGAGGGTCCTGAAATGTGTAATGTTGCTCAACACCAGGCCAGATCATATATTTCCTCAGCAGAATAGAAACTTGAAAGGTCCTTTAGGAGTGGCCAGTTAGGTGTAGTTCTTGCTGCCAATAACTTTGTGCCTGGCCCTGGGCATCAGAACTTGTGTTAATGGTTACTTGGCTTAAGGTCTTTTGTTTTTGTTTTTGTTTGTTTTTGTTTTTTTGGGTTTTTTTTTGAGACGGAGTCTCTCTCATCGCCCAGTCTGGAGTGCAGTAGCGCGATCTCAGCTCACTGCAATCTCCACCTCCCGGGTTCACATCATTCTCCTGCTTCAGCCTCCTGAGTAGCTGGGACTACAGGCGCCCGCCACCACGCCCGGCTAATTTTTTGTATTTTTAGTAGAGACAGGGTCTCACCACCGTGTTAGCCAGGATGGTTCAAGGTCCTTTGTTGATTCTTCTTGGGAATTTCCACTGGAGGCAAGCAGGGCAACACTTATTTGAGAACCTCTCCTGCACCTTTTTTTTTTTTTTTTTTTTTTTGAGACAGAGTCTTGCTGTGTCACTCAGACTGGAGTGCAGTGGCGCCATCTTGGCTCATTGCAGCCTCTGCCTCCTGGGTTCAAGTGATTCTCCTGCCTCATCCGCCTGAGTAGCTGGGGTTACAGGTGTGCACCACCACACCCAGCTAATTTTTGTATTTTTAGTTGAGATGGGATTTCTTTTCTTTTTTTTTTTTTTTTTTTGAGACGGAGTGTCTCGCTCTGTCGCCCAGGCCGGAGTGCAGTGGCGCGTTCTCGGCTCACTGCAAGCTCCGCCTCCTGGGTTCACACCATTCTCCTGCCTCAGCCTCCCGAGTACTGGGACTACAGGCACCTGCCGCCACGCCCGGCTAATTTTTTGTATTTTTAGTAGAGACGGGGTTTCACCGTGTTAGCCAGGATGGTCTTGATCTCCTGACCTTGTGATCTGCCCGCCTCGGCCTCCCAAAGTGCTGGGATTACAGGCGTGAGCCACCGCGCCCGGCCTGAGATGGGATTTCAACATGTGGGCCAGGCTGGTCTCGAACTCCCGACCTCAGGTGATCTGCCCACCTCAGCCTCTCAAAGTGCTGGGATTACAGGCTCGAGCCACGTGGCCCAGCCCTCTCCTGCACTTCCAAGGGATTTTCGAAATGCATGGACCTCTCAGGTTAATTATAGTGTCTGTAGAACCTTAACTGCTGTAAGCTTTCCAGCAGACTCCACAGACGTGTTATTAGTTGCCACCCTTTCTTTACTTTCCTCCTCACCCCCATGGATAGTCGTGACCCTGGTGGTCAGAGATAAGATGACAGAAGAGCTAAAGTAAAGCTGGTGTTGGCGATCAGCTGGGAATTCTCTAAAACAGCTTCTCACATTATTCTTATCCTCCATAGAAGGAGTGCTTGTCCTACTTGCAGGCAAGGCAGTTTGGTTCCAGGGTAGTTCGAAATCTTATTCACTGATATAGTCAGCAAATGTTTATTGAGCACCCACCAATTGCCAGGCACTGACTCACTCAAATTAGAGCACTGAACAAAATAGACCCCCTCCCCCATCCGTGGCAGACGTGTCATAATGAGAGGAAGACAGTACAATAAATGAACAGATGAATGTATGTCTGGTGATGAGTGTCAGGGTTGGTGTGCTTAGCACTGAAAATGGGGGCTTCTGAGGTTCAAATGGTTGCAGTTCCTAAAGAAGGTTGAGGGCCTTGCCTTCAGGTCACCGCGGGAGACTGGCCCCTTTCCACTGGAAACATTGCTTTGCCCAGTCAGTATTTGAGAGCTCAGCCTGCAATGGAGAAATCACACTTCTCCTCTTTCACCCTGCTCCCCACCCTGTTTCTCATTTTACCCATCCCCAGCCATTTGCAGAATGCATGCAGAGCTTCTGTTTGCCATGTCTGGAGGCTACAGGGGAGGCTGAATAAGGGGTGATAAGCCTGTGGCTCATGTGAGGCGGGAGAGAGCCCAGCAGGAGTCACACTGAAATGACTCCATTAGCCCCAGGAGGCCTTGGCCCACCGGCCATGACTAATGTGGACATTAGAGTGTGGATTCCGATGTCCTGCAAGATCCTCCTCACAAGTGTCATTTCATGGTTTTTTTCTGGCAACATCTTTTTGAAAACTCCCTGTAAAGAAGTGCTGATGTTGATGCTGAGGCCCAGGAACTTTGGAGTTTATTTACCTTTTTTTGTTGTTTTATTTTCCTTGGCAGGTGAAGTAGGAGCTAGAGTTTACTTATTTTGAAGTTTATTTGAAATATGCTTTTTATGATTAGAAGCCATTTTAGAAATGAGGGCGAGGCCGGGCGCGGTGGCTCATGCCTGTAACCCCAGCACTTTGGGAGGCCGAGGCAGGCGGGTCACGAGATCAGGAGATCGAGACCATCCTGGCTAACACGGTGAAAACCCGTTTCTACTAAAAATACAAAAAAATTAGCCTCGCGTGGTGGCGGGCGCCTATAGTCCCAGCTATCTGGGAGGCTAAGGCAGGAGAATGGCGTGAACCCAGGAAGTGGAGCTTGCAGTGAGCTGAGATCATGCCACTGCACTCCAGCCTGGGCAACAGAGCAAGACTCTCTCAAAAAAAAAAAAAATGTTATGCTAAGTGAGAGGAGCCACTTACAAGAGACCACCACATGTTTGGCCGGGTACAGTGGCTCATGCCTGTAATCCCAGCACTTTGGGAGGCCGAGGTGGGTGGATCACGAGATCAGGAGTTCAAGACCAGCCTGGCCAAGATGTTGAAACCCCATCTCTACTAAAAATACAAAAAAAAATTAGCCGGGTGCAGTGGCAGGCGCCTGGAGGCTGAGGCAGGAGAATCGCTTGAACTCGGAGGGTGGAGGTTGCAGTGAGCCGAGATCACGCCACTGCAGTCCAGCCTGGGAGACAGAGTGAGACTCCATCTCAGAAAAAAAAGAGGGCAAGAATTCACATGTTGTTTTACTCACACGTGTTGGAGATGGAGCTCAGGGTGATTCCTGACTGGGCCCAGGGTCCATGGCCTCAGAAGTCCCTTAATCTGAAGTCCTTCACTTTTATGTGATACTGCTGGGCACAATGGCTCACGCTTGTAATCCCAGCACTTTGGGGGGCTGAGGCAGGTGGATTGCTTGACTGAGGAGTTTCAACATGGTGAAACAAAAAATACAAAAAACTAGTCAGCCTGTAGTCCCAGCTATGTGGGAGGCTGAGGTGGGAGAATTGCTTGAGCCCAGGAAGTGGAGGTTGCAGTGAGCCGAGATCGCACCATTGCACTCCAGCCTGGGCGACAGAGCGAGACCCCATCTCAAAACAATTTTATATGTGATAGTTTGTCCATGTGTATGCCAGGGTCTGTCATTTAGAGTGTATGGCATGTTCTTAAAGGGGTGGGGGAACAAAAAGATACTATAATAGTTTGTGACCTTTTGAAGGGCCGCTCTACATGAATAGATATATAGTATGTCTGTGGTGTTAAAATTTTGTGGGGCGATTAGGAAAAACATTTCCAAAAAGTCTTAGGGGGAAGGTAGTAATGAAAAAAGGTTGAGAAACACCATTCCAGAGAGAGGGTCCAAGAGCTTTCCTCAGTTCTGAAAATGGTCCATGATTTGCACAAGGTAAAGAATGGCTGAATGCGAATTAACAGCAGACAGTTTCTTAGAAGATTTGAAACTATTGTTTCCTTCCCAGCTATTCAGATGGACTGCTCGGGTTCTTGTTATGGATTGAGGCGAGGGTAGACTTAATAGTCTTGTTTCAGAGTGGAATATGGAGTGATGGTAGGCATGAGTAGTGATGAGTTGCATTGTGCTGATAGGTTATGAAATGTAAATTTTTTATTTTTTGATATGGAGTCTCTGTCGCCCAGACTCTGGAGTGCAGTGGTGCGATCTCGGCTCACTGCAACCTCCACCTTCTGGGTTCAAGCGATTCTCCTGCCTCAGCCTCCTGAGTAACTGGGATTACAAGCATGCACCACCACGCCCGGCTCATTTTTTTGTATTTTTAGTAGAGACGGGGTTTCACCATGTTGGCCAGGCTGGTGTTGAACTCCTGACCTCAGGTGATCCACCTGCCTCAGCCTCCCAGAGTGCTGGGGTTACAGGCGTGAGCCACCGTGCCCGGCCTGAAATGTAAACTTTTATATCTAAATATTTTATATAGAAAATACCAAGATTTTATATCTGAAACACCAAGATTTTATGAGCCTCATAACTTAAGTAGGATTTGTAATTGTAAATGTTCTTTCCTCATAAATACCTGAGGTTTTTTTTTGAAAGGTTCTGAATTGTCTCAATAATGAAAACTTCCAGACACCCAAGCCTAGAGGAGATGGGTAGTTGGTAGCTTTCTGTACTGGAAACAGAAACACTCAAATATATAGAACCTAGCCAGCTAACCAAAGTAGGTAGATTTATAGATCATCTTAAAATAAGGCTGATTACACAGTAAATGTCACCTTTGGAATCTGGCTTGGTAGAATTGAAATAGGCTTCAGTACCTCCTGTCATTCAGTACCTGTTTTCTTGAACTCCTGACTTCAGGTGATCTGCCTCGGCCTCCCAGAGTGCTGGGCTTACAGGCATGAGCCACTGTGCCCGGCCTCAGTACCTCTTTTTAAGATGCTCTCATTCATTCCCTGGTGAAAAGATGCTTGAAGTGCAAGTGCAAGTAGGTGTGGAAAGCATGGAGGGTTTGTGTTGCTTCATTTGTTTTGGTATTTGTTTTTTCCACCAGTCCCTCCCTCTGGCTTTCTGCCTCCCAGCCCAGCATATCCTGATCTTGTAGCCATGCAGGACTTTGACCCGTGTGGTGGTTTGCCATTGTCTTCCTCCAGGTGAAGATAAGACATCATTGGTTTGGCTTGAGGTTGTACTTTTGGCCTTCCCTGTATATCCTCTTCCTCCTTATCCTCTCCGTCAGCATGCTTGGTTGGACTCTGTAGTGAAATGTGTCATTCTCTTTATTCTGACTGTCCCTATATTAGTCCTGTCTTCATAAAAAATACAATCGTAAAGATACAATATCTACTATTTGTTAAAAGTTTTGTGCTAGGCCAGGTGCGGTGGCTCACGCCTGTAATCCCAGCACTTCAGGAGGCCGAGGCGGGTGGATCATTTGAGCCCAGGACTTCAATACTAGTCTGGGCAACATGGTGAAACCTCGTTTCTACAAAAAATGCAAAAATTAACCGGGTATGGTGGCACACGCCTATAGTCCCAGCTACTTGGAGGCTGAGGTGGGTGGGTCACTGAGCACAGGTCAAGGCTACTGTGAGCCAAGATTGTACCACTGTACTCCAGCCTGGGTGACAGGGCAAGTCCCTGTCTCAAAAAAAAAAAGAAAGCTGTGTGCTAAATACTATTTTAAGCAATTATAATGGATTAAAAACTCCTTTAATCTTCACAACAATGTTTTTTCTTTCTTTTTTTTTGAGATGGAGTTCTTTGAAACTCTTGGATTAAATGACTCTTCAGAGCTTTCTTTGCTTTTTGATACTAAGGAGTGGCATGTCTGGGGATTTTTATAGCAAATAACTTCTCCTTGGCTACTATCCTTAGAATTCCAAGTGTTTTTAATGAAAAGAGGAGACTTGTTTTTAGTGATGTTAGTTGTTTTTAGGAAAGGTGTTCTGCAGTGTTTTTCGCTAAGGTGGCTCACGCCTGTAATCCCAGCACTTTGGGAGGCCGAGGTAGGCAGATCACTTGAGGTTAGGAGTTTGAGGCCAGCCTGGCCAGCACAGCAAAACCCTATCTACTGAAAATACACAAAGTAGCCAGGTGTGGTAGTACACTCCTGGAGTCCTAGCTACTCAGGAGGCTGAGGCAGGAGATGACTTGAACCCGGGAGGCAGAGGTTGCAGTGAGCCTAGATCGCACTATTGCATTCCAGCCTGGACGACAGAGTGAGACTGTCTTAAAAAAAAAAAAAAACATAAAATGGAGAGGTAGACCAGCTTACGGGAGGTGTTGCACTTCCCTCTGCCACTGGAGAGACTCTGGATCTGCAGCCAGGGAGCTTGTGAAGGCTTCTTGTCCACGGAAATGAGGGCGGCAGTTGTGACTTTCTGGATGGTGGCCCAGAGGAAGCAACACTGGCAGAGCCTCTTCTGTGAAGCAGCTCTGCGAGCAATTTTGTGACATTGAAAGAGCAAAGGATAAAACGTTGAAAGCTGATCCAGATCTAGAAAAGTGTTTGGCAATTGCTGGAAAAGGTGTAGAAATGATGCTTGCTCTGTATCGTAAGTTATATGGTGAGAAGACCACAAGCACGGTTCAAACTCCCCTTAGAAATTCTTTTGCACAGAAATTAACACTTTAATCCTAAATGTTTCCAATGTTTTAACTTACAGTATGCTAAATAAACATTCTTTCTGTTTGTTTGTTTTGTTTTGTTTTGTTACTCTGTGCATTTATAGCCAATAGAGTTTTTCTTTCCTTATTTTTTTGACACAGGGTCTTGCTCTGTCGCCCAGGCTAGAGTGCAGTGGTGCGATCTCAGCTCACTGCAACCTCCGCCTCCTGAGTTCAAGTGATTGTCCCGCCTCAGCCTCCCGAGTAGCTGGGACTACAGGCGCGCGCCACTGTGCCGGGCTAAGTTTTATATTTTTAGTAGAGATGGGGTTTCGCCATGATAGCCAGGGTGGTCTTGAAATCCTGACCACAGGTGTGAGCCACTGTATCTGGCCAAAAAAATTTTTTTATTTTTTGTAGAGACAGGGTCTCACTATGTTGCCCAGGCTGGTCTTGAACTCGTGACCTCAAATGATCCTCCTGCCTCGGCCTCCCAAAGTGCTGGGATTATAGGTATGAGCCACCATGCCCAGCTTGACAAAAAAATTTTTTTTTTTTTTTGAGAGATGAAGTTTCACTCTTGTTGCCCAGGCTGGAGTGCAATGGATCAGCTCACTGCAACCTGTGCCTCCTGGGTTCAAACGATTCTCCTGCCTCAGCCTCCAGAATAGCTGGGATTACAGGCATGCACCACCACGCCCGGCTAATTTTGTATTTTTAGTACAGACGGGGTTTCTCCATATTGGTCAGGCTGGTCTCGAACTCCTGACCTCAAGTGATCCACCTGCCTCGGCCTCCCAAAGTGCTGGGATTACAGGTGTGAGCCACCACGCCCAGCTGACAAAAATTTTTAAATGTCATTGAGCAGTATCATTTTTCCCACTGATTATGAGATTGCTTTGTGTGATCACACACTGACGGGCAGGCCAATTGCTGCTTGTATTCAGTATTTGGCCCCTTATAGAAAACATTTGCAGACCCTTGTTCTAGAAAAAACAGATGGGTGGGAGGAGGAGGAGGAGAAGCATTTCAGGAGTGGCTTTGGGCTTTCCTGTCCTGCACGTGGTGAGGCAAGAAGCTCTTGTGCCTCAGCTCATAGCACTCATGGGAGTCTGTCAATAACTAGAACCCTAGGAGTTATTTTTGCTTGTTTTAAAAATAAGCTTGTTTTGGGGCCAGGCGTGGTGGCTCACGCCTGTAATCCCAGCACTTCGGGAGGCCGAGGCGGGTGGACTTACAAGGTCAGGAGATCGAAACCACTGTGGCTAACATGGTGAAACCCTGTCTCTACTAAAAATACAAAAATCAGCCGCGTGTGGTGGCGGGCGCCTGTAGTCCCAGCTACTCGGGAGGCTGAGGCAGGGGAATGGCGTGAACCCAGGAGGCGGAGCTTTCAGTGAGCCAAGATCGCACCACTGCACTCCAGCCTGGGCGACAGAGCGAGACTCCATCTCAAAAAAACAAACAAACAAAGCTTATTTTAATGGATATAAAAACATGAATGAAATAAGACACCAAGTTCAAGGTGGTAGGGGGTTAATTTGGAAGAGGCAGAGCAAATGTGATTGAATGAGGGGTATGCAAAGGGTTTCTGCTCTATCCATATGTTTTATTTATTAATTTATTTTTGGAGAACAAAGTCTCGCTTTGTTGCCCAGGCTGGAGTGCAGTGGCGTGATCTCGGCTCACTGCAACCTCCACCTCTTGGGTTCAAGCGATTCTCCTGCCTCAGCCTCCCGAGGAGCTGAGACTACAGGCACGTGCTACCACACCCGGCTAATTTTTGTATTTTTCAGTAGAGATGGGGTTTCACCATATTGGCCAGGCTGGTCTCGAACTCCTAACCCCAGGTGATCTGCCCAGCAGGCCTACTCTATGTTTTAGTCCTTGAGAATGTTAGAATTTGATGACACTGAGATGTGGATATACCAGACATGGGGTATTTTCTGTACTCATCAGCATATTTGAAATATTTCATTAAAGTTCTTACTTTGCAAAGTAGACACAGCTGCAATTATGCATTTTTGGAAAATGATTAGGTACTATCTCATCTGTTTTGTTTTTTTGTTTTTTTGTTTTTGAGATGAGGTCTCTGTCACCCAGGCCTGAGTGCAGTGGCGCAATCTCAGCTCACTGCATCCTCTGCCTCCCGGTACAGGTGATCCTCCTACCTTAGCCTCTCAAGTAGCTGGGACTGCAGGTGCACACCACCACACCCGGCTCATTTTTTTTGTATTTTTGAGCTCAAGCAATTTGCTCGTCTCAGCCTCCCAAAGTGCTGGGATTACAGATGTGAGCCACTGGCCCAGTACTATCTTGCTAAGCCTATAAAATTAGATTAGATTGGTAGTACTTGGGACCCCTCAGAATTCTATAATGTCCTTCTTAGAAGGTGACAGCAGATCTATCCAGCAGACTGTAGATTGTTGTCTTAGTCACCGGCTGATTGTCTTGGTTAAAGCTCTAGTGACTTCAGAACCAGAGAAACTTGTTTTCCAACACATTCAAAGACCAGTTTGCTTTGCAATTTTGCAATAGCTGACATTCAGAATGCCTGCGAGGATTTTGTAAGTGAGGTTCATATTTCGGATAATGTGTGACTTTTGCCATTTCTGATGCTTTTCCAAAAGAAAGTTACTCTTCCCTAAAGGCAGGAATTCTACTTTTGCTTAGATATTCTGAAGCTTATGAGTTCATCCAAATTTGGTTCCTTTCAGCATTTTCCTGTTGGTCCGTCTCCGTTTTGAAAACATACAGAATGTACTTAATTTTGCCCTACCATTTGTGAGCATACAAAATAGCACTTGAGTCATATTTTTCATGATTGCTTCCCAATACTATTCTAAGACCAACATAGCATTTTGTCATTTCATAATAATAGAATTCCTCATTAAGGAATAACTTTCTAAAAATGTGTCCAGCCCATTTCCCCCCCAGCCCTGGCCGTTTCCTTTGGTATGTTGGTGTCCGTGACCCTGTCATTGAGTGTGACTGAAAACAGAGGCCTGGCAGAGGGCCTGGCCTTTGTGAGCCCTCAGATTGTGATAAAGACCCTGAGGAATGTTTTGGCTTTTAGGCAACCTCAGTTCTGTTTTCCTGCTGCCTGTTGATGCAGTGGCTTTTTCTTCCCATCAGTCTGAAGGGTCGTGTTAGTGCCTGGGCTCTCATCAGACCACAGGGAACTCATCCTGGCACTGCTGGCTGCCTCACTTTAACCACCTCAAGTCTCAGCATTCTCGTTTGTAAAGCGGAGATATTATTACGTGATTCACAGTTTTATTGTGACCATTAGAGGTAGGGCACATGATATGCCAGGCATCATGCTTGGCGAAGGCAATAAGTAATGCAGCCAGGTGCTGTGGCTCATGCCTATGATCCCAGCACTTTCAGAGGCGGAGGCAGCAGGATCACTTGAGACCAGCCTGGGCAACATGGTGAGAACCCCATCTTTACAAAAAATTAAAGTTAGCCAGGCGTGGTGGTGGGTGCCTGTAGTTCCAGCTACTCAGGAGGCTGAGATGGAAGGATTGCTTGAGCTCAGGAGGTCGAGGCTGCAGTGAGCTGTGATCATGCCACTGTACTCCAGCCTGGGTGACAGAGTAAGACTGAGTCTCAAAATAAATAAATACAAGGTTTTTGCAGAACAGTGAATGAGAAAATGCACTGTTGTTATTTGTGGTGGAAGTGAATACTATATGGCCTGTGTTTCCTGAAGGAACACTGCCTCCATTAAAACAAATGAGCAAACAAAATCCCTTTTCATGACTTCAGTTCTCTCAGGCCTGAGAGTAAAGTTTACATCATAGATGCTTAAAAACAATTCAGTTAGTGAAAGCATGTGACAAGATGAGACGATTTGTCTTCAACGAGGAGCTTCCTTCCATACTCACAAAAAGATGTGTGTCTTAACATAGTAAGGACATGGTTAAATTTAGTCTTATTTGGACCTAACTTCAGCCAATTAATCTGCTACTTAGAACTCTTTTACTCAAATGAAATTTGAGTAAAAAAAAAAAAAATTTTTTTTTTGGCCAGGTGCGGTGGCTCGTGCCTGTAAACCCAGCACTTTGGGAACCCGAGGCAGGTGGATCACCTGAGGTCAGGAGTTCGAGACCAGCCTCACCAACATTGAGAAACCGCGTCTCTCCTAAAAATACGAAATTAGCTGGTGTGATGGCGCAGTCCTATAATCCCAGCTACTCAGGAGGCTGAGGCAGGAGAATCACTTGAACCTGGGAGGTGGAGGTTGCAGTGAGCCGAGATCGCACCATTGCATTCCAGCCTGGGCAACAAGAGCAAAACTCCATCTTAAAAAAAAATTATTATAATAATTTTCAAGTATATACAAAGCAGTGACACATTTTGTAAACCCCCATGCACCATCACACAGCTTCAACAACTACCAACATCTGTCTTTCAGACATGTTTTTAGTCCAAGTTTTCTCTTAATAAAGAGACTTTTTCTTTTTCTTTTTTGTTTGTTTGAGACTGAGCGTTGCTCTGTCGCCCAGGCTGGAGTGCGATGGCAAGATCTTGGCTCACTGCAACCTCCGCCTTGCGGGCTCAAGTGATTCTCCTGCCTCAGCTTCCTGAGTAGCTGGGACTACAGGTGCCCACCACCATGCCCAGCTAATTTTTGTATTTTTAGTAGAGATGGGGTTTCGCCATGTTGGCCAGGCTGGTCTCGAACTCCTGACCTCAGGTGATCCGCCCACCTCACCCTCCCAAAGTGCTGGGATTACAGGCGTGAGCCACCATGCCTGACCATAAAGACATGTTTCTAAATTCTCCTGGGACAACAGTGAAGTTCTACCTTTCCTTCCTACTTTACCGAAGGAACCTGAAAATAAGGCTGCTTTCTGAAACTTAAACTACTAAGTCAGTGATATTTAGAGCAGATGTAAGCAGCTGTCTAGACACAGAATGGCTTCCCAGGCTCGCAAGACTTGTCATGAAGCCCCCAGCACGTCAACAGAAAGCATCCAAGCTAGAAGAGGCACTGGCTCACAGCAGCACCCCAGAAAGGAAGCGTCTCAGGGACAGATCGTGACCGTGCTCCGGAAGAGCTGTCCTCAGCCGCTACTGTGAGCATTTGGCCTGCCTGACAGATTCTGTTGGTGAGAATGTTCTTAGGAATCATACAGTAAACTAACTTTATTCTGACTTCAAGCATCGTGTTCCATTGATGCTTGCTTTCCAAGGTGTTTTGCTGATTCACATCAGCATGCAACCTGCTTGACAGAATACAGTGATGTTCTCACTGTAAATTCATCACCTGCTGCTGTGGTCTCATGTATCATCCCGTGCGCTGTTAGCTGAGGCCAGTGCTCCTGTGTCTCCTCAGCACGAGGGCACTGGCAAGAGTGCATGTCTGGGCCTATAAAGATGTTGGCCAGGTTCTAGGCAGGGTTGAATTCACCAAGGTAACTGCCATCCATCCCTCAATAGGCATTTTTTCTCCTACACACCCTCAGGCACATGCCACGTGTACCTGGCACCCTTACTTACGAAGTTACCGAATTCCTGCCATGATACTGTGGGTCACCCTGCTTCATTCTCAGGTGTGGTGTCGGGTGGTTCCTGCCTGGGCGCCGGGTGTTGTTGGGCCCTCCCTCAGGTTATTGGTTTTTGTTTTGAGATGTAATTCACATGCCATATGATTCACCCATTTAAGGTGTACAATATTCCCCTGAAGTTTATTGTGGAAAAAGGCTGTGTCTGACACTGCTTAGGAAGCTAAGACACAAAGCAGCCAGAGGGGCTGCCAGGGCTCACTGTGGCAGGGCGGCGGAGAGGCTGCTGGCGCCTCTGTAGCTGTTGGGTGCTCTTGCCTTGATGCTGTTTTCAGCTTTGGATTGTAATTGGGTCCCACGTGGGTCCTCTTCATCTCGTCTTGTTGGTGGCAGTGTTGCTCCCAGCGTTGGGGTGGGCAGAGTCACACACCAGAGGACCTCCTCCTGCTGTTTTCTCTGGACCTTGTTGATTATGTGTTTTGTGACCTTTGGCATATTGTACCTGTTCCAGGTGTACAGCCAGCTGGTTTTGGTTGATGTGTAATGGACAAAAGGTGCCCCTATTTAAAAAAAAAATTTTTTTTCTGCTTGTAGTCCCAGCTACTCAGGAGGCTGAGGTGGGAGGATCACTTGAGCCTAGGAGGCAAGGCTTCAGTGAGCCATGGTCCTGCCACTGCACTCCAGCTTAGGTGACAGAGGAAGACCCTATCTCAAAAACAATTATATAGGCCGGGCGCGGTGGCTCATACCTGTAATCCCAACACTTTGGGAGGCTGAGATGGGCGGATCACCTGAGGTCAGAAGTTCGAGACCAGCCTGGCCAACATGGTGACACCCCATCTCTACTAAAAATACAAAATTAGCCAGGTGTGGTGGTGCATGCCTGTAATCCCAGCTACTTGGGAGGCTGAGGCAGGAGAACAGCTTGAACCTGGGAGGTGGAGGTTGCAGTTAGCGGAGATCACGCCTCTGCACTCCAGCCTGGGCAACAAGAGTGAAACTCTGTCTCAAAAAAAAAAAAATTATCATAAAATCACTCGTTTTAAGTATATCATCCAAGGATTTTAGCACCTTCTACAGAGCTGTGCAGCTATTGCCACAATCCAATTTTAGAACATTTTCATCATCCCCTAAAGATCCTTTTACCCATCACTCCCCATTCCCACCCCCAGTACCAAGCAGCCACTCATCTACTTCCTGTGTCTATTGATTTGCCTTTTATGGACATACTGTACACTTTCATTCATATGAAGTGTCTAGATAAGGTACCCTCTAACGGGTGACTTTTCATGGTTAGCTTTTTTCAAATGATAGGGAATTTCCTGCTTCAGAAGATGCTTTTTCTGCTGTGCTACTTACCTGTGATCTATTGTGTGGGTGGGATTTCCTTGGAGGCATGTATGTGTTTGTTTGTTTTGCAGAGTAGCAACCTTTTTTGTCCGTTGATTAGTGTTCTGTGGAACATCTGGTTTCATGCCCATCACTGTGACATATTTGGGGAGACACAACAGAAGATATATCCCTAGTGGGTGAAACAAACCTAACAAACATGAAAACAACTAGCGAGGAGTCAATGACAACATCTAAGCAAGCGTTTGGCTGTGGGATGCTTTTATTGGAGACATGTTTATCAAGCATCCTGTGCCAGGCCCTGTGCAGGTTGGAATGCCCTTGTGCTGAGCAGGCAGAGGTGGGTGAAGGCCAGGGTTAGGGAGGGGTGATAACCGTGATACAGGAGCAGACATGGAGCCACACAGCCAGGCTGTTTTCTTTTCAGGTCGCCTTCAATCCTTCCAGTGGAAAGGCTTATTTTGGTGCAGGTGTTGCTTCTAGCAATTGTTTCTCTCTCCCTTTCAAGAGAGCGTACCGACCTTTTGCAAGAAGTGTTTCTGGCTGGAATTTTATAACATTGGCTTTTGTTTCCCTTTTACTAAAGTAGGGCCAGATTTGAGGGTGCCTTGAAACCCAGGCCCATCTTGGTGTGCCCAAATAGGAGCTGTAACAAGCCGTGGTGCAGGGGTAGGACCTGTGTTGTCTTTGGAGCCATGGGCTGGGCTGCAGGCACTCGAGTTAAGAAGCTTCCTTCTGAGGCTCTTCCAGTAATTTGAGTGTCCTGTGGCCTGCCTGGGCAGAGAGTGGACAGGAAAGATCAGGAAAAGCACGTGTGAGGACTACCGAGGGTGCTGATAGCGCCTCTCCTTCCCAACTTCACTTCTCTGGCTCTGACCTTTCAGCCCTAAGCTCCCCTTGGCCCTGTGGGATGGGGCAGCATCCAGAAGGGTCTTGGAGTCAGGTTTTGTTTTGTTTTTTTTTTTTTAAGTCATGTTTCCATTGGGCGTAGTGGCTCGTGCCTGTGATCCCAGCACTTTGGGAGGCCGAGGCAGGCGGATTGCTTGATCTCAGGAGTTGAAGACCCTCCTGGGCAACATGGTGAAACTCCATCTGTACTAAAAGTTCAGAAAAAAAAAGCCCAGCATGGTGGCGCACGCCTGTAGTTCCAGTTGCTTAGGAGGGTGAGGCAAAAGAATCGTTTGAACCTGGGAGGCAGAGGTTGCAGTGAGCTGAGATCGAGTCACCACACTCCAGCCTGGCGATGGAGTGAGACTCTCTCTCCAAAATAAATAAATAAAGTTATGTTTCTACACTGGATGTGCATGTCTTCAATAATGGGGACAGGGGACAAAACACACAACTGAAATACAGTTCAGTGGGTGGGTTGCTGTCTTTATTGTTGGGTGATGTGTTTATACAAGGAAGGAAGCACTGAGTGGGCCTGTTGACGATCTGGGCTTGGGAAACAGCTCACAGGGGAACTGCTGGAACTCAAGGCTCTGGTTCTCCTGGGGGATCCATGTACAGGTCTGTGCGTGTCCTTTGTTGCCAGGATTGCCCTGCCAAGCTAACCGGGTTGTGCTTCGCGTTTCAGACTTCTGCCTGGTGTCGAAGGTGGTGGGCAGATGCCGGGCCTCCATGCCTAGGTGGTGGTACAATGTCACTGACGGATCCTGCCAGCTGTTTGTGTATGGGGGCTGTGACGGAAACAGCAATAATTACCTGACCAAGGAGGAGTGCCTCAAGAAATGTGCCACTGTCACAGGTGAGATGGCAGTAGTTGGAGCTTTTGTTTTTTTCCTTTTTTTTTTTTTTTTTTTTTTTTTTGAGACGGAGTCTTGCTCTGTCGCCCAGGCTGGAGTGCAGTGGCGCGATCTTGGCTCACTGCAAGCTCCGCCTCCCGGGTTCACGCCATTCTCCTGCTTCAGCCTCCTGAGTAGCTGGGACTACGGGCACCCACCATCACGCCCAACTAATTTTTTGTGTTTTTAGTAGAGACATGGTTTCACCTTGTTAGCCAGGATGGTCTCGATCTCCTGATCTTGTGATCTGCCTGCCTCAGCCTCCCAAAGTGCTGGGATTACAGGCATGAGCCACTGCGCCCAGCCCCTGCTTTTTTTTTAGACAGGGTCTCACTGCAGCCTCCACCTCCTGGGCTCAAGCAGAACCTCCCACCTCAGCCTCCTGAGTAGTTGGGACTACAGGCACATGCCACCACACCTTGCTCATTTTGAAATTTTTTATAGAGGCGGGGGTCTCCCTATGTTACCCAGGCTGGTCTTGGACTCTTGGCCTCAAGTGATCCTCCCACCTGGGCCTTCCAAAGGGCTGAGATTACAGGCGTGAGCCACTGTGCCCAGCCAGATTTTGCTCTTTAGAGACAATTTATTAACTGGAATGTGGATACTTTCCTCTCTTTATTAGTTCTTGACAGTGGAATCTGGGTGACGTTTTAAAAAGCAGAAGAAACAGGCACCGTGTGAATGTCCTGGTGGCCGTACAGTGGTTTCACAGCAGACCCTCACTCCTCCTCTTCCCAGAAAGGGAGCAAAACAACAGGGCAGAGCTGGGGCCAGCGTGACCCAGCTTCCTTTCTCCCACTTTACTAAGTGCAAGTTTCAGAGCAGACCAAAGAGGAAGTAGCCTTGCCTTCTTGAGCAGAGGCTTTTTGATCCACTCCGACAGGGCTGCCCCTCTTGTTCCCTGGGTATTTGGGTTATTTTATTTTATTTTGAGACAGAGTCTTGCTCTGTCGCCCAAGTTGGAGTGCAGTAGAGCAATCTCGGTTCACTGCAACCTCAGCCTCCTGAGTAGCTGGGATTCCAGGTGTCCACCACTACGCCTGGCTAATTTTTGTATTTTTAGTAGAGATGGGGTTTCGCTATGTTGGCCAAGCTGGTCTTGAACTTCTGGCCTCAGGTGATCTGCCTGCCTTAACCTCGCAAAGTGCTGGGATTACAGGTGTAAGCCACCGCACCTGGCCGCTATTTGGGTTATTTTTAATTGTGGGACAAGTGACTTGAATAGCTCACCCAGCCAAGTTACCGATCAAGTTAAAACAAACATACGTCCTGGAATCCATCCTCTTTGCGGCCCTCACCTGCGAGGAGTTCTGTGGAATCAAGGTAATTTTGACCCTGATAACCTCACAGTTTAAATTAAAACCTAAACCTCCCAGCAGCGTGCCCTGGCTCTTAGCTGAGTGAGAAGGACTTCCTGAGAGCTGGTGGTGATGAGACATTGGCCCTTTGGGGCTGCTCCATCCCGAGTGTTCCAGAGACCCGAGGGTTTGGCCATCCAAATCCTATGTTAAAGATTTTCACTTTTTTCTTTTTTTCTCGCTTAGTCGCCTACCAGGCTGGAGTGCAGTGATGTGATCTTGGCTCACTGCAACCTCCACCTCCTGGGTTCAAGTGATTCTCGTGCCTCAGCCTCTCAAGTAGCTGGGACTACAGGCGTGCACCTCCACACCTGGCTAATTTTTGTGTATTTGGTGAAGATGGAGTTTCACCATGTTACCCAGGCTGGTCTCAAACGCTTGAGCTCAAGCAATCTGCCTGCCTCCCAAAGTGCTAGGATTACAGGCGTGAGCCACTGTGCCCAGCTAAACATTTCACTTTAACTGAAAAAACAAACAATTACACTGGCCTTTAAGTAAAAAATAAATAAAAATATTTTCAGCGGCACTCCCCCTAACATGTTTTTTTGATGACTTGGTGTTGTCTCTGTGAGCCACCGTTGACCCAGTTACTGTATTTCTATCGTCAGCTGTGATTCATTATGAAGGAGGACTTGGGAGAACTATCTTTTGCTACCTTTTCTGAGCTATCCCAGTCAAGAGTTGCCTTTAGCAAATGTATCTGTCCATCCTGGCTGTTTGTTACCTCCTCAGGAAGGGAGCTGAAGTGTTGAGAACTCAGGCAGTAGACAGTGAACATAGCCAGGGGACATGAGTGGCTGTGTGTTCCTGGGAGCAGGCAGGTTAGCTGTCTCCCTAGAGTCCGGCCCCGCCTTGCAGGTCCAGAAAGCACATATTGGCATCTGACTGGCTGCAATGTGTGTCTCTCGAGGCGCTCCCATGTGAGTCTGTAAAGAGCTAAACACTGCCAGGGCTGCTAGTGCCTGGGGTCCTTTGCCGGCATATTCTCTCCCAGGCAGGCAGGCTCTGTGGGAAGGCAAGTGAGAATGAGACTGCCAGTGTATTAATTCATCATGAGAACCAGGACCGCCCCGGGGAGCAGGCACTCGTGTCCCCGGGCCCACGCCTTTAGTCCGCATAGGCAAGTCTCTAGTCCAGTTGCCAGAAGACTGCTTGATGAAGAGAGAGGCAGAACGCGGGGAGCTGGTTTGCAAGGTGACCGTTTAATAGCATCAGGCTAGGCCAGGCCCGAGGATGCGGAGGAGCCAGGGTTCCCTCCATCTTGGACGAGGTGTGGGAGATAAGCGCTGTGTAAAATGTATCATGTGGGCCGGGTGCGGCGGCTCACGCCTGTAATCCAGCACTTTGGGAGGCCGAGGTGGGCAGACCAAGAGGTCAGGAGATCGAGACCATCCTGGCTAACACGGTGAAACTCCGTCTCTACTCAAAATACAAAAAAAAATTAGCCGGGCCTGGTGGCGGGCGCCTGTGGTCCCAGCTACTCCAGAGGCTGAGGCAGGAGAATGGTGTGAACCCGGGAGGTGGAGCTTGCAGTGAGCTGAGATCGCGCCAGAGCACTCCAGCCTGGGCGACAGAGCGAGACTCCGTTTCAAAACGAAAAATTTGTCATGTTAACCTTTAAAAAAAGTGTCGTGTTTTGTTTTGTTTTTCTCCCCCCAAAGAGATTAGGTCTTTTTATGTTGCCCAAGCTGGTCTCAAACTCCTGGCCTCAAGTGATGCCCCCCACCCTTCACCCAGTGTAAGCACTGGTATTACAGTTGAATTAGTTAGATGAGTTGATACAGTTAAGCAATTATTTGGCCCTGGAAGTCACTGTGTTTTGATTGTTTGTTTCTTTCTTTGAGACGGAGTTTCACTCTTGTTGCCCAGGTTGGAGTGCAATGGTCAATGGTGTGATCTCGGCTCACTACAACCTCTGCCTCCCAGGTTCAGGCGATTCTCCTGCCTCAGCCACCCGAGTAGCTGGGATTACAGGCATCTGCCATCACGCCTGGCTAACTTTTTGGGTTTTTTTGTTTGTTTTTTGAGACGGAGTCTCACTCTGTTGCCCAGGCTGAGTGCAGTGGTGCGATTTCGGCTCACTGCAACCTCCGCCTCCCGAGTTCAAGCAATTCTCCTGCCTCAGCCTCCGGAGTAGCTGGGACTACAGGCGCGTGCCACCACACCCGGCTAATTTTTTGTATTTTTAGTAGAGATGGGTTTTCGCAGTGTCGGCCAGGATGGTCTCGATCCCTGACCTCGCGATCTGCCCACCCTGGCCTCCCAAAGTGCTGGGATTACAGGCGTAAGCCACCGCACCCGGCCCTAACTTTTGTATTTTTAATAGGTTTTGCCATGTTGGCCAGGCTGGTCTCAAACTCCTGACCTCAGGTGATCCACCTGCCTTGGCCTCCCAAAGTACTGGAATTACAGCCATGAGCCACCACACCCGGCCAAGTCACTGTCTTTTTAAGGTCACTTTGCACATCTCTGCTCTGATTCCCTGCAAGTTAATCTTAAGTTTCCTCTTCGGGAGGCAATCTTGGTTCCTTATTTCCAAGTTGTGGTCTGGCATGCACATTGAAGGTCCCATGTAAAGGAGAAGTGGATGCTGTGGTGAGAGGCGCACAGGGCCAGCTCATTCTTTGTCCCTGGCAGTCTCTCGAAAGCTCTTTCACTGTGCTGTTTCTTTGTCCCCTTGCAGAGAATGCCACGGGTGACCTGGCCACCAGCAGGAATGCAGCGGATTCCTCTGTCCCAAGTGGTAGGTTCTTAAAGAGACCCGCGATGGAGTGAGGCCACCGGATGGGTCATTGTGAAAGGACACTTGTCATTTGGGAACTGTCACAGGCTTCCCTCTCATGGTTCTGTTTACTCAAAATTGGCAAACCGGGGGCTCTGCCTGGGCTGCCGGCTTCTGGCTCCAGCATCCTTATGGGGGAGTTTATACTGTCCAGCTGACACAGGGGCCGGGGATCCTGCAGCACTTCCTGGCTGGCCCCCATCTCCTCCTGGAGGATGGGATGGAGGTGGCTGCTGCCCATGAGGCTCAGGCCCCTCCTTGCTGTGCGGGCCTCCAGCTGCTCTGCTGACCCCACTCCCCACCCACCCTCCTGTCTGCCTGTTCTGTCTCCTCTGCTTCCTTTGCTCCCTGTTGCCATCGCTGTCCCCTGCCCCGTGGGCATCCTCTGTCCTCTGCCACCCCCGCCTCCCCGCCACTGCAGCTTGTGATCTCAAGATGTGTGTTAGCTTGCTTTGTAGTGCTGGCGGCTGCTGCCCCATTCCTCCTTTATGGTTTAAGGACTCTGCATCGGGCGCCTGGGGTGAGTGGTCCCGATGCACTACCAGGTAGCAAATGCACCCTCGGGGCAGACCTCAGGCCATGGACTCTGGGAGGCTGCTGTGGAGGGGGTACTGCACCGCACCCCTGCTGGAGGATGGGACTCCCCCGGCAGCTGCTACCCACCGAGTGCACTGTAGCTCAGCAGCTGTTGGGCCGGCTGGCTTGCAGAGTGCTGGGGCGTTAGGGTGGTCACTTTCCAGCTTTGCTAGGCCTGGAGTCCTGTGCCTGTCCTGGCTTTGCTCTGCCTGGCTCCCTGTTTATCCTCTGCTAGCCCCCCCACACACCAGCTCTGGTTTCCATCTTGTTGGAGAGGAACATGTCCCCCTCACTGTATTAGAAAGTGTGAACAAGACCGTGTTCCCTATAATATTAGGAGCTGTGGCAGGCTTGGTTTCTATAGGAACCCTGAGGTGGCGGCAGGGCCACCACATCCAGCACTCTCAGTGTGTGCGTAGAGCCCATTAGGGCTGGGGTGACGTGGCAGAGCCGGCCATGGAAGGGGCTACACACCCCTTCTTAAAGGCGTGTCCACACTCCTCAGTGGGCCCTTCCAGACCCAGACCCAGCTAGGCCTGTGTCCTGTGTCCGGCCCAGCCTCCCTAACACAGATGTTTGTGTTTCAGCTCCCAGAAGGCAGGATTCTGAAGACCACTCCAGCGATATGTTCAACTATGAAGGTAAAACTCCAAAGAGGCCAGGTGCGGTGGCTCACACCTGTAATCCCAGCGCTTTGGGAGGCTGAGGTGGGCGGATCACGAGGTCAGGATATCAAGACCATCCTAACATGGTGAAACCCTGTCTCTACTAAAAATACGAAAAATTAGCTGGACGTAGTGGCATGCACCTGTAGTCCCAGCTACTCAGGAGACTGAGGCAGGAGAATTGCTCAAAGCCTGGGAGGCGGAGGGTGCAATGAGCCAAGATTGCGCCACTGCACTCCAGCCTGGGCAACAGAGTGAGACTCTGTCTCAAAAAAAAAAAAAAAAAAAAAAAAAAAAACTCCGAAGAAACTTATATATGGGGCAAAACATGTATTCTTAGTTGGGTATTGAGAGACACTTGCGGATTTTCACTGAGGAAGTTGTAGAGCAGGGCTCTCCCCTCCCCAGGTGGTGGCAGCCCCCTGAGGTTGGGGTCAAGGTGACAGGCCCCACGTGGATGCCGCCAGCAGTGGGAAGGAGGCTGCGCCTGTGGAGATGTGCGTTAGAGGCGTAGCCTGGCACGTGGCTCTGCAATTTACATTGTCCCTGAACCTCTCGCCAGCGGCTTGGCTGTGGGCAAGTGACTGTTGCCCCGCCTCAGAGTTCCCATGTATAAAATGAAGGGTCCCAGATAGGTCTCATAGAGACTCAGCCACTGCATGTAAAAGGCCTAGAACAGGGCTTGGCAGAGAGCAGCCTTCAAAGCTCCGAAGCCGTCACCTGGACCCAAGGAGCAGCGCGTCAGAGCCGCTGCACTGGTCTTGGGTGTAATTTACAGGCTTCTTTACCAGAGAGATGTTTCTCCGTCTGCTGGAGCCGCAAGCCTCCTCAGGCACTTTCTGGCTTGCTTCCCCTCCTTGCGGGCCCTACTAATTTGTATTCCCTGGGCTGTCTTACTCCTAGAATACTGCACCGCCAACGCAGTCACTGGGCCTTGCCGTGCATCCTTCCCACGCTGGTACTTTGACGTGGAGAGGAACTCCTGCAATAACTTCATCTATGGAGGCTGCCGGGGCAATAAGAACAGCTACCGCTCTGAGGAGGCCTGCATGCTCCGCTGCTTCCGTAAGTCTGCAGCCCCTCAGCCCAGGAAGCCCTGCCCTTGAGGACCCCGGTCCATCTCCCCATCCCTAAAATATGAAGGCCTTGGAAATGCTGTTCTTGGGCCCACCAGGGCAGCAAGGCCTCTAAGCCCCAGAAAAGCTGGAAGAAAGCCCCTCAGAAAGAGCTCCCCATGGAGGCCCTGGCTGAGGGGATCCCCTGCGGCAGCTCTGTGGAATGGGGGCTGTGAGCTGACCTCAGGCTGTGTGTTCTCTTCCAGGCCAGCAGGAGAATCCTCCCCTGCCCCTTGGCTCAAAGGGTAAGTGGCCCCTTACCCTCCTCCTGCCATCAGCCTGCCTCCTCCCTTCCTTGACTGAGCTCAGCCCTGCCCAGCTGTGGTTTACATTATCCTTCACTGTGAACATCATCTTGGCAGAAAGTCATGTTTCTGCGTGAGAATGGCGAGGTGGTGGTTTGTCCCACCGTTCAGTGTACACAGTTGGGGCTGGAGTGAGTCAGTCACAAGGCAGGCCCTGCCCAGGCGGCGTGGGTGACTGGGGATGAGGTCTTCCTGTTGAGCATTTGAGGACTGCTGCACACGGGCCTGAGGCTGGCCTGAGGTGTGGAGGGAGCGCTGCTATGTGGGGCATAAGAGTTGGTCACGGGTGACAGGACGGAGGACCACGGGCCAGGGTGTTTCCCAACACAGTCTGGTCTGAGCGGGAGGCCAGGCCTCTGGCCTGTGTTTCTGAGCTTGAGTTGCAGGTGATAATGTTGGCACAAAAGACCTGCCATGCCAGTCTGGCCTCTTTCTCCACCTGTTTCCCGGTGAAGGAGCCAGGACCTGGCCTGCGAGTCTGTCCTGTTCTAGCAGTGAAGCCTGGTTTGCCAGGCACGGGGCTGGGAAGCAAGCAGTCTGGGTCTGGAGGGTGGCCCCAAAAAGGCCAACTCTGCAGCTCCACAGCCACATGGGGGAGGCTGCCACAGGTCACACTCCTTAGCCGGATCCCCTCCTGAAGAAAAGCATCTGAGCTGACCAGCGAGACTGCAGTGGGGCAGACACTATTAAATTTGCTGGCACAGCTCTGAGTACCCCCTCGCTTCCACCCTGACTTCATCCCGCAGTAGCTCTCAGCCCTCCCAGCCCCTGCAGGGCCACGTCTTTCTCTATTGCCGGTCAGCGTGTGTGTGCACAAAGCCCCTAAGGTTTCATGTGTACACACCGGTGCTAAGTGTTTTTTACACCCTTGTGCATCTCTCGGCCTGGGGCTCCTGTGCAGGTTGCCCTGAGAGTTGGGTTTTTAGTTCAAAAAGAAGGAACACAGATGACTACTCTGCTGGCGACACGGCCACTCTGCTGGCACGCACATAGCATGGCGCCTCCTTTTTTGGGGGACTCTCCTTGGTGGCATCTCTGGCAGGCTGTGTCCTCTCCAGCTGCAGTTCTGGACCCTGTCTGGGTTGGGGAGGGGCATTTGGTCCTCAGGCTGAGCCCACCTGGATTCCCCAGGCCCTTGGTGAGCGCCACTCTGGCTGCAACTCCCCTTGCCTGGCCCGTCCTGAGGCCCCTCTCTCGTCCTCAGTGGTGGTTCTGGCGGGGCTGTTCGTGATGGTGTTGATCCTCTTCCTGGGAGCCTCCATGGTCTACCTGATCCGGGTGGCACGGAGGAACCAGGAGCGTGCCCTGCGCACCGTCTGGAGCTCCGGAGATGACAAGGAGCAGCTGGTGAAGAACACATATGTCCTGTGACCGCCCTGTCGCCAAGAGGACTGGGGAAGGGAGGGGAGACTATGTGTGAGCTTTTTTTAAATAGAGGGATTGACTCGGATTTGAGTGATCATTAGGGCTGAGGTCTGTTTCTCTGGGAGGTAGGACGGCTGCTTCCTGGTCTGGCAGGGATGGGTTTGCTTTGGAAATCCTCTAGGAGGCTCCTCCTCGCATGGCCTGCAGTCTGGCAGCAGCCCCGAGTTGTTTCCTCGCTGATCGATTTCTTTCCTCCAGGTAGAGTTTTCTTTGCTTATGTTGAATTCCATTGCCTCTTTTCTCATCACAGAAGTGATGTTGGAATCGTTTCTTTTGTTTGTCTGATTTATGGTTTTTTTAAGTATAAACAAAAGTTTTTTATTAGCATTCTGAAAGAAGGAAAGTAAAATGTACAAGTTTAATAAAAAGGGGCCTTCCCCTTTAGAATAAATTTCAGCATGTGCTTTCTTTATGGGAGTCCTAATTTCAACCCTACCAAAATGATCACAAGACACTATCTGAGGTGTCCCATTCTAGAAATAGACCCCTCAAAATAGCGTCTTTCAGATCTTTTTGAATGAATCCACAAGATGAAATAAATGTCCTATTACTGAGTGCCCGTGAACTTTCGCCAAACCACACTTAGCCTCACCACCTGTGAACACTGATATTTTATTACTCTATTTCACTTTTTAAAACTTCTGGCTACAACCCTCTGAACTGATCTTGATGTCCCACTATAGACTGTAGCCCACACCTTGAAGCACTGCCCTCGAGGGCGCAGGAGGGGCGCATGCTGTCCAGGGAGGACCAAGACCTTCCGGGGTTGGAGGGGCTTAACCGAGTCCTTGTGGCGTCCATGACGCTTCTCCTCTCGTGGTTCTGTGCTCTCTGCATCTTGAAGGGGTGGTGGGAGGGCGCTCTAGGTCAGGCCTTGCACCGCCTGCCCTGGGCTTTTCTGTCAAGTCTCCAACACACCCCTGTGTGGGAACGGGGACAGAGAACTGCCCGGCTGAATTTGGCCTTCAGGCCCAATCCTGCTGCCTCCTGTGGGTGTTCCTTTCCTGACACTAGACTCTAGAAGCCCCTTTCCTCCCTCCTCTATTCCAACAAGGAGGTCCTGGGGTACAGGCATCTGGGCGCCCCATGAGGTCCGGCAAGCAGCTGGACTCTACCTGCCTCAGAGACACAGGAGGAGTGGCCAGGTGCAGTGCCACAGGCCAGACTGCTTTCGACTGCTTGGAACCAAAGAACTTCCATGTCTTTCCCTTGGCCCTTCCTAGAAATCCCTTAGGGCTTAAAACTCTCTTCCAGAAGCAAGTTGGGCAAATAGCTCATCTGCTCCTGCCCCGCCTCCCTCACAGCAGATGCCGCAAAGGGATCCTGGTGTCCTCCCAGCTGATCCCCGCATGCCTCAGCCCACTCTCCAGTGGTCATTGCAGCTGGCTCGGGGTTGGTGAACAAGTGGAATCTACTTACCACGTCCCAGACAAATCAGACACACAGGGGTCTGGGCGAGCCTGTGGTCCAGGGAAAGAGGGCCTGGGAGTTGGGCAGAGCCTCTCCACCTGCAGCGCTCTGTGTGTGGCAGTGGGCGCGGCCCCTAACCCCTGCAAGCCTGCAGAGTCTGCACATGCACCTCTGCCCAGCAGGAGTCTTTCTCCACCAACTCCAATATGGACTGTCTCCTATCTCAGTCATGTTGAAAAAAAAAAAATTGTGCCTTTGGACTTTTTTAAAAACTTGAGAATTGGCCGGGCACAGTGGCTCATGCCTGTAATCCCAGCACTTTGGGAGGCTGAGGTGGGCGGATCACCTGAGGTCAGGAGTTCCAGACCAGCCTGGCCAACATGGTGAAACCCCCTCTCTACTAAAAATACAAAAAATTAGCCGGGCGTGGTGGCGGGTGCCTGTAATCCCAGCTACTCGGGAGGCTGAGGCAGGAGAATCGCTTGAACCTGGGAGGCAGAGGTTGCAGTGAGCCGAGATCACGCCATTGCACTCCAGCCTGGGTGACAGAGCGAGACTCCTTTCAAAACAAAAAAGCAACAAAAAAACTTGAGAATCACTTAATTCTACCATAATAGGAAGTTAGATGAAGGGAATTCTCTGAAGCCCAGTTGAGCTTCTGTAGGTTTCTAATACAATGAGCCTTTATATGTTTCTAGTGCAGAAGCTGCTGCTCTGTGACCCACTTCTCCTGCCTAAACCTGCCCCTTCTCACGGCAAGGGAGGCCTCAGCCCCTCCGCTCCTGGCAGCTCAACTCCATCCGGGCCTCTGGACTCTTTCCAGGGCGACTGGTGGGCCTCACCACAGCAGACACTCTTCAGGCTGCTGCCGCCGTGGCCCTTGAAGCTCAGCTGTGTCATGTGTTCAATTCTTGGGGCATTTTACGGCCTGACAAAGGCCCTCTTTTTGTTGGAAAGGCCACCCAACAGTGGGTCAGTGGCCTCGGCATTCAGTGGCCACTTCACATCTCTGTCTCCCTCGGGTTGCTGGCACCATTGAGAGGTGGAATGGGCTTTATAAAAAATCAACTCATTGCTGGTCCAAGTGCAGTAGTGTAACAAGTAATTGATCACAACCAGTTACAGAGTTCTTTGTTCCTTCTGCTGCTTTCCTTGACCAGCCTGAAAAAAAATCAGCTCACCGAAAATCAGCTCAGAGCTTCTCACTATCTCTTCCCCTGGTCCACAAGCTTGAGGAAGGCAGACAGTGTGGCTGTCCCTAGAAAGGGTTCCCCTGGGCCATCTCCTGGGTAAAGATCAGGACAAAGGGCTCGGCGGTTATACAGACCCATAAACATTAGGGGCCGGTGCAGTGGCTCATGCCTCTAATCCCAGCACTTTGGGAGGCTGAGGCAGGTTTATCACTTGAATCCGGAAGTTCGAGGCTAGCCTGGGCAACGTGGCAAAACCCCATCTCTACAAAAAAACAAAAATTAGCCAGGCGTGGTGATGCATGGCTGTGCTCCCAGCTACCCAGGAGGCTGAGGTGGGAGGATCGCTAGAGCCCAGGAGATCGAGGCTGCAGTGAGACACGATTGCACCACTGCACTCCAGCCAGGGCAACAGAGCACGACCCTGTCTCAAAAAAAATACAAATTGGGCACAGTGGCTCACACCTGTAATCCCAGCACTTTGGGAGGCTGAGGTGGGCCAATCACTTGAGGTCAGGAGTTAGAGACCAGCTCGGCCAACATGGTTGAAACCCCATCTCTACTAAAAATACAAAAATGAGCCAGGCGTGGTGGCACACGCCTATAGTCCCAGCTACTTGGGAGGCTGAGGTAGAACTGCTGGAACCCAGGAGGCAGAGGTTGCAGTGGGCCGAGATCGCGCCATTACACTCCAGCCTGGGTGACAGAGCGAGACTCTGTCTCAAAAAAATAAATAAAAAACAGGCCGGGCGCAGTGGCTCGCACCTGTAGTCCCAGCACTTTGGGAGGCCGAGGCGGGTGGATCACAAGGTCAGGAGATCGAGACCATCCTGGCTAACACGGTGAAATCCTGTCTCTACTAAAAATACAAAAAATTAGCCGGGTGTGGTGGCGGGCGCCTGTGGTCCCAGCTACTCCGGAGGCTGAGGCAGGAGAATGGTGTGAACCCGGGAGGCAGAGCTTGCAGTGAGCCGAGATCGCACCACTGCATTCCAGCCTGGGTGACAGAGCGAGACTCCGTCTCAAGATAAATAAATAACAAATAAATAAAAATTAGGAATTCTACCCTTATCATTCCTGGGTATGTGTGCCTCTTTTCTTCCCACAACATCAAGCCCAGGCCTGCCTGATGGGTGCAGCCTCCAGGGGGCAGGCCCACCGGAACAGGACCTATGGGGCTTGGCCTTAGTTCAGGTTCTGCCCTTGGGACTCTCCTGGACTCGCTTGTCCTAGGTCCCAAAGACAGTGGCCACTTGGTCGAGTGTCCTTTTTGCCAAGTCTCCCTACTTGGCACATCAGACAACGTGAGGGAAATCATAAGTCTCTAAATTTGTAAAAATGCCCATGTTCCATTCACATCGGACTCTTCCAAAAACAAGTCTGGGTGTGAGTAGATGTTGAAAGAAGAAGTGAAGCGGTACTTCCGGGGTGGGATACAGACTGATTTCATGTCCTTGGAGGGAGACCAACAACCTGGCACCTGAGGAGGGAACACCTTAGACCCCAGGAGGTGGGGGGAGAGGGGTGGGGAGGGTGCAATCAGTCCTCCCTCTGGCCTCCAGACCCAGCACCGCTGCTTGGCCAGACTGTCACCTGATCCTCCCAAGTCCAGCAGCATCTGCAGCTGCTATTCTGACCCACTATAAAAACACACCTGTAAGCTGGGCGCAGTGGCTCATGCTTGTAATCCCAGCATTTTGGGAAGCCCAGCACTTTGGGAAGCCAAGGCGGGCAGATCACTTGAAGTCAGGAGTTCCAGACCAGCCTGGCCAACATAGTGAAACCCCATCTCTACTAAAAATACAAAAATTAGCTGGGCGTGGTGGTGCATGCCTGTTGTCCCAGCTACTCGGGAGGTGGAGGCACGACAATTGCTTGAACCTGGGAGGCAGAGGTTGCAGCAAGCGGAGATTGTACCACTGGCACCCCAGCCTGGGCGACAGAGTGGGACTCTGTCTCAAAAAAAAAAAAAAGAAAAACCCCACACTTGTAGACATGGCCAGTCTAGAGCCATTCTGCACCTGAAGCCATCAATGGCAGCTCCTGAATGTGGGGCCCCCTCCCCCAACACACAAGATGTTTCTAAACGTAGGGACAGGCCCAGCCTTGTTCCAGTCTGGCTGGTACAAAATCATAGGCTTCTGATGCCCAAGGAGCTCTGAGCTCTACCCCACGTAGTCATTGAGCCTGCAGCTCAGTAGCACTGCCCATGGGGCTTAACCAAACCAATGCTGTGGTGTTCCAAGTGACGTTTCCCAATTCCTGCCTGGGCACAGTACTCACGCCTGTAATCCCAGCACTTTGGGAGGCTGAGATGGAAAAATCGTTTGAGCCTGGGAGGTCAAGGCTGCAGTGAACCATGCTCACAATGCTACCACTGCACTCCAGCCTGGGCAACAGAGCAAAACAAGACCCCATCTCTAAAAACAAAAACAGAAAAATTCCTGAGCTGGGCACCCTGGACCCCTCAGGTTGTGTGTTTGCATGTGGGAAGGTGGCCCACAGAATGTCTCTCCTCTGGGGAGGAGGTTGTTTTTTGGGTTTGTAATGACAGGCAATGACACCAAAGATCAGATCAGACTTGACTCCCTTGTGTGAATCCTAGTGAAGTGCTCCCAAACCTTTCTGGCACCAAGGACTGGTTTTGTGGAAGACAGTTTTTCCACAGACCAGGGTGGTGGGGGGTAGGGGGTGGTTTCATGATGAAACTTCTACCTCAGATCATCAGGCATTAGATTCTCATAAGGAAGCTGGGTGCATTGGCTCACACCTGTAATCCCAGCACTTTGGGAGGCTGAGGTGGGTGGATCACTTGAGGTCAGGAGTTGGAGACCAGCCCGGCCAACATGGCGAAACCCTGTCTCTACCAAAAATACAAAAATTAGTTGGGTGTGGTGATGCACACCTGTAATCCCAGCTACTCGGGAGGCTGAGGCATGAGAATCACTTGAACCCAGGAGGCGGAGGTTGCAGTAAGCAGAGATCATACCACTGTACTCCAGCCTGGGCAACAGAGTGAGACTGTGTCTCAAAAAAAAAAAAAGATTCTCATAAGGAGCATACAACCTAGATCCTTCGCATGCACAGTTCACTATAGGGTTTGCACTCCTATGAGAATCTGATGCTGCTGCTGATCTGACAGGAGGCGGAGCTCAGGCAGTGATGGTCACTCGCCTCCTGTGCATCTGGGTTCCTAACAGGCTGGGGACCGGTACTGGTCTGTGGCCTGGGGGTTTGGGGACCCCTGTCCTAGTGAATAGGAGACTGTGTCTGGGATGTCTGAAGTAAGACCTGGTGGTCCCCTCGCCCCTGGAACCTGGCGGCATGGTTGAGGTTAATGCTGCAGATTGGAGTCCAGTTGATCATAGATGCTTAATGAGATGCTGTATGAAACAACACATTTGGCCCCAGCCTCTGTTGGTCAGATTCATCAGAGTGGAAGCAGAATGACACATTCATTCAATTTATCAGCAGCTAAGGTGGTAGAGGGGAGTCTCTCATTCCTACAGGTCTTGCTGAATGTACCAGGAATGCATGACCCTGATAGCTCTCTCCCTTGGTTTTATTTTTTTTTTCTTTCTTTCTTTCGAGACAGAGTTTCACTGTGTCACCTAGGCTGGACTACAGTGGCACAATCTGAGCTCACTGCAACCTCTGCCTCCCAGGTTCAAGTGATTCTCTTGCCTCAGCCTCCTAAGTAGCTGGGATTATAAGGGACACACCACCAGGCTCGGCTAATTTTTGTATTTTTAGTAGAGATGGGGTTTCGCCACGTTGGCCAAACTGGTCTCAAACTCCTGACCTCAAGTGATTGACCTGCCTCGGCCTCCCAAAGTGCTGGGATTACAGGCGTGAGCCACCACGCCTGGCCTCCCTTGGTCATTTCTTACGGTTGTGTTTGCAGCAAGCACGTTGAGGGGTGAGGGCAGGCTGCGTATAGCCAGGCAGGTCCCCAAGCTTAGCATGCCTCTTTCGTAACAACCCACTCCCTGTGCAGGTGTCCATCTGGGTCCCCGGCTCTGCCTCTACAGCCCAGGGGAATCCCACACATGGTGGCGTCTGTGCTGCTTCGTGCGAGCAGGAAAGCCTTTGTCTCTGACCCTGGAGTCTCGAGACTTCTCCCAGCATTTTTGAAACAGTAAGAGGCTCACATACTAGCCTGTTAAGTGGAATCATATCAAATCCCAGACCCAGCAGTCAGCTGGGTGGAGGCCAAGCCTGGGCCTTTCCAGCTGGGTTGTCAGCCCCTTGGCACTTCCCACGGACGGTCCGTCGAGATTTCCTGACGATCAGGATCCCAGAACATCAAGGACCAGAGCAAGACTGACTGTGGTCAGAGGTTCCAGTCCAGAGCTTTCGTCTTCTGGGAAAGGAAACTGGGTCCCTGCATACTGTGTGCTTAAGGTCATCTGTCTCCCAAGATGTGGTTGATTTCAAAGAAAACATTCAGGAACAGGGATTATGGTGTTTACAGAACCAAGGCACTATATTCCTGTGAGCTTCAGGAAAGAAACCAAACCAGCCTTGCTGCAGCCGCTTTTCCAGTCCACCCATCAGCCCTTGGGCATGCAGGAGTGTGAGACCTGCCGGGAGGGCTAGACAGTGCCCTTCTTGGTCCCACACCGTCTTGCCTTCCCAACGCAGTTAAATTGACATCCAGAAATCTTCCTAAATTGCAGAGATTAAGTAAAAGCTTTCAGGGTTAGAGTGTCCCTCGGAAGGATGGCTGCTGGTGAAATGTTAGAGAAGGGGTAAGCTGACCTAGCAGTGGATGACATCAATACTGCTGCCAGCTGGGAGCACAGGTCCCTTTTTCCTACAGGGGAGAAGGCACTGTTTATACCCTCAAGGCATTTTAGGCAGAGATCATCAGGGAATAAACAGGAAAGGGCAGGCTGGGTGCAGTGGCTCATGCCTGTAACCCCAGCATTTTGGGAGGCCAAGGAGGATCAGTTGAGCCCAAGAATTCAAGACCAGCCTAGGCAACATAGTGAGACCCCATCTCAAAAAATATATATATATTTTTTGAGATGGGGTCTCACCCTGTCGCCCAGACTGGAGTGCAGTGGCGCAATCTTGGCTCACTACAACCTCCACCTCCCAGGCTCAAGCGATTCTCCTGCCTCAACCTCCCAAGTAACTGGATTACAGGCGCCAAGTAACTGGATTACAGGCGCCCACCACTACGGCCTGGCTAATGTTTGTATTTTTAGTAGAGACGGGGTTTCATCATGTTGGTCAGGCTGGTCTCAAACTCCTGACCTCAGGTGATCCACCCGCCTCAGCCTCCCAAAGTGCTGGGATTACAAGTGTGAGCCACTGCGCCCAGCCCCCAAAAAATTTTTTGTATGAGCCAAGCATAGTGGTGCATGGCTGTAGTCCCAGCTACTCAGGAGGCTGAGGTAGGAGGATCCCTTGAGCCCAGGAGGTTGAGGCTACAGTGAGCTATGATCATACCACTGCACTCCAGCCTGGGTGACAGAGCAAGACCCTGCCTCAAAAAAAAAAAAAAAAAAAAGTTACTGGGTGCGGTGGCTCATGCCTGTAATCCCAGGACTTTGGGAGGCCAGGGTGGGCAGATCACGAGGTCAGGACATCGAGACCATCCTGGCTAACACAGTGAAACCCCGTCTCTACTAAAAATACAAAAAATTAGCTGGGTGTGGTGGCGTGTGCCTGTAATCTCAGCTACTCGGGAGGCTGAGGCAGGAGAATCGCTTGAACCAGGGAGTTGGAGGTTGCATTGCAGTGAGCCGAGATCAGGCCACTGCACTCTAGCCCGGTGACAGAGCAAGACTCCGTCTCAAAAAAAAAAAAAAAAAAAATAGAAGAAGAAAACAAAAACTAACATTGATTGAGCATCAGTTTAACTTGTGCCAGGCAGGTTCTGTGCAAAACCATTTCCTAGATGAGATAAGTTTTCCTTTTTACAGACGAGGAAGCAGTAGTCCAGAGTGGCTAGCTGATTTGTCCACAAAGCAGTAAGCGGTAGAGCGACTGACCTCCAGGACCCAAACTTGCAGCCCCTCTGTGCCGGTGGTGACTCACCCTTAGCACAGTACCTGGCAGCAGGCGATGCCACCTGTTCACTAAGGCATGGCGAGCAGCACCTCTGAGTCACACCATTCTGGGTGGTGCACAAAGCAGATGAGTTCTCACCCTCATGGAATGCGCACTCTGCCTCGAGAGACGGACACTTTCTCTCATATCCTGCGTCCAGTTGCAGGCAAAGCCACAATCATTGCTCACCTCCCAGTCACACTCAGGGTAAAGAGCAAAGGTCTTTGATTTACAAGTCCACACCCGCCACCCGCCTCTCCTCCCCTCTCCCTCATCTGCCTCTCTCCTTCTGCTCTCTCTGCCACTCTGACCTCAGCGCAGCTCCTCAGACACAGGCACATTCCTGCCTCAGGGGCCTTTGCATTTGCTCTTCCCTCTTCCTCTATATGCTTGCATCGCTTGCCTGCTTGTCTTCAGGTCTTTTTTTTTTTTTTTTTTTTTGAGTCTCGCCCTGTTGCCCAGGCTGGAGTGCAATGGCACAATCTTGGCTCACTGCAACCTCCGCCTCCCGGGTTCAAATGATTGTCCTGCCTCAGCTTCCCGAGTAGCTGGGATTATAGGCACCCACCACCATGCCCAGCTAATTTTTGTATTTTTAGTAGAGAGGGGGTTTCACCATGTTGGCCAGGCTGGTCTCGAACTCTTGACCGCCTGCCTCGGCCTCCCAAAGTGCTGAGATTACAGGCATGAGCCACTGCACCAGGCCTGTCTTCAGGTCTTTTTTATTTTATTATTTATTTATTTATTTATTTATTTATTTATTTATTTTGAGACAGAGTCTCGCTCTGTCGCCCAGGCTGGAGTGCCGTGGTGCGATCTCGGCTCACTGCAAGCTCCACCTCCCGGGTTCACGCCATTCTCCTGTCTCAGCCTCCCGAGTAGCTGGGATTACAGGCGCCTGCCACCATGCCCAGCTAATTTTTTTGTATTTTTAGTAGAGATGGGGTTTCACTAAGTTGGCCAGGATGGTCTCGATTTCCTGACCTCGTGATCTGCCTGCCTCGGCCTCCCAAAGTGCTGGGATTACAGGCATGAGCCACTGCACCCGGCCCACATACTACATTTTCTATCCACTCACCAGTTGATGAAGACTTAATTTGTTTCCAGTTTTCTTTTTTCTTTTTTTTGAGATGGGATCTCCCTGTATTGCCCAGGTTGGTCTTGAACTCCTGGGCTCAAGTGATCCTCCCACCTAAGCCTCCCAAAGTGCTGGGATTTGTTTCCGGTTTTTTTCCTACTATGCTATACTTTTGACTTTGTTTCCCTGACTAGGATGTCAATTCCGTGAGGCTGGATTTTTGCTGATTTTTTTTTTTAACCTCTGTACCCCTAGCTTTTTTTTTTTTTTTTTTTTTTTTTGAGATGGATTCTTGCTCTGTCGCCCAGGCTGGAGTGCAGCAGTGTGATCTTGGCTCACTGCAACCTCCACCCCCCGGGTTCAAGCAATTCTCCTGCCTCAGCCTCCCAAGTAGCTGGGATTACAGGCGTACGCCACCATGCCTGGCTAATTTTTGTATTTTTTTTAGTAGAGACGGGGTTTGACCATGTTGGCTAGGCTGGTCTCAAACTCCTAACCTCAGGTGATCCGCCTGCCTCAGCCTCCCAAAGTGCTGGGAATTACAGGTGTGAGCCACTGTGCTCAGCCTGTGTGTTTTGAGACAGGGTCTTGCTTCGTCACCCAGGCTGGAGTGCAGTGGCTCAATCACAGCTTACTGCAGCCTGGACTTCCCAGGCTCAAGTGATCCTCCCGCCTCAGCCTCTCAAGTAGCTGGAACTACAGGCGAGTGCCACCATGCCTGGCTAAGTTTTAATTTTATGTAGAGATGGTCTCAGTATGTTGCCCAGGCTGATTTCAAACTCTTGGGCCCAAGTGATCCTCCTGCCTTGCTTCCCTCCCAAAGTGCTAGGATTACAGGCATGAACCACTTCACCTGGCCCATGCTATATGTTTGCCCCTCGTCTTCTTACCTACTCCCTCAGTTTTCTCATCTGTGAAGCAGGGGTTGGAACAGTAGGGGTTGAATGTTTGTGTCTTCCCCAAACTCCTGTGCTGAAGCTGAGTGATGGTATTTGGAGGTAGGACCTCTGGGAGGTCATCAGGTGATGTGGGTGGAGCCCTTATTAATGGGATTTGTGCCCTTATAGAAAGGGACACAACATGAGATGATCTTGCTCTGGGCCATGCCGGGAGGAAGGGAGAAGGTGGCTGTCAACGAGCCAGGAAGCGGCACTCCTGACACTGGATCTACCAACACCCCTATCTCAGACTTCCAGCCTCCAGGACCGTGAGAACTGTTTCCTGTTGAAGCCACCCTCTCTATATTTGTTACAGCAGCCCACACTGATTAAGACACTTTTTTTTTTTTTTTTTTTTTTTTTTTTTTTGAGATGGAGCCTCGCTCCATCACCCAGGCTGGAGTGCAATGGCGCAATCTCGGCTCACTGCAACCTCTGCCTCCCGGGTTCAAGTGATTATCCTGGGTCAGCCTCCCAAGTAGCTGGGATTGCAGGCACCTGCCACCATGGCTGGCTAAATTTTGTATTTTTAGTAGAGACAGGGTTTCACCATGTTGGCCAGGCTGGTCTCCAACTCCTGACCTCAGGTGATCCACCTGCCTCGGCCTCCCAAAGTGCTGGGCGTGAGCCACCATGCCCGGCCTGACACTTATCTTTTATATCTATATATTTTTTTCTTTGTTGAGACGGAGTCTCACTGTGTCGCCCAGGCTGGAGTGCAGTGGTGTGATCTTGGCTCACCGAAACCTCTGCCTCCCAGGTTCAAGTGATTCTCGTGCCTCAGCCTCCGGAGCAGCTGGGATTACAGGCGTGAGCCACCATGACTGGCCTAAAACACCTACCTTTTATTTTTTAAAAAACCAACACATTATCAGTACTTCATGCCAGACACCATTCTAGGAAATTAACTCCTCTGACTTTCACATCAATCCCATGGGTAGCTGTTATTTACAGATGAGGAAACTGAGGCACAGAGGTAAAACAACTTTGCTGAGGTCACCTTGCTGCTAAGTGACACAGCTGGCATCTAGTGCAGCAGGCTGGCTCCAAGTCTATGCCCCTCACCCCTCAGACGCTGCTCACCAAGCCGGAGGGGCTGTGGGAGCGAGTTAGAACACGGGACGCCCCTGGCAGCAGCGCCCTGCGTGTTAAAGCGCCGCGGAGGAAGCTGTATTGTCGCGGTACGCAGGAAGGCAGGGGCAGCACCTCCCTCTTCAAGAACGAGCATCTGAGCTTTTGGGGGAAACCTGTAGCTCCCCGAATGCCATCCACAGAGCCCCCCTCAGTCGGCCTCCCCTGAGGCACCAAGGCTGGCGGAAGCAGTCACCTGTCCATCTCCCCCACTTCTCACAGAGGAAATCCTGGGTGGTGCCGGGCAATGAGTCAGGGCTGAGGACCAGGACAGAGGTTGGGTGGGGCGTCTCAGCATTCCTCCAACGGGCAGGTCTCAGCGCTCCTCCCCCTGCTCCGCTCCTCTGCAGGGCCCAGGCGCCCTTGGCCTTAGGACCCAACTTCTCTTACCGCCATGGAGTTCGACCTGGGAGCAGGTGAGCTCCTGGGGAGTGTGGACTGGAGGTGCAGGGGGCCGGACTCAAGCCCAGAAGCTGCCTGCACCAACCACCCAACTTCTCTCCACAGCCCTGGAGCCCACCTCCCAGAAGCCCGGTGTGGGGGCGGGCCACGGGGGAGATCCCAAGCTCAGTCCCCACAAAGTTCAGGGCCGGTCGGAGGCAGGGGCAGGTCCGGGTCCAAAGGTAAGTCGCCTCATCACCGGCTGCGGAGGGGCGGGAAGGCTGGGGTTGCCCCTGACCCCAGGGTCCTGCCTTAGGCCTCCAACTTCAGGGGGCTGGGTAAGGGGCGCCGCCTCACTGCCGCACCTCCATCCAGCAAGGACACCACAGCTCTTCCGACTCCAGCAGCAGCTCCAGCGATTCGGACACGGATGTGAAGGTAAGGGGCTCTCGCCAGCGTCCCCAAGCACGTGCCCTGCACCCCAGAGAGGCGTCCCCGCACTGGGGCTGGCGGGGAGGGTGCGGGGAGTGGTCCCCCTGTCTCGCTTCCAGCCCAGAACCATCTCTTCTCTCCCATCCCTGCCCTCGGCCCCACAGTCCCACGCTGCTGGCTCCAAGCAGCACGAGAGCATCCCGGGCAAGGCCAAGAAGCCCAAAGTGAAGAAGAAGGAGAAGGGCAAGAAGGAGAAGGGCAAGAAGAAGGAGGCTCCCCACTGAAGGGCCCTGGACAGGGCTCATTAAACCTTCCTCTCTGCCTTCTGCGACTGGTCAGCGTGGTGCCTACTCTGGCCCGTCCCCAGCTCCCTGCCCCCTGCCCAGCGCTGGGCCCGCCCATTCGTGCGCGAGGCCAAGGAGAGGCTGTCCACGCCATGCCCATCAGGGTTTATTGTTTCTGTAACAGCGGCCACGCCCTGGGGCGGTGGCCTGTGCAGCTGGAGATCTCTCAGCACCTTGGGTTGGGGGCGGGGCTGGGCGGGACATGGGATGGAGGCGGTGCCTGTGGCCAGACAGGGTGGACCTTGGGGCCTGCAGGCAGGAGATGAGTTCGGCGGCCACAGTGGCCCCCAGCAGCAGCAGCAGCAGCGGGAGGTTCAGCGGGCGCGCTCACCGCACCAGGTGGAAGGTGAGCCAGTACATGAGCATAGGCTGCGCCGCCGCCACCGCCATGGTCAGGTACATGCGCAGCTGGTTCCGGGCCCCACGCACCGGGACCCCCTCAGCTGCTGCGTCTGCCAAGATCTTCAGCCGCAGCGTCCGGATCTGGGTGGGAAAGAGAGAGAGGAACCAAGGGATTTACCCTTGAGCCCTCTGGGCCAGAGTGAGAGCCCGGACATACTTCCAGCCTCTGCCTAGAAGCCCCAGGCAGCTGGGGACAAGTCCCTGGCCCTCTGCAGCCTCAGGTTTCTGCTCCCGGGGCCTCAGTTTCCCCAAACCTCCTAACATGGTGAGGATTTGCTTCTCCCCGGGCCCTGTGGGCAAAATCTGAGAAGGTTCCATACTCAAATGCCAGGCAAGGTCTTGGAGCGGGTGAAGGGGGACTTCCCGGTGGACACCCGGCCTGAGGGGGTGGGAGACGTGGCCCAGGATGCTGCCCCCCCTTATGCTGGCCACACGGCAATTTCTGAAGACACGCCAGAAATGCTATCTTTATTTTTATTAAAGGACAGGGTCTCTGGCCTGGTGCGTTGGCTCACGCCTGTAATCCCAGCACTTTGGGAAGCCAAGGCGGGCGGATCACGAGGTCAGGAGATTGAGACCATCCTGGCCAACACGATGAAACCCCGTCTCTACTAAAAATACAAAAATTAGCTGGGCGTGGTGGTGAGTGCCTGTAGTCCCTGCTACTCAGGAGGCTGAGGCAGGAGACTTGCTCCTGAACCCAAGAGGCGGAGGTTGCAGTGAGCCAAGATCCCGCCACTGCACTCCAGCTTCCCGACAGAGCGAGACTCTGTCTCACAAAAAAAAAAAAAAAAAAAAAAAAAAAGTCAGGGTCTCACCCTGTCCGCCAGGCTTGACTGCAGTGGCGTGACCTCAGCTTACTGCAGCCTCAACCTCCCAGACTCAAGTGATCCTCCCACCTCAGCCTCCTGAGTAGCTGGGACTACAGGTGCACACTGCTATGCCTGGCTAATTTTTATATTTTTTTAGAGATGGGGTCTTGCTATGTTGTCCAGGCTGGTATCAAGCTCCTGGCCTCCAGTGATCCTCCTGCCTCAGCCTGCCAAAGTGCTGGGATCACAGATGTGAGTCACGTGCTTGGCCTAAACTTTTAAATGATGAGACTTAAGTCAAAGTTTATCCAAGGCTCTGCCCTGGCCCACCAGCCACCACAGTCTGCCCTCTGCTTCTCACATGCTCACAGTGAATCCTCCCAGCACCTTGAGGTGCAAGTATCATCATCCTATTTTACAAAAGGGGAAACTGAGTTTATTTTTTATTTTTATTTTTTTTTGAGACGGAGTCTCGCTCTGTCACCCAGGCTGGAGCGCAGGTGTGCGATCTCGGCTCACTGCAACCTCCACCTCCTGGGTTCAAGCGATTCTCCTGCCTCAGCCTCCTGAGTAGCTGGGACTACAGGCACACACCACCACACCCAGCTAATTTTTTGTATTTTTAGTAGAGATGGGGTTTCACCGTGTTAGCCAGGATGGTCTTGATCTCCTGACCTCGTGATCCGACCGCCTCGGCCTCCCAAAGTGCTGGGATTACAAGCATGAGCCACCGCGCCCGGCAAAAGGGGAAACTGAATTTAAAGAAAGGAAGTGATTTGCCCAGGATCCAACTAAGCTTGGGGTCCACCCAGCCTGCAGACCCCAGTGCTCTTCACCAGCACCCCTGACTCCAGTGGGAAGGGCTCTAGAGAATCTCCTTCCAGGGAAATTCTGGCAGGAAGGCTCCCATGTAAGGAGAGTGGAATGAGAGTGAGAGCCCAGCCTGGAGCCTGTGTGCTGGGGATCCCCAGCCTCTAGCAGCCTGGCTGGTGTCTCCTCTTCCAGGGCTCAGGATACCCCCTCTTCCAGGAAGCCCTCCTGACCCCCCAGGCCGGGCAGCCACTCCAGGGCTCCTCAGTTCAGCAATGTGTCTCTGGTCTGAACCCCACACCTGACATCCTCTGCTTGGATGCCTGGATGCCTCCGGGGCACCTGTGCCTCAGCCTCACCAGCCCCGAGCCCAGCTCACCATGAACACAAAGATGGCTACGCAGCACCAGCCCAGCACCAGGTAGTAGCCAATCTTCCCGAAGAGCAGGCCCATGAGGACCCCGCCAATCATCCTGGGGGAGGGAGAGGAGGCTGTGTGAGGACAAGGCCCAAGGGCTGGGGCTGGCGTGAAGGGCGGGGGTACTCACCCGACATATTTGTAGCCCAAGAAGGCCACCAGGTCGATGGTGGTGAGGTCGGTGTTGACAGTGACCAGATAGAGGCTGAGCAGGATGGCCAGCACCTCCAGGGTCAGCCAGGCCAGGGCTGAGCTCGCTTGCAGCCCCAGGAGGTCTGGGGAGAACCTGCAGGCACAAAGCCCCGCCACTTGGTTGGCTGGTTCAGACCCCCCACCCCCAGCACCCATCTGGGGACAGCTCTGTGTTGGGTAGGGCTGGACACCTGGCAGTGACCAAGATGGATGTGCGCGCTATCCTATTCCCACGGAAATCCCATCCAGAGAGGATGGCAGACCCATCCCTAGACAGTGACACCCAGAGCAGGCAGGGCTGGAGTCACAGGGGGCTGTGCTGACAGTCAGGAGACAGGTGTCAGAGAGGGCTTCCCAGGAGAGGGGACACCGAGCTGAAGCCTGCAGGAAGGAGCTGGTCAGGGACAAAGCCCTTGGCCTCTGCCACATCCCCAGGGCCTCACCAGTTAGTTAATGACAGATGTGTTCAGTGCCATAAAGGAAAAGAACAGGGCGATGTGAGCAAGAGGAGGGGCCTGATCTAGCCTGGGGGGCAGGAAGGCTTCCCGGAGGAGGTGATACTGGAATGGAGCCAGCAGGGATGTGCAGGTACTCGGCAGTAGTGGAGGGGAACACGCTCCTGGGCAGAGGGGAGTTGATGTGACAAGGCCCCAGGAGACAGTGCCAGCCCTCCCAAGGAAAGGAATAGACCGGAGCGTGCAGCGGGAGGGGCAGTGCCAGGCTGAGGAGCTGGGGCTTGATTGGGAGCCATGGATAGCAGGGCGGGGCAGGGTGGGCCAGGCCCGCACCTCAGACAGGACCATCCTGGCTGCTGCTGGAGTAGGGGTGCAGTGGGGAGCTGGTGATGACAGAGGGAGGATGAGGATGGGTCTGGTAGTAGAGGCCAAGAGGAAGGGTGGATGGAGAAGGGTCACCCAGCACAGGGGATGGTGACGCAATGCATGTGGGTAGGAAGGACAGGGAAGAGGCGAGGGTGATGCTGACAGTGACCCTGAGGGCTGTATCTTGGGCCAACTGGGAGCAAAGTGGGGCTGTCCTGAAAGGGGAACTGAGACCTTGGAACTGAGACCTTCCTGACCAACCATGGGCCTCCCAAACCCCACCTTATTCGGCCTGCCCCAGGCCTCCCTTACCTATCCTGGGTCCCCAGCGCAAGACCAGCCACCAAAACGTAGGTGATGAAAGCCATTGCTGTGGGAGACAGACACACAGACACTGGTCACCAGAGGAAGAACTGCCCTGGGCCTCCAGGCACCCACACACCCGCTCCATATAGGCCCGGAAGAGAGAGGAGGGTGCAGGGTAGGGGGAGGGTGAAACCTGGAATGTAGAGGTCCGGGGCATTGACGTCAAAGCGGGGGGCCACCGGGGTGTCCTGTTGGTACTGCACTTCCCAGTCCTGCGGGGATGGGGAGACGGGCAGGACCCTCAGAGCCAGGCCCCTCCCACCCTGCTACAGGCCCTCCTCCCTCGAGGCGAATCTCCCGGCTCCACCATGCACCTGCCCCCACCCCTGAGCCCCCCACAGGCCCACTGCAGACCCACATTCCCCTGGGGGTGCTGACCTGGTGTAGGTAGGGGAAGAACAGCAGGCCCAGCTTTCTGCCCACATACATGGTGTCCACAGCAAAGTAATACTTGAGCTTGGTGATGGGGATGAAGCGGTCGATCTGGGGAGGCAGAGCTCAAGTCTGAAGCCCTGTGGCCCCGTGCATCCCCCCACTCCCACCAGCCCCGCCCACTCACGTTCTTATCCACCAGCTCCTTGCCCTGCGCGGCCAGGCTGCTCCCATAGGCCATGGCCATGTTGGACACCGGGTCAGCCAGGAAGGCTGCATGGGGCGTGGGAGAGGCTGCAGGATAACTCAGGCCACCAGGTGCCCGCTGGGCCCCATAGCCCCGGCTCTGGGCTGAACTTGTGTCATCGAAAAGCTGGTGGGGGTCGGCCATGCCCGGCTGGGACACAGGGATCCTCCGCTTCGAGGCTGCAAGGGAAGAGAGTGAGAAGGAGCTGGGGACCCAGGATAGGTAAGGGAGACCTGGCGAACCTCATTCATCCCACAGCTCTGCCTCCTGCTGCAGAGGAGGGTGGTGTCACCATTAGAGACACTGGCTTTGATGTCAGATGGACTGGCAGGTGCAAGCTCTGCCATTCATCCACCAACCCACCCATCTAGCCAACTATCCATCCACTGATACATTCATCTATGCATCCATTCATCTACCCACCCATCCATCCACCTATCCATCTACCCACCCTCCCACTCACCCACCCATCCATCCATCTATCCATCTAACCATCCATCCATCCATCCATTCATCCATCCATCCATCCAGCCATCCATCCACCCACCCATCTAGCCAACTATCCATCCACTGATGCATTCATCTGTCCATCCATTCATCCATCCACCCATCCATCCATCCACCCTCCCACCCATCAATCCATCCATTCATCCATCCACCCACCCATCTATCCATCTATCCATCTACCCACCCACCCATCAATCCATCCATTCATCCATCCACCCATCCATCCATCCATCCATCCACCTATCCAACCATCCATCCATCCACCACCCATCTAGCCAACTATCCATCTAATGATGCATCCACCCACCCACCCACCCATCCATCCATCCACCTACCCATTCATCCATCCACCCACCCACCCATCCATCCACCCATCCACCCACCTATCTAGCCAACTATCCATCCACTGATGCATTTATCTTTCCATCTATCCATCCATCCATCCACTCACCAAGCTATCTATCCATCCACCAACTCATTCATCTATCCACCCATCTATCATCCATCCATCCATCATCATCCATCCATCTAACCATCCATTCACCCACCCACCCATCCACTTATCATCCATCCATCCAGATATCAATGATGATGATTATCTCAAAAGCTACTATGTGCGAGAGGAAGGGGGGGCTATTGGGCACAAAATCCTGTACCAAGCCTTTTACACAAGGCCGCTGTCCATATCTCCTATGCTCCCCCTCAATGACTTGGCTCCAGCCACCTGCGCCTCCCAATGCTCACTGAATGCACCAGGAAGGTGCCTGCCTCAAGGCCGCTGCACCAGCTGTGCCTCTGCTTGGAACGCTCTTCCCCCAACATCCTCAGAGCTCCCTCCTCTCCTCCTCAAGGGCTTTGTTCAGTGAGGCCTTCCCCAGCCATCCTGTCTACAACCGTACCTCCCTTGGTGGCACTCCCCACCCCCTGCCCTGCTTCACTGATATCCATAGAACTCGGCACTAGCTGACATGCTGGCTGTCTTATTTTGTTCACTGTCTCCCCCACTCAACTGTGAGTCCCCCAAGGTGGGGATCTTGATCTCGTTCACAGCTGAGTCCCCAGCCCCTTGCACAGGGTTAGAGTAGGCACTTGATAAAAACCTGATCAATGAATAAAGGCAGCCTGGGCAACATGGCGAGACCCCATCTCTACAAAATATAGAAAGATTAGCTAGGTGTGGTGGTTCACGCCTATGGTCCCAGCTACTCGGGAGGCCAAGGTGGGAGGATCGCTTCAGCCTGGGAGACAAAGGTTGCAGTGAGCCGAGACTGCACCACTGCACTCCAGCCTGGGCAACACAGTGAGACCCTGTCTCAAAAAAAAAAAACAAAAAACAAAAAACAGAATAAATGACCACTCCCAATTTACAGGTGTGGAAACCAAGGCCCAGACAGCTAAAATGACTTGTGCAAAGGGCCAAACTGAGTGAGTGGCAGAGCAGGAGTCCAGCCCTGCTGTGCCTGATAAATATTACAATAATCCTGTGGATGAACTCATCTCATCTTCACAACCACCCTGTTTCTGCCAGCTGCCAATGCTATCATCATCCCCATTTTACATATGAGAAAAGCAAGCCCTAAAGAGGCTCAGGCCTTTGCCCAAAGTCATAGTATGAGAGCCAGGTTTCAAAAGTTTTTAAAAGGTCCCTGTGGCCTCACGTGGGGAACAGATGAGGGGTGGGCAGGGAAGGGAGAGAGGCTGCTGGGGTGATCCAGGTGGGAGACCATGGCAGACAGGACTGGGGGTGTAAAAGAGGAATGGGTTATTTCTGGATCAGTTTCAGAGCTAGGAGGGACAGGACTTGCTGAGGGGTGCTCAGAGGAGGTGTGTTAAGAAGTGGGAAGAGGCCAGGCGCAGTGGCTTACGCCTGTAATCCCAGCATTTTGGGAGGCCAAGGCAGGTGGATCACCAGGTCAGAAATTCAAGACCAGCCTGGCCAACATGGTGAAACCCCATCTCTACTAAAAATACAAAAATGAGCTGGGCATGGTGGTGCGTGCCTGTAATCCCAGCTACTCCGGAGGCTGAGGCAGGAGAATTGCTTGAACCGGGACCGGGGAGGTGGAGGTTGCAGTGAGCCAAGATCGCGCCACTGCACTCCAGCCTGGGCTACAGAGCGAGACTCCATCTCAAAAAAACAAAACAAAACAAAACAAAAAACGTGGTAAGAGGCTGGGCATGGTGTCTCACGTCTATAATCCCAGCACTTTGCGAGGCTGAGACAGGCAGATCACCTGAACTCAGTTCAAGACCAGCCTGGCCAACATAGTGAAACCCCATCTCTACAAAATATAAAATAGCAGGGCATGGTGGCGTGCACCTGTAGTCCCAGCTATTCAAGAGGCTGAGGTGAGAGGACTGCTTGAACCTGGGATGTCAAGGCTGCAGTGCCAAGATCATGCCACTGCACTCCAGCCTGGGCGACACAGCAAGGCCCTCTTTAAAAAAAAAAGAAGTGGGAAGAGCCAATACTGTCTCTATAGATCCTGGTTTGAGTAATGAGGCAAATGGGAGTGCTCTCTACTGAGATGGAGAAAATAGGGAGGGCGGGATTTGAACCCAGCACTCTGCCTCCAGGGCCTCTGTTCCTAATCAATAACCAATGCTACCCTGCAAATATCTGCTGAGATCCTACTATGTGCCACCCACTATTGCAGGCACAGGGAATGAGTGATCAGATGACAGTGGGAATGGGGAGAGGAATCGAATTATCCACGTCATGACTTTCTCTGCACCTGGATGTTCTCATCTACACAACGGAGTTAACTGTCCCACCTTGCAGAGCTGTTGTGACACTCATAAACTCCTTGGCCCCACAGAAAGCAGTCCATCCATGTCACTCCTGATCAGCTACTAGCCTCGAACCCTTCCTCTCAATTATTCGAAGCCTGAAGACGGACCCAGGTCTCCTCAATTCCAAGGCAAGCAGCACTGGCCCCAGCCTCTCTGCAAGCCCCACTTCCCTTTTCTTTCCCCTACTTCTTCTTCTTTTTTTTTTAGACAGATTCTCGCTCTTGTCACCCAGGCTGGAGTGCAATGGTGCGATCTCGGCTCACCACAACCTCCACCTCCCGGGTTCAAGCAGTTCTCCTGCCTCAGCCTCCTGTGTAGCTAGGATTATAGGCGCACGCCACCAAGCCCAGGTAATTTTTGTATTTTTAGTAGAGATGGGGTTTCACCATTTTGGGCAGGCTGGTCTCGAACTCCTGAGCTCAAGTGATCTGCCTGCCTTGGCCTCCCAAAGTGCTGGGATTACAGGCGTGAGCCACCAGTGCCTGACCCAGAGTGATCTTTTTTTTTTTTTTTTGAGACGGAGTCTCACTGTCACCCAGGCTGGAGTGCAGTGGCGTGATCTCAGCTCACTGCAAGCTCCGCCTCCCGGGTTCACGCCATTCTCTTGCTTCAGCCTCCCAAGTAGCTGGGACTACAGACGCCCACCACCACGCCCGGCTAATTTTTTTGTATTTTTAGTAGAGACGGGGTTTCACCGTGTTAGCCAGGATGGGCTTGATCTCCTGACCTCATGATCCGCCCGCCTCGGCCTCCCAAAGTGCTGGGATTACAGGCGTGAGCCACCTAACCCGGCCCAGAGTGATCTTTTTAAATACAAATAAGACCACGTCATCCTCTGCCTAAGATCACTATTCACTGTGCTCTGAAAAAAATCCAAAGGCCTGCTAGGCCCTGCATGACCCACTCCTGCCAACCACCATGGTTTGCAACCTCTCCTGGGGATCCCATGCACCAGCCAGCCACATGGCCTTTCAGGCCCCGACTCTGCCAAGCTCCTTGCCCCCACTGGCTTTTGAATATGCAGAGCTTTCATCCTGGAACAACCTCCCTCCATCAGCACCTCCCAATATCACACAGAGGCCCCTGCCTTTGCAGAGACCTTCCTCACTCCTCCCTGTAATGCACTAACCTCGTCTGGTTCCTTCTCATAACATGTGGTGCTTTCTTTTTCTCTTCTGAGCACTCACAATAATTTCTGAATATATATTCATATGTCTACTTGTTTACTTGGCACAGGCCTCCAATGCCTTTCCTTCTCTCTCTCTTTTTTTTCTTTTCTTGAGGCGTTGTTTCGCTCGTTGCCTAGGCTGGAGTGCAATGGCGCAATCTTGGCTCACTGCAACCTCCGCATCCTGGGTTCAAGCGATTCTCCTGCCTCAGCCGCCCGAGTAGCTGGAATTACAGGTGCGCGCCACCACGCCCGGCTAATTTTTTTTTTTTTTTTTTTTGAGATGGAGTCTCACTCTGTCACCCAGGCTGGAGTGCAGTGGTGAAATCTCGGCCCACTGCACCCTCCACCTCCCAGGTTCAAGCAATTCTTCTGCTTCAGCCTCCTGAGTAGCTGGGACTACAGGCGCACACCACCACGCCCAGCTAAATTTTCTATTTTTAGTAGAGATGGGGTCTCACCATGTTGGCCAGGCTGGTCTCGAACTCCTGACCTCGTGATCCTCCCACCTCGGCCTCCCAAAATCCTGGGATTATAGGTGTGAACCACTGCGCCCAACCTAATTTTTTTGCATTTTTAGTAGAGATGGGGTTTCATCATGTTGGCCAGGCTGGTTGGCTGGGCACCGTGACTCATGCCTGTGATCCCAGCACTTTGGGAGGCCAAGGCAGGTGGATCACCCTCTTTTTTTTTTTTTTTTTTTTTTTTTGAGGCGAAGTCTTGCTCTGTCGCCCAGGCTGGTGCAATCTCGCCTCAGTGCAACCTCTGCCTCCTGGGTTCAAGTGATTCTCAAGCCTCAGACTCCCAAGTAGCCGGGATTACAGGTGCTCGCCACCACACCCGGCTAATTTTGTGTACTTTTATTAGAGATAGGATTTTGCTGTTACCCAAGCTGGTCTCCAACTCCTGGCCCCAAGTGATTCGCCCACCTCGACCTCCCAAAGTGCTGAGATTATAGGTGTAGGCCAGCACGCCCAGCCTGCCCTCTCACTACAAATCTCCTTCTCCTGGGTAACTTTTCATGATCAGAATTATCCTCTTCCATGCCGGGTGCGGTGGCTCACGCCTGTAATCCCAGCACTTTGGGAGGCCTAGGCGGGCGGATCACCTGAGGTCGGGAGTTTGAGACCAGCTTGACCAACATGGAGAAACCCCGTCTATACCACCCCGGGCGTGGTGGCCTGCGCCTGTAATCCCAGCTACTTGGGAGGCTGAGGCAGGAGAATCGCTTGAACCCGGGAGGCGGAGGTTGCGGTGACCTGAGATCGCGCCATTGCACTCCAGCCTTGGCAACAAGAACAAAACTAGGTCTCAAAAAAAAAAAAAAAAGAAAAAGAAGTATCCTCTTCCAGGAAGCTTCACTGACACCCCTAGGCTGGGTCATGTGCCTCCTCAGGGCTCCCACAACATCTCCATCCCAACACAGGGCCTGACACATGGGAGTTGAGACAAGTTAGGTTGAATGAATAAATGAAACACACAGCACACTCACGGAGATGAAGAGACAGGAAAAGGGGGCCAACAGCACAATACAGGTTCGCTTCTTAAATGAGCGGTAGGCATGGCCCTCTGCGCTCCCGGGGGGCCACGAAGCTGTCCTAAGGGTGTGGGCGACAGCAGGCGGGTACTGGGGAGCCACGGAAGGGTGGGGAGCAGGGAAGGGCGGATCGCTAACTGCAAATGAATGAAAGTTGCATTTCTCTGCATATCGCACGCTATCCAGTCCCAAGTTGTTTTCTTCTAAAGGAATTTCCTAAAGAATCGCCCCCCAAGGGGCCTCCTACCCGAACCTGGCATCCCAGCGCTGTGCACACCTCAGGGTTCCAGATCCTTGATCTCGTGACCTCTGACCTGCAGTGACCTCGCCAACCGACGCGGCCGCCCCGCCACGCCCCCGCCCGCCCGATCTCCTCCGCCGGCCACGTACGCCACTTACGCAGCCGGGGCGTCCCCGCAGCCGCCGCCGCCAAGCCTGCCGGGTGCATCCTTCGCCGCCGCCACCTAAGCCGCGGTTCGGAGCGTGCCCGCCCGGCTCCCGTACCCACGCCCCGCCGGCGAAGAGACAGCCAATGGACGTCAGGATTGAGGGAAGGCCTCGCCCCCACCCCCCCGACCCCTCCAGCCCCCCCCTTCACGGAGGCCTGGACGACTGGGCGGTGCCTTACGTAAGAGGCGGAGACTGGGCTACTGGGCTCATGCAGTAAAGCGAGTCAAGGCCTGAGTGGCAGGAGGGCGAGGCCGGGACCAATCCCAGGAGGAGGCGGTGTCTGCCACGACAGAAAATGAGTGTCTGCCCCTTGCCGGGGCTCACGCCCCTAACTCCAGCACTTTGGGAGGCCGAGGCGGGAGGATTGCTTCAGCCCAGGGATTCGAGACTAGCCTGAGCAACATAGTGACCCTCGCCCCGCCCCATCCCTACAATTTTTTTTTTTTTTAATTTAGCCAGGCTCAGTGGCTTAACGCCTGTAATCTCAGCACTTTGGAAGGCTGAGGATCGCTTGAGCCCAGGAGTTCGAGACCAGCCTGGGCAACAGCGAGATCTCCATCGCTACAAAACATTTTTTAAAATGTAAATATCGAGCGAAAAGGTCGATGGGAAATGCAGTTCTCTGCAGACAGCCGTTCAGTTTGGGTCATTGAGAGCACTGGAGAGCCAGAAAAGGCTGTGGAGCAAGGAAAAGAGAAACATTTGTGTTCCTGAGGGGCTAATTGGAGTTGTAGGGGCTTATACAATTTTTGACATCCCTTAGGTATTAAAGTAAATATTTATTTATTTTGAGACAGGGTCTTCCTCTGTTTTCCAGGCTGCCTCGGACCCCCTGAGCTCAAGTGATCCTCCTGCCTCAGCCTCCCCAGTAACTGGCACCACAGGCATGCACCACCATGCCCAGCTAATTTTTAAATTTTTTGTCAAAACAGGATCTTGCTATGTTGCCCAGGCTGGTCTCGAATTCCTGGGCTCAAGCCATCCTCCTGCTTCAGCCTCCTAAAGCATTAGGATTACAGACATGAGCCACAGTGCCCGGCCTTAAAGTGAATATTTAGAGTGAGAAAAGGAAACCCAACAAGTTAGGTGAGAAGAACCAGGTGTCTCTCTTGGAATAGATCTTAAGGCAGTTTCCCAGAAATTCATAAAAATGTTCTCACATTGCAACCTGGTTCCCTCTGTCCACCAAAAGCATTCTACAACCCCCAGCAACTCACAGCACACAGGCGCACCTGCAAGTGAAGAGCCCTGCCCACCTAGCGTCCTTAGTCTCTCCTCTCTCTGACTCTCAGTCTCCCCCCTTCTCTCCCTCTCAGACTCCCCGACTTATCTCAGGAAAACATAGTGGTGGAAGTTACTTCTGCGCAGCGATAGCGCATCCGGAAGGATGTCAGCAAGTGACCCTATCGCTGTGGCTTCCTCTTCCTCCTCTGAGACGTTGTCTTTTTGGAGACCTTAAGGGCTGCTCCTGGTTTCTCAGTGATGAGTGCTGGCTCCACTGTGGTTCCTTTTTGTGAGCGAAATGCCCGCATTCTTCTTCACCTCTGATTTAGCCTCTGTCCCCTGGGCTCCAACACCATTTTCTCCTCATCCTCAGCCCTCTCTTGCTCTGGTTGCTCCAGATACATCTCTTCCATAAATGTTTTTTTTTTTCTTATTGCTTTTTTGTTTGTTTTTTGAGATGGAGTCTTGCTCTGTCGCCCAGGCTGGAGTGCAGTGATGCGATCTCGGCTCACTGCAACCTTTGCCTCCTGGGTTCAAGTGATTCTCCTGCTTCAGCCTCCCGATAGCTGAGATTACAGGCGTGTGCCATCGCACCTGGCTAATTTTTTGTATTTTTAGTAGAGACAGGGTTTCGCCATGTTGGCCAGGCTGGTCTCGAACTCCTGACCTCAGGTGATCCACCTGCCTTGGCCTCCCAAAGCACTGAGATTACAGGCATGAAACACCGCACCCAGCCTTATGTATATATATTTAATTAATAAAGCAAGTACTGCCAAGTGCAGCGGATCACGCCTGTAATCCCAGCACTTTGGGAGGCCAAGGCGGGCAGATCACCTGAGGTCAGTTTGAGACCATCCTTGCCAACATGGCGAAACCCTGTCTCTACTTAAAATACAAAAATTAGCTGGGTGTTGTGGCGGGCATCTATAATTCCAGCTACTTAGGAGGCTGAGGCAGGAGAATTGCTTGAACCCAGGAGGCAGAGGTTGCAGCGAGCCGAGATTGTGCCATTGCACTCCAGCCTGGGAGACAGAGCGAGACTCTTGTCTCAAAAAAAAAAAAAAAAAAAAAAAAAAAGCAAGTTCATTAGTTCATTGGCTTCCTGCTGGCCTCATGTTCACCCCTTACCAGTTGTGTGACTACTACTTTTTATTTTTTTGAGGCAGGGTCTACTCTATCACCCATACTGGAGTGCAGTGGTGCGACCATAACTCATTGCAGTCTCTAATTCCTGAGCTCAAACGATCCTCCTGCCTCAGCCTCCCGAGTAGCTGGGACTACAGACGCATGCCACCACACTTGGCTAATTTTTGTATTTTTTGTCGAGATGGGGTTTTGCCATGTTGCCCGAGCTGGTCTCAAATGACTACTTCATTTTTAAGCCTAAATTTTCTCATCTGTTTAGTGGGAATTATATTGGGACGGGGTTGAGAATTCAGTGCAAGTTCAGGTGTCCACAGGGCCTGGCAGAATGTAAGCCTTCGATCACTGGCACCTATTGTGTTACTGATTCTATTATCAGGTGCCTCTGCTTCTGGATTGTCAACCCCAAGTTGGGCTCTGCCCGGTGATCTGCCAGCTCTTTAATAGAACCAGCTGGGACATGTCTGAGCTGAGCCCCAAGCCCCACTCCTCTGCCAGTCGGATGGGGTTAGGACTCTGGGCTGCCCTCCAAAAGGCTGTCAGGAAGGCGCTGAGTTCTGGCTGGAGGCAGAAGTGGAGAGACTTACGGGGGGGCGCAGAAAGAAAAATTTCCTCTTAAATAGAGGCGTGTATTTGTGATTCTGCCTGGCTTGTTTCCATTCATCCTTCATGCTTCAGCTCAGCTAGCCCCTTCCTCAGGAAGCTCTCTTGACCTCCCTAGGCAGGGGTGGTTGCTTCCTCTGGACTCCCAGGGCCCTCTAGGGCTCCCTGATTCCAGGCTTGATCATTGTACCCTTGCTTCCCTCATCACAGCCCTGACCACTCTGGGCTGTCTTTTTTCTTTTTTTTAGAGATAGGGTCTCACTCTCTCCCAGGCATAGCTCACTGCAGCCTCGAACTCCTGGGCTCAAGCAATCCTCCGACCTCAGCCTCCCGAGTAGCTGGGACAACAGGCGTGGGTCACTCTTGTGTCAGTCTCCCAGTTAGACTGGGAGCCCCATGAATGCATGGCGCAGGATGGTCTCATCATTACTGAGTCTCCAGGATCATCCAGCGAGGGGTCAGCAGAAAGTGGGCATTGAACAAAGCTTTGGTGAGTAGCTGAGGATCCCCACTCTGTCCACACGGGCACAGGGGACACCTGACTCTGTGGTGTCCGCTGTTCCCACTCCGAGGCTCACAACTTGGCGAATGGAGCGAGAATTGGATTTCAGTTTGCCCCTTGCTCCGTCAGCCGCGCGCCCTGATGCAGTGCACAACCTTAGCTGCTGTGCGCGATGGGGGGCGACTCCTCGGCCTGCGAGCAGAGAGGAAAGTTCAGATTCTTCTAACATAGAGAACCAGCCTTCCAGGAGGACGAGAAGGAAGGAATGAGGGGAAGAGAGGACTACCTCCACCCTTTCCATCCCGTTGGTCTGCTGGGTCTGGGAGCACTGGGCTCCACCCTCTCCGAACGAACACCTGGCGGTTGGGCGTGCCTCAGTTTCCCGGAGGCGGGGCATTCCTCCGTCGCCGCCCCCCACCTCCCCTTTTTCCTCTTCCTCTTGGGGCATCTGCTGCCGCGCCTGTAGCACTCCCGGAACTGGAACTAGGTGCCAGACGGTCCGGAGGCGGGGGCCACGTCAGCGGGGCCACCCAGGGCTCGCGGGGTCCCGGTGGGTGCCATGCGGAGGGGCGCGCTTCTGGCGGGCGCCTTGGCCGCGTACGCCGCGTACCTGGTGCTGGGCGCGCTGTTGGTGGCGCGGCTGGAGGGGCCGCACGAAGCCAGGCTCCGAGCCGAGCTGGAGACGCTGCGGGCGCAGCTGCTTCAGCGCAGCCCGTGTGTGGCTGCCCCCGCCCTGGACGCCTTCGTGGAGCGAGTGCTGGCGGCCGGACGGCTGGGGCGGGTCGTGCTTGCTAACGCTTCGGGGTCCGCCAACGCCTCGGACCCCGCCTGGGACTTCGCCTCTGCTCTCTTCTTCGCCAGCACGCTGATCACCACCGTGGGTACGTAAGCGCCTCACCGCAAGGCGGCGAGGACCCGGGATCCCCACTTCATCCTTAACCCCTGGGGACCCCGGGGCCCTCACGAATACCCTTATCCCAATCCCCTCTGGGCTTCGGATCCCCCGAAAAGACCCCAGTGAGGACCCGGGACCCAGGCTCATGATATCTGCTCTGCTCGGGGAGCCCAAGTCCGAGCCCTTCCTCCTAAGTAGGAAACACCCAGCTCCCCTCAGAGTACCTTTGCAGAGACCAGCTGGGACCCCGTTCCTCGGTCTTTTTTTTTTTTCTTTTCTTTTTCTTTTTTTGAGACAGGGCTTACTCTGTCGCCCAGGCTGGAGTGCAGTGGCACGATCTCGGATCACGGCAGCCTCCGCCTCCCGGTTTCAAGCTATTCTCCTGCTTCAGCCTGCCGAGTAGCTGGGATTACAGGCACATACCACCATGCCTGGCTAATTTTTGTATTTTCAGTGGAGACGGAGTTTCACCATGTTGGCCAGGCTGGTCCCAAACTCCTGACTTCAGGTGATCAGCCCGCCTCGCCCTCCCAAATTGCTGGCATTACAGGCTTGAGCCACTGCACTGGGACTGCATTCCCCGGTCTTAATCCTCTTGGTGACCCGGGTCTGTCCAGCCCCCTCTAAGCCTAGGACTGTCCTCAGAGACCTCCAGCAAGGACCCAGGACACGCCACCCTCCAAGGGAGATCCTTGCCCCCTCTGGACCCAGAACTCAACCATGCCAGGACCCCTGACTTTATCTCTAGTCTGGGCCTGCCACCCTTGCCATGTCTCCTGACCCTCCAGATATGTCCTTCTGGGAAACCCCCCTGGAGAAACCCCATCTCAACCTCCTCCTGACCCTGGCGCCTTAGCGAGGACCCTAAATCTCCAGACCTCTCAGGGTGTCCTCACTAAAGACCTCCCTCCCAACAGAGATTCCTCAGCAAGGACCTGGCACCGCCATCTGGGACTCCTGGCCCTCTGGACCTGGGCCTCTGCTCCAGACTGTCATCTGTCTCCTGGCCCCATACTCCCCAGCAGGCAACTCTGACCCCAGACACAAAACCCTTCCCTAGGTACCCCACCCCATCTTGACATCTCCCCTATATGGGGTCACTCTCAATGCAGGATTTTCCTCCCAATAGGGACACCACCTGTTCCCTCTGGACCTGGGACTCCCAATTCAGCAGCCCCAGCTAGGGATGTGTCAAAAGGACCCACCGTGGAGGGACCCCGAGTTTTGGGAAACCCTGAGAAGCCAGACTTGGGAAATCTCTTTGTTGCCAGGCTCTGCTGCTCCCCCAGCCCCTTCTCAGCTCCCAGACTTCCTCTTTGTTTCTTTGTTGGGGATTTGTTGAGGAGAGGAGGCTGGTGCAGGGTTAGCCCAGACTCCTAACTCGCCCTCCCGGCCAACAATAGGGGGCAGCTTTTGCTTTTGGTCCCCTGGCAGCAGAGCTGGGTGACTTCTCGTTAGCTGACCTCCCCTGGGTCTGCCCATGCTGCCAGGGCGGCCTGACCTGCTTCTGAGCTTCCCTGGGTCATGTGCACGCCTCCTACCTCTTCCCAGATCCTGGCTTCTAAGAAGTCATCCCTGGCAGGGCAGATGAGGGAAGCCAGACACACGTCAGGCACAGCCTGGCTACATCCCTGCTCAGCCGCGGCTCATTGCCAGGCCTCAGTGTCCTCCCCCATTGCTAAAATGGAGATAATAACACTCCCCATTTCCCTGTAATAGCAGTAGCCTGACAGAGGACTTGCCAATGCATGCTTTAACTCACTTAATCATCACAACAGCCTTGTGAGGCAGGCGCCTTTATAGGCTGTATATTTTTAGCCATGGAAACCGAAGCCTAGAGAAGTTGGGTAACTTTCCTAAGGTCACACAGCAAAGACGGCATAGAGTAGAGATTTAGTCAAGGCCATCAGGCTCTAGAGTCCCATGCTGCTAGCCAACACACCACACTACTTAGAAGAAGGGTGCTGTGTGTGTTGTAAAAGAAAAAAATATGCTAACACTTGTTAAAAATGGAAAGTTATTGTGGTAGAGGAGAGACCATTGCAAAGGCCAGAGAGACTGAACTCAACTGTGAATATAGCAAACACAGCTGGAGTTTTATGGCTAACAAGTAGAATAAGGGAGTCAGTGGATGGAAGAATACTAAGAGGAGAGACATTCGGGTAGGGGGATTCTTGCTAAACTCAGCTTAACAAGATTCTTGCTAAAGACAGGCCAAGGACTTAGATATTGAGAGGGGGTGGATGAGGGCCAGGCGCAGTGGCTTACGCCTATAATCCCAGCACTTTGGAGGGCCGAGGTGGGCAGATCACCTGAGGTTAGGAGTTCGAGACCAGCCTGACCAACATGGTGAAACCCCGTCTACTAAAAATACAAAAATCAACCGAGCATTGTGGCAGGCACCTGTAATTCCAGCTACTCGGGAGGCTGAGGCAGGAGAATCACTTGAACCTGGGAGGCAGAGGTTGCAATAAGCTGAGATTGTGCCACTGCACTCCAGCCAGGGCAACAGAGTGAGACTCCATCTCAAAAAAACAAAAAACAGGCCGGGCAAGTTGGCTCACGCCTGGAATCCCAGCACTTTGGGAGGCTGAGGCGGGCGGATCACCTGAGGTTAGGAGTTCGAGACCAGCCTGGCCAACATGACGAAACCCCATCTCTACTAAAAATACAAAAATTAGCCAGGCATGATAGTGCGTGGCTGTAATCCCAGCTACTTGGGAGGCTGAGGCAGGAGGATCACTTGAACCTGGGAGGCGGAGGTTGCAGTGAGCCGAGATCTCGCCCCTGCACTCCAGGCTGGGCGTTAGAGCAAGACTCTGTCTCAAAACAAACAAACAAAAAAGAGTGGTGGATGAGGAATTTGATCAGATATCGGGGTGGGTGGCTTGTAGGATTCTTGCTAAAACTGGGCCTACTTAAGGACTCAGGAGTCAGACTGAAGTGCGGTCAAGGAGGGAGTCTTTGTCCGTGCGAAGCGCTGGTAATAACTGATGTTTATTGAGTTAATGTTGACTGTTTTCATAGTGGGTGAAGCCTTGAATGCATCTGGAGAAGTGGAAAACCAATTAAACGTGATTCAGAGAGACCTCTTCCCACAATGCCCCTCGTTTGGTCATAGGCCCAAATCTTGGCCCTGGAATTGATCTGGGCAGCCTTGCTGCACTTGAGGCAGGAGGAAGCGGGTAGTCCTACCCGGAACTGGGAATCGGAGAGAGGAAGTGAGCATTACAATCCTTGTAACTCTTTCCACGCTCTTGCTAGGCACTATGCCCTATCCCAGCCTAGTAGGATTACTACCACATTTGAGGAAGGGATTGTTTTTTGTTTTTCAGACAGGGTCTTGCTCTGTCACCCAGGCTAGAGTGCAGTGGCGCAGCCTTGACCTCCTGGGCTTAAGTGATCCTCCCACCTCAGCCTCCTGAGTAGTTGGAACCACACGTGCACGCCACTGCACCCAGCTAATTTTTTTATTTTTTATTTTTTGTAGAAGGTGGTCTCCCTATGTTGCTCAGGCTGGTCTCAAACTACTCCTAGGCTCAAGCGGTTCTCCTGCCTTGGCCTCCCAAAGTGCTGGAATTACAGGTGTGAGCCACCTTGCCTGGCCAGGAAGGGATTGCTTACGAGCCCATTTTTGCAGAGAGGGAACTGAGCCTCAGAGGGGAGAAGTCATCTGGCCAAAGTCATGCAGGGAGTAAATGGCAAAACACTGTTTTGGACTCTTCTCTTTGAAATAGTAACTTGAGGCTCACAGGCCCCATGCTTTTCAAACTCTATGATTTGTCTATTTATAAAGATCTCTTTTATTATTATTATTTTTTTTTACAGAGATAGGGTCTTGCTATGTTACCCAGGCTGGTGTCAAACTCCTGGGCTCAAGTAATCCTCCCACTTTGGCCTCCCAAAGTGCTGGGATTATAGGAATGAGCCACCTCACCCAGCCTGTTTATAAGGATTTCATGTCATTTGCAAACCTGCCAGGCTGCTGGAGTTTCCCCATCAAAAACCCTTGTATTAATGAGGGTTGGGGGTCATAAGTGATACACCTCAAATTACAGTTGCTTAAATAAGAAGTGTATTTCTTGTTCACATTCCAGGTAGTCAGTCCAAGTCGTACTGCATGGTCAGAGACCTAGGCTCCTTCTCAGCAAAACCCTGGTGTTCCTGCCTAACTCCTCTGCGCAACTTCCATTCCCAAGGTCGCCTAATGGTCCAAGATGGCTGTGTAGCTCCAGCCTCCATGTCTGTGCTCCAGCCAGCAAGAGGAGGGAGGAAAGAAGGGAGACTGGCATCCCTCGCTCCTTAAGGACCCTTCCTGGAAGTTGCCTGACTCTTTCATGAATACCTCATTGGCCAGAGATTAGTCACAGAACCACACCTGGCTCTGCAAGGGAGGAGGGAACGTCCTGATTCCAAAAGGCCATGTATCCAGCTAAAACCCAGGGGGAGCCTTTTAAAATTATTATTATTGTTATTATTTTTTAAAGTAGAGATAGGGTCTTCCTATGTTACCCAGGCTGGTCTCAAATTCCTGGGCTCAAGTGATCCTCCCACCTTAGCCTCCTAGAGGGCTGGGGTTACAGGTGTGAACCACCATGCCTGGCTGGGATCATTTCTTTTCCCAAGTTTTTTATTATAGTAAAATACACATAACATAAAATGTACCATCTTAGTCATTTTTAAGGGTACAGTTCTGTGACATTAAATACATTCATATTGTTACCATCATCACCTTCATCTTTTTTTTTTTTAATAGATACGAGGCTGGCCATGCCATGTGGGAGATGGAGTTATTGCTCAACTCAAATCACTCTCCACCATCCATCTCTAAAACTTTTTTTTTTTTTTGAGACGGATTCTTGCTCTGTCACCCAGGCTGGAATGCAGTAGCACAATCTTGGCTCACTGCAACCTCCACCTCCCAGGTTCAAGTGATTCTTCTGCCTCAGCCTGCTGAGTAGCTGGGACTATAGGCGTGAGCCACCATGCCCGGCTAATTTTTGCATTTTTAGTAGAGACGGGGTTTCACCATATTGGTCAGGCTAGTCTTGAACTCCTGACCTCATAATCTGCCCGCCTAGGCCTCCCAAAGTGCTGGGATTACAGACCTGAGCCACCACGCCTGGCCCATTGTCTCGCCCATTTTAGAATAGGGCAAGCTGAGGCTCAGAGCCAGGCAAGAGCCTGCACCCTTCATTCTTTGTTTTGAGAAGTACTGATCGAGCGCCCACAGCAGTGATGAAACACGCAGAACCTCCTGCTTTGCTGAACTGGCAGCCTATGAGAAGACGGTAAACCATAGAGCATGCTAGAAGGTGTTAAGTGCTATGGGAAAAAAAAGTGTTGGGTAAGAGGATGTTACCATTTAGGGTGCTCAAGGGAAAGCCTCACTGAGAAGGTGACATTTGGATGAAGAAGACCTGGAGAGGAGAGAGGGGAGCATTCTTTGGGGAAGGAACAACCAGTGCAATGGCCCTGGGGTGGGAGCGTGCTGCCCTGGTGGACCCTGTGGGGCTTCATGGGTCATGATGAGGACTCTTTCCTTTTACCTGAGTGAGGTGGGGCCACAGAGGGGCTCTGTGCAGGGAAGGGGCATGACTGAACTCAGGTGTTGGCAGGCTCTGCTGGCTGAACAGATTGTAGGGGCTGGGGATGGGGAAGGGAGACCCAGGAGGAGGCTGCTGTGGTGGACAGGACCAGGGTGGGGGCCATGGGACTGGGTGGGGGAGAAGTAAGTGGGTTTTGGGCCTATTTGAAAGTTGAGATAATAGGCTTCACTGACAGATGGAGTGCGGCATGAGTGACGAGGGCGTCAGGGATGAAGGCAAGGCTCTTGGCCTGAGCGTCGAAGGACAGAGGTGCCATCACCTGGGACAGGAGGGGATGTGGGGAGAGGCAGGTTTGGGATGAAGCCATGTGTAGGTGTGGGTGTCCGCAGACCTCTCGCTGCAGGTGTTGAGTGGGCAGGAGGGTTTTCCCTGGCTGGGTCCTGGGGATCAGATCTGTAACTCCAACACCTTGGAAGGCAAAGGTGGGAGGATCACTAGAGTCCAGGAGCTCGAGACTAGCCTGGGCAACATAGTAGGACCCCATCTCTACAAAAAAATTTAAAATCAACGGGGCGTGCTGGACATGCCTGTAGTCCCAGCTACTTAGGAGGAGGCTGAGGTGGTAGGATCACTTAGGTCCAGGAGTTCAAGACTGCAGTAAGCTATGATGGCACCGCTGCACTCCAGCCCGGGTGACAGAGTGACCCCCATCTCTAAAAAGAAAAAGATTTACCCTTTACTCTCTTTACTCCCCTAGGCTATGGGTACACAACGCCACTGACTGATGCGGGCAAGGCCTTCTCCATCGCCTTTGCGCTCCTGGGCGTGCCGACCACCATGCTGCTGCTGACCGCCTCAGCCCAGCGCCTGTCACTGCTGCTGACTCACGTGCCCCTGTCTTGGCTGAGCATGCGTTGGGGCTGGGACCCCCGGCGGGCGGCCTGCTGGCACTTGGTGGCCCTGTTGGGGGTCGTAGTGACCGTCTGCTTTCTGGTGCCGGCTGTGATCTTTGCCCACCTCGAGGAGGCCTGGAGCTTCTTGGATGCCTTCTACTTCTGCTTTATCTCTCTGTCCACCATCGGCCTGGGCGACTACGTGCCCGGGGAGGCCCCTGGCCAGCCCTACCGGGCCCTCTACAAGGTGCTGGTCACAGGTGAGCTGGGTGGCTAGGGCAGGGCTTTGAGGAGGACCTAGCCCTGTCCCTGGGGGAGTTAAAGGCTCACAGTCCCACTCTGGGACTTCCAAAAGGGATCCAACCCCACCCTGCAGGGTCCAGTAGAACTGCGGCCCCGCCTGGAAAATCTGAGCCCCAGGATGACCAACGCCCCTTCTCCGCCTTTACAGTCTACCTCTTCCTGGGCCTGGTGGCCATGGTGCTGGTGCTGCAGACCTTCCGCCACGTGTCCGACCTCCACGGCCTCACGGAGCTCATCCTGCTGCCCCCTCCGTGCCCTGCCAGTTTCAATGCGGATGAGGACGATCGGGTGGACATCCTGGGCCCCCAGCCGGAGTCGCACCAGCAACTCTCTGCCAGCTCCCACACCGACTACGCTTCCATCCCCAGGTAGCTGGGGCAGCCTCTGCCAGGCTTGGGTGTGCCTGGCCTGGGACTGAGGGGTCCAGGCGACCAGAGCTGGCTGTACAGGAATGTCCACGAGCACAGCAGGTGATCTTGAGGCCTTGCCGTCCACCGTCTCTCCTTTGTTTCCCAGCATCTGGCTGGGATGTGAAGGGCAGCACTCCCTGTCCCCATGTCCCGGGCTCCACTGGGCACCAACATAACCTTGTTCTCTGTCCTTTCTCTCATCCTCTTTACACTGTGTCTCTCTGGCTCTCTGGCATTCTCGCTGCCTCTGTCTTTCCCTCTTGCTGTCTCTGTTTCTCATTCTCTTTCATGTTCCGTCTGTGTCTCTCAATTAACCACTCGTCAACTGCTGATTCTACTGGGCTGTGGGCTCAGACCTCATTTCAGGCACCAGATTGGTCGCTACACCCTGGACAAGTGACTGCCCGTCTCTGAGCCTTGATTTCCTCAGCTGCCAAATGGGAAGAATAGAAGAATTTGCCCCTAAACCCCTCCTGTGTGCTGGCCCTGTGCTAGACAGTGCTGGAGACATAGTTGGGGGTGGAGAACTGCCCTTATGGAGCTTGCAGTCCAGTGAGGTGGACAGACCTGTCCCCAGACAGTGATGGCCCAAAATGGTCAGGACTTTAATGGAGGAGGTGAGGTGTTGAAAGCACAGGCAGAGTGGTCAGGGCTGAAGTCGGAGAAGCATAGGGACTAGGCCCAATCCAGCCTGGAAAGTCAGGGAGGACTTCCTAGAGGAAGGGACATCGAACTAAGACCTGAACTATGAGAAATAGGCAGGAAGAAGTTGTACCTGACTCATTTTTCTCAGGTGTCTCCAGGGAGCAGGACCCATGGAGGGACCCCTGGTGTAGGCCTGGGCGATAGACTCTTCCTCAGCAGCCTGGCAGGCAGGAAACAGACATAGGACCCCAGCCCAGATCTGAATGGCATGGGAGGTGCTGCCCTTAACCATGACACCATTGTAAGAGCTGTCCACATTTGTATGTTGTGCCCTGGAATCAGCCTGGTTGAGCTCAAATCCCAACTTAGCCACGTCTGGCCTGTGTCCTTGGGCAGTCACACTACCTCTCTGATTTTGTTTCCTTATCTGTAAAATGGTGATCATCATAATACAACTTCAAAAGGATTTCAGGCTGAGTGTGGTGGCTCACGCCTATACACCCAGCACTTTGGAAGGCTGAGGAAGGAGGATCGCTTGAGGCCAGGAGTTTGAGACTAGCCTAGGCAACACAGTGAGGCCTTATCTCAACAACAACCACAAAATCTAAAAATTAGCTGGGTGTGGTGGTGCATGCCTGTGATCCTGGCTACTTCAGAGGCTGAGGTGGAAGGATCACTTGAGGCCAGGAGTTTGAGGCTGCAGTGAGTTATGATGGCACTGCTGCACTCCAGCCTGCGGGACAGAGTGAGACCCTGTCTGAAAGAAAGAGAGAAAGAAAGAAAGAAAGAGAGAGAAAGAAAGAAAGAAAGAAAGGGAAAGATGGAAGGAAGGAAGGAAAAAGAAAGAGAAAGAGAGAGAGAGAGAAAGAAAAAGAAAGAAAAGTAAGAAAGAAAAAAGAAAAAGAAAGAAAAGTAAGAAAGAAAAAAAGAAAAAGAAAGAAAGTAAGTCCTGGCTAACACGGTGAAACCCTGTCTCTACTAAAAATACAAAAAATTAGCCAGGCGAGGTGGCAGGCGCCTGTAGTCCCAGCTACTCGGGAGGCTGAGGCAGGAGAATGGCGTGAACCCCGGTGGGGGCGGAGCCTGCAATGAGCCGAGATCGCGCCACTGCATCCAACCTGGGTGACAGCAAGACTCCGTCTCAAAAAAAAAAAAGAAAGAAAGAAAAGAAAAGAAGGAAAGAAGCGGGGCACAGTGGCTCAGTCCTGTAATCCCAGCACCTTGGGAAGGCCAAGGTGGGAAGATCACTTGAGGCTAGGAGTTTGAGACAAGCCTGGCCAACATAGCAAGACCCCATCTCTACAAAAATAAAAATTTTAAAAAGGGCTGGGGCATTTGAGCTGGGTCCCAACAGTAGACAAGTAGAAAAGGCATGGAGAGGGCATACCAGGTGGGAGGAGCTGTGTGCAAAGGCCTGGAGATGGAAAAGCATGCTGGCCACCAGCTTCTGACAAGCAGTTTAGTATGAACGGTATGCAGGGAAAGAGGGAAGGAGGGCAGAGGGGTGCGCACGAGCACCCGTTAGTGTCCTTAAATGACCAGCATGGGAACCTGGTCTCTTTCCTGAGGGCCCTAGAGAGCCATGGAAGGGTTTAGAGTAGGAGTGGGTCATGGTTAGGTTTGGGTTTTAGGATGATCCCCCTAGTTGCTCTGGAGAGGTGGAGCAGAGCGGGTACTGAGGCTGGGTGCCTGTGGGAGGCTGAGGCAGGAATGAAGAGGGAGACGATGGGCCTGGGCTGAGCCATGGAAGGGAGGAGGGGTGAGTGCGGGCACACTCAGGAGCCAAGTGGACAGGCCATAGCCCCCACAGACTGGAGGGACGCGGCTAGGGAATGTCCCACAGAGTGGCCAGTTATCCCTGAGAGAAAGAGCAGGTTTTAGCGGAGACGCTGAGGCTGCTTTAGAATATGGTGGGTGTGTGGGGCAAAAGGGACACCCAGGGGTGTATCAAGAGGTCATAGGGGGCAGGCCAGGTGGCTCACGCCTGTAATCCCAGCACTTTGTGAGGCCGAGGCAGGTGGATCACCTGAGGTCAGGAGTTCAAGACCAGCCTGGCCAACATGGTGAAACCCCGTCTCTACTAAAAATACAAAAATTAGCTGGGTGTGGTGGCACATGCCTGTAGTCCCAGCTACTTGGGAGGCTGAGACAGAATTGCTTGAACCTGGGAGGTGGCGGCTGCAGTGGGCCGAGATCACACCACTGTACTCCAGCCTGGGCGAAACAGAGACTCTGTCTCAAAAAAAAAAAAAAAGTCATAGGGGCTGGGCATAGTGGCTCTCACCTATAATCCTAGCAAATCGTAGTACTTTGGGAGGCCGAGGCAGGAGGATTGCCTGAGCCCAGGGGTTCAAGACCAGCCTCAGCAACATAAAATACAAAAAATACAAAAATTAGCTGGGTTTGGTGGTGTGCACCTGTGGTCCCAGCTACTCAGGAGGCTGAAGTGGGAGGATCACTTGAGCCTGGGAGGTCAAGGCTGCAGTGAGCTGTGATTGCATCACTGTACTCCAGCTTGGGTGACAGAGCAAGACCCTGTCTCAAAAAAAAAAAAAGAAAAGAAAAAGAAAAAGAAAAAGAAAATATGTATATTGGATATACTATGTGCCAGGCACGATTCCAAGCCCCTGATACATTCTCTACATTTTACAGATGGGGGAAGGAGGTCCAGAGATGTTAAATACTTGCCCAAGGTCACACAGAAAGTGGAACACTGGGATTTGAACAAGGTTTTGGTTGGGCATCTTTTCCTATGGGAGCTCAGAAATATCTGTTGTCTAGCCCTTTCTCAGCCTCCCAACCTTCTCGGTTCCTTACCTATGTCACAGCTGACTTTGAGCTAAAGTCATCTCGGGGCAGCTAGGTGCCTATGTGAGCTGGCGTTCATTTCTCACTGTTTCTCCTTCCAAATACCTCCAGGAAGAAAAGCAAGTCCTTTTTGGTCCAAGACATTAAAAAAGCCAGGCTCAGCGGCTCATGCCTGTAATCCCAACACTTGGGGAGGCTGAGGCAGGAGGATCGCTTGAGCCCGGGAGCTGGAGACCAGCCTGGACATGTTAACATAGCAAGACCCCTCTACAGAAAATGTTAAAAATGAGCTGGGTGTGGTGGCGCACACCTGTAGTCCCAGTTACTCAGGAGGATGAGGCAGGAGGATCACTTGAGCCTAGGAGGTTGAGGCTGCAGTGAGCCATGATCACACTACTGGACTCCAGCCTGGGCCATAGAGCAAGACCCTGTCCTAGGAGAAAAAAAAGGGCCAGGCACAGTGGCTCACGCCTGTAATTCCAGTACTTTGGGAGGCCGAGGCGGGCGGATCACAAGGTCAGGAGATCAAGACCATCCTGGCTAACACAGTGAAACCCGTCTCTACTAAAAATACAAAAAAATTAGCTGGGTGCGGTGGCACGCACCTGTGATCCCAGCTACTCGGGAGGCTGAGGCAGGAGAATCACTTGAACCCAGGAGGTGGAGGTTGCAGTGAGCCGAGATCCCACCATTGCACTCCAGCCTGGGAGACAGAGCGAGACTCCGTCTCAGAAAAAAAAAAAAAAGAAAAAAGTGTGTGCTAAAAAATTCATCAGGTACTAAAGAGTGTACGGTGGAAAGTAAGTCTTTCTCCTACACTCAGATCATGGATGGATGTCTCAGGTCTTCCCAGGCACATTTGATGTTATGTACCAGCCATATGCATGTGTGTGTCATTTATTTTTCACTCTACACAAGTAGTACCTAATATGGTGAGGTTGTTATGATTACAGACTCTGGAGGCAAAGTTCCTGGGTATAAATCTGAACTCTGTCACTCCCAAGCTAAGTGGCTTTGGGCAAGTGATTTCACCTCCATGTGCCTCAGTTTGCTAGTCTGTACAATGGGATGGTAATAGCACCTACCTCATGGACTTGAGAAGTCAGCAACTTCATACCTCTAAAGCCCTTAGAGCTAGCAGTGTGTGGCACTCAATAAAATGTTGACTAATGATGATTCTCACTTCTGTACTATGCTTTTTCGTACCAATTATAAATATTAATATTTTAATGTCACCTTTCTTTTATTCATGTTTCTGTACCTTGCTTTTGTCACCAACACAGTGTAATTCAGAGATAATTTCAGAGACATACAATAGGTCTTTTTTTTTTTTTTTCTTTTTTGAGACTAAGCCTCGCTCTGTTGCCCAGGCTGGAGTGCAGTGGCACGATCTCAGCTCACTGCAACTTCCACCTCCTGGGTTCAAGCAATTCTCCTGCCTCAGCCTCCCGAGTAGCTGGGATTACAGGCACCTGCCACTATGCCCGGCTCATTTTTGTATTTTTAGTAGAGACAGGGTTTCACCATGTTGGCCAAGCTGGTCTCGAACTCCAGATCTCAAGTGATCCACCCGCCTCGGCCTCCCAAAGTGCTGGGATTACAGGTGTGAGCCACCACACCTGGCCACAATAGGTCTTATATCTTACGGTGTCTCCTCTAGGACACATTTCCCATAAATAATTTCAACATCCCCTGTTGATGATACGTGGGTGTTTTCCAGTCTTTTGCTGGTACAACAATGCTACAGCAAACATCTTATGGTTTAAGATCTAATGAAGGGATCGAATGAGGCAGGAGTTCAAGACCACCCTGGGCAACATAGCAAGACCCTCCCTGTACAAAAAATTTAAAAATTAGCTGGGTGTGGTGGAACACCAGCTAGTCAGGAGGCTGCGGCAGGAGGATCACTTGAACCCAGGTGTTTGGGACTAGCTTGGACATCATGTGAGACCTCATCTCTGCTGGACATGGTGGCTCATGTCTGTAATTCCAGCACTTTGGGAGGCCGAGATGGGAGGATTGCTTGAGGCCAGGAGTTTTAGACCAGACTGGTCAAAATGGTGAGACCCCATCTCTATTTTTTTTTTTTTTTAAAAGATGAATAAAGGTCGGGTGCAATGAAGCACATCTGTAATCCCAGCACTTTGGGAGGCTGAAGCGGGTGGATCGCTTGAGGTCAGGAGTTCGAGACCAGCCTGGCCAACATGGTGAAACTTTGTCTCTACTAAAAATATAAAAATTAGTCGGGTACGGTGGCAGATGCCTGTAATCCCAGCTACTCAGGAGGCTGAGGCAGGAGAATTGCTTGAAACGGGGAGGTGGAGGTTGCAGTGAGCTGTGATGGCACCACTGCACTCCAGCCTGGGCGACAGAGTGAGACTTTGTCTCAACAAAAAAAAAAAAAAAAAAAGGGAAAAAAAGAAGATGAAAAAGAAACCCCCATCTCTAAAAAAAAAAAAGTAAAAATAAAACAAATTAACTGGATATGATGACTCGCATCTGCAGTTCCAGCTACTTGGGAGGCTGACATGGGAAGATCACTTGAGCCTGGGAGTTCGAGGCTGCAGCGAGCAATGATTGCGCCACTCCACTCCAGCCTGGGTGAGAGAGTGAGACCCCGTTTCTAAAAAAACAAAATAAAAAAAAAAGGGCTCTGGTACATGGCTACTGAGTTTCTTCCCCTAGAAGATGTCACCGTTCCCTAGCCTGCGGGGGTGGGCTGGGGTGGGAAGGATAGACCACCATCATCGGTTCATTTACATAAAACAACTATTATATGCGGTGCCTGGCAGGGCTGGGGGACAACAGAGGCAGAGAAAGCCATACACCCTGCCCTCACGGAGCTTGTGATCCAGTGGAAAAGAAACACCCATTTCCAGTCATGAGTGGCCTAGAGGGGCCAAGAGGTAGGATGAGGGCTGGTCATGTATCACAGAGAAGACCTAAAGGAAGGAAAGTGGTGGGCCCTGTTAAAAAGCATGGAATGGTATTCCAGAGGGCATTACTGAGTCTGCACAGGTCTGGAGCATGCATGGCTCACACCTGACCAAGGATATTCAAGTCGCTCCATGTGACCAGACTGTGGACCACAGAGGTCTAAGGGGGAGAGGGCAGATGAGCCAGATAGAATGACAGGGAGGAGAGTATGAGGGGCTCTGGAAACCGAGGGGTTTGGAAGTTTTCCTGAGGGCCTAGAGGGTCATGGAAGGTTCTAGAGCACTGGTTCTCAAGGTGTGGTCTCCAGACCACTAGTATCAGCATCACCTAGGAACTTGCCAGAAATACAAATTATCAGGCCCCACTCCAGATCTACTGAATGAAAAATTCTGGAAGTAGCCAGGTAGTTACTCAGGAGGCTGAGATGGGAGGCTCACATGAGGCCTGAAATTCAAGGCTAACCTGAGATAGGGTGTTGCTCTTTTGCCCAGGCTGAAATGCAGTGGTGTGATCACAGCTCACTGCATTTCCGTGTATTTCAGAGCTCACTGCAGCCTCAAACTCCTGGGCTCAAGTGGTCTTCCTGCCTCAACCTCCCAGGTAGCTGGGGTCACAGGGATGGACCACCACACTGGGCTAATTTAAAAAAATTGTTAGCAACAGGGTCTTACCATATTGCCCAGGCTGGCCTCAAGCGATCCTCCTACCTCAGCCTCCCAAAGTACTGGGATTACAGGTGTGCAGCACCACATCTGGCTTAATTTTTTTTTTTTTTTTTGAGACAGGGTCTCATTCTGTCGCCCAGGCTGGAGTGCAGTGGAGGGATCTCGGCTCACTGCAACCTCCGCCTCCTGGGTTCAAGCAACTCCTGCCTCAGCCTCCCGAGTAGCTGGGATTACAGGTGCCCGCCGCCATGCCCGGCTAATTGTTGTATTTTTTGGTAGAGACAAGGTTTTATCATGTTGGCCAGGCTGGTATCCAACTTCAGACCTCAAGTGATCCGCCTGCCTCAGCTTTCCAAAGTGCTGGGATTATAGGCATGAGCCACTATGCCCAGCCAGAGACTCCATCTTTAAAACAAAAACAAAAACTCAGGGTGTGGTACCCACCAACCTGGCTTACCCAGCCTTTTAGGTGAGTCTAATGCATGCTCAAATTTGAAAACCACTGGGTTAAACGTCTGGTCTGGAGTTCATCAAAAAGTCATGGCCTGAATCCTTACCTGTAAGGCATCAGAATGCAAATGAAAATTAACTTAATGAATATTTTACTTGAGCCGGGCACACTTCCCACAACAGTATAGGATGGCTGTCCTTGTCCTGTTTTGTAGAGGACGGTGCTAAGCAGCCTATTCATTCTCACAAGGTCTCCAGGAAACCACACTTTTTTAAGGAGTAGAATTTTGGGGTAGGGCCGGGCGCAGTGGCTCACGCCTGTAATCCCAGCACTTTGGGAGGCCGAGGCGGGTGGTTCGCCTGAGGTCAGGAGTCGAGACCAGCCTGGCCAACATGATGAAACCCCGTTTCTACTAAAAATACAAAAAATAAATTAGCCAGGCGTGGTGGCGGGAGCCTATAATCCCAGCTACTCGGGAGGCTGAGGCAGGAGAATCGCTTGAATCCGGGGCAGGGGCGCGGAGGTTTCAGTGAGCCGAAATCGCGCCACTTCACACTCCAGCCTGGGAGAAAGAGCGAAACTCCGTCTCAAAAAAATATATATATATATATATTTGGGTAGGAAGCACAAGTAGGGACCGTGCTTGCTGCCAGAACAACCAATAGAAACTCCTTGAAGGCCTTCCTGGCACAAACGTAGTCTCCAGCACCCTCTGCCGACCAGGCCCCGCGCCCTCAGTGCTGAGACAGCCTCCAGCCCTCGGTGCCTTAGGGGTTGCGCGTCACCTTGGAGACCGCGTGAGAGGAGGGCGTGCCTCTGCAAAGGCGGAAGTCGGCTGTGGAAGTGTGGGCGGCCATTTTGAGACCGGGCAAGAGGGGCGGGACTGGTGCGGCCGAGTGACAGTTGACCGGTTTTAACCAAGTGACTGGTACCACGGGGCCGGGGAAAAAGCTGTGCCATCCAGGGGCGGGGGGATGCCGGGGACGGGGAGGAACTAGGAAGGGGAGGGGAAGGGGAAGGCGAGAAGGGGAGAGGCAGGGGAAAGAGGGGAAGAGTCGTGGGAGCTGGGAGAGGAGGGAAAGAGGGGAAGAGTCGTGGGAGCTGGCAGAGGAGGGAAAGGGGGAGCCGAACGTGAAGGGCGAAGGGCGGGGCGGGGCAGGAGAGTCGGGGTATAGAGCAGGCAGGTGTTAATGGCATGGGAAGGAAGAGTAAGAAGTGGGGCAAGAAGGTGTCGCGGTACGAGGGGAAGGTGAGACTCAAGAAGGTGCCGGCTAAGAAGCTGGTGCCGGCGTGGAAGGAGAAGGTGTGGGGCGAGGAAACAACGAAGGGCGAGGAAAGATCCCGAGGCGAAGAGACAGTTTTCATCGAGAAGGGGCAGGGCGAGGAGGAGGGGCGTTACCAGAGGGCGGGACGGGGCGACGGGCCCGCGCGGGAAGAACCAATCGCCGAGAACCCGGGGAAGGAACGGGTCCATAAAGACCAAGTGGAGGAGTAGGGGCGCGGTCAGGAGCGGAAGCAGAGTGAGGAGCAAGCCCCGGGCGAGAAACGGGGGCCCGGCCGGGAGCAAGAGCAGGGGCGGGGCCGGGAGCAAGAGCAGGGGCGGGGCCCGGAGACGGGCGAGACCAGGTACAGTACCCAGCCCCTGGGCAGACCCCGAGCGAGGAGAAAGCGGCGATACCAAGAGAAGTGCGAGGGTGGGGCAAGAGGTTGGGGCACAGCCGGGTGGAAGTACACGGGTGCGATCGCAGGCAGAAGCAGTACGGGGGAACTTAAGAGGGGGACTGTCAAAGCGAGAAATAGAAACCAAGACCAGGTGAAGAGCAAGAGTGGAATACAGGGAGGGGGCGGAATAAGGAGCAAGGTGAGGATAAAGTTAAAGGAAGAGACGTGGAGGCGGCGGGGCGGAACGAGGCGGAGGAGCAGGGGTGTGGCCAGAAACATTAGTAGGGCTGGGGCCCGGAGCAATAGCAGAGGTGCGATACCCACGAGGGTCGGGGGCAGGGCCAGGAGCAAGAGCAGGGGCGGGACCAGGAGCAAGTGCAGAGGCGGAGCCAGGAACAAGAGCAGAGGCGGGGCTAAAAGTCCGTGCGGGGGCAGGGCCAGGAGCAAGAGCAGGGGCGGGACCAAGAGCAAGTGCAGGGGCGGGGCCAGGAGCAAGAGCCGGGGCGTGGCCAGGAGCAAGTGCTGTGAGAGGCGCAGAAGCGAGGTGGAATCTTAAAAGTGGGCTCCAGAGAGCTGTCCGGCGCGTGGGTGTTGACTCCTGCGTTCTCCAGGTTCTAGCCACGTTATGTGCGGCCCAGCCATGTTCCCTGCCGGTCCTCCGTGGCCCAGAGTCCGAGTCGTGCAGGTGCTGTGGGCCCTGCTGGCAGTGCTCCTGGCGTCGTGGAGGCTGTGGGCGATCAAGGATTTCCAGGAATGCACCTGGCAGGTTGTCCTGAACGAGTTTAAGAGGGTAGGCGAGAGTGGTGTGAGCGACAGCTTCTTTGAGCAAGAGCCCGTGGACACAGTGAGCAGCTTGTTTCACATGCTGGTGGACTCACCCATCGACCCGAGCGAGGTGAGGGGACCAGGGTCAAGTGAACCAGAGGGATTTTGAACCCGCACTCCACTCATTTCTGGACGTGTGGCCTAACCTCTCTTTGCAGAAATACCTGGGCTTCCCTTACTACCTGAAGATCAACTACTCCTGCGAGGAAAAGGTGAGTGGGTGCAGCACGGATAGGCTCATTCTATGAGCCTTGGTTTTCCCACCTCTAACATTTTTATTTATTTATTTATTTTATTTTTTTGAGACGGAGTCTTGCGCTGTTGCCCAGACTGGAGTGCAGTGGCGCGATCTCGGCTCACTGCAACCTCCGCCTCCCGTGTTCAAGCGATGCTCCTGCCTCGGCCTCCCAAGTAGCTGGAACTACAGGCATGTGACACCACGCCCGGCTAATTTTTGTATTTGGTAGAGACAGGGTTTCACCACGTTGCCCAGGCTGGTCTCAAACTCCTGACCTCATGTGATCCACCTGCCTCAGACTCCCAAAGTGCTGGGATTACAGGTGTGAGCCACCGTGCCTGGCCCCCATCTCAATATGTGGTAGCACCATCCAACCCTGGTGGCTTTAAGGATTCAAGAAGGCTGTCTGTGTACAGTTCCCAGTAACCCACCAAGCACCTAGTAGGTGCTCAAGTAAGCTTTTTTGTTCCATGTTTTTTTTGTTTTGTTTTGTTTTTGAGACGGAGTCTCGCTCCGCCCAGGCTGGATTGCAGTGGCGCGATCTCGGCTCACTGCAAGCTCCGCCTCCTGGGTTCACACCATTCTCCTGCCTCAGCCTCCCAAGTAGCTGGGACTACAGGCGCCTGCCACCACGCCCGGCTAATTTTTTGTATTTTTAGTAGAGATGGGGTTTCACCGGGTTAGCCAGGATGGTCTCGATCTCCTGACCTCGTGATCCGCCCGCCTCGGCCTCCTAGAGTGCTGGGATTACAGGCGTGAGCCACCTCACCCGGCCTTGTTCCAGGTTTTTAAAGCTATGAGTAGGAGTTTACCATATATATAATTCACACACCATAAAATTCACCATTGTTATTTTTGTTATTTTTCTGAGGCAGGGTCTCACTCTGTTACCCAGGCTGGAGTGCAATGGTGAAATCACAGCTCATTGCAGCCTTGACCTCCTGGGCTCAAGTGAACCTTCTGCATCAGCCTCTTGAATAGCTGGGACTAGTTGTGCGCCACCACACCAGCACGGGAGGATCACTTGCATCCAGAAGCTCAAGACTAGCCTAGGTGAATTTGGCTGGGCATGGTGGCTCCCACCTGTAGAAATGCTAAGGCAGGATCATCATAATGAGCCTAGGAGGTTGAGGCTGCAGGGAACTGTGATCATGCCACTACACTCCAGCCTGGGTGACAGAGTGAGACCCTGTCTTTGTTTTTATTAATTAATTAATTAATTTTTGAGATGGAGTCTCACTCTGTTGTTGGGGTGATCAGACCCAACACCAGGTCGGGGGGAGGGGGTGGCGACGAAGTCCGGCGGAGTCAAAGGATTGAGAAAAAGGCAGTTTGAGAGAGAGAAGTAAAGTGGGACCAGAGGGCCATTGCTAGTGTATGGAGGCTGCTAAAGCCCCGAGCTCTGGGAGCCCACGCTATTTATTGGTAATCCAACAAAGAAACAGGTGGTGAGAATGTGGAGGTCAAAAGGGCACATTGCATTAAGCACATGATTTACAGCTGTGATGGTTTAGCATTTGCTCTGCTGCTTGAGATAATGGAGAGCAGGTTCTTTTAACTCAAGATACAATCAATCCTGGGAGCGCAAGGAGCAAGCAAGTCTAGACACATTCCAGAGCCATGAGCCCTGGATTCTATCGAGGCCATGAGGGATTTTATGCCCTTGGCTTAGATTATGGTGCATGATGGTAGGCTTCCACCCTTTAGCACAGAGCTTGGTGTTCCAAAGGCCACAAGGGGTTTTAGACCCTGGACCCCGGACATGTTCCAAGACTCTTTTACATTATGTCAGACATGCAAGCCCTGCCTCAGCTTCTCCTAACACTCTGTCGCCCAGGCTGGAGTGCAGTGGCGCAATCTCGGCACACTGCAGTCTCTGCCTCCTGGGTTCTAAGCGATTCTCCTGCCTCAGCCTCCTGAGTAGCAGGAATTAAAGTTTTTAATTTTGGTGAAGCCCAGTTTATAAATTTTTTTCTTTTTTTTGCTTGTGTTTTTTGTGTCATTTACAAAGGCCTTGCGTAACTAAAGATCATGAAGACTTACTCATATTTTCTTCAAGAGATTTTTAGTTTTAGCTCTTACATTTAGGTCTTTCATCCATTTTGAGTTAATTTTTGTATATGGTGTGAGGTCCAAGCTTTTACACGTGCATATCCAGTTGTCCCAATGCCGTTTGGTGAGATTCTTCTTTTTTTTTTTTGAGACAAAATCTCATTCTGCCACCCAGGCTGGAGTGCAGTGGCGTGATCTTGGCTCACTGCAACCTCCCCCTCCCAGGTTCAAGCGATTCTCCTGCCTCAGCCTACTGAGTAGCAGGAATTACAGGCATGCGCCACCATGCCTGGCTAATTTTTATATTTTAGTAGAGACAGGGTTTCACCATGTTGGCCAGGCTGGTCTCGAACTCCTGACCTCAGGTGATCCACCTGCCTTGGCCTCCCAAAGTGCTGGGACTACAGGCGTGAGCCACCATGCCTGGCCTGTTGAGATTATTCTTTCCCCGCTGAATTGTCTTGGCACCTTTGTCAAAAATCAATTGAATATAAATATAAGGGTTTCTTTCTGGACTCAATTCTATTCTAAATGAATTGATTTCTCAATAATTCATTGCTCTAAATGCCTATTCATATGCCAGTATCACAGAGTCTTTTTTTTTTTCTTTTTTTGAGACAGGGTCTCACTCTGTCACCCAGGCTGGAGTACAGTGGCATGATCTCGGCTCAGTACAGCCTACACATTCTGGGTTCAAGCGATTCTCCTGCCTCAGCTGCCCAAGTAGCTGGGACTACAGATGTGCGCCACCACGCCCGGCTAATTTTGTATTTTTGGTAGAGATGGGGTTTCTCCATATTGGTCAGGCTGGTCTTGAACTCCTGACCTCAGGTGATCCACCTGCCTCGGCCTCCCAAAGTGCTGGGATTATAGATGTGAGCCACCGCGCCCGGCCAATAATTTTATTTTTTTAGAGACAGGGTCTTGCGCTGTCACCCAGGCTGAAATGCAGTGGCTTGATCATAGCTCATTGCAGCCTCGACCTCCTGGGCTGAAGTGATCCTCCTGCCTCAGCCTCCCAAGTAGCAGGGACTACAGGCTCAAGCCATCACACCAGTGTACTTTCAATTAGACAGGGTCTCACTATGTTGCCTAAGGCTGGCATGAAAGAATTTCTGAGAGTAGTATTAATAAATGCAAATAATAAAATGAGGTAATACGTTAGAAAGGAGGGGGGGGCACTGTTTTAGTGGGGGTCGTTGGAGAAGGTCACTCTGGAAAGGCTTGAGCAGAGACTCAAATGATAAAAAGTGGGGATTATTAGGAGAGCCAGGTAAAGCTTTCCAGGCCGAGGGAAGAGCCAGCACGATGGCCCAGAGGTAGGAAAGAGGTCAGCATGTGTGAGAAACTATGAAGAGGACTTTGTGGCTGGAGCAGAGTGAGTGAGAGGGAGTGTGGGAGGAGAGGTCAGGGAAGTGATGGGGGAAGGTTTTTGGGGCTTGATGGGCCATGGTGAGGACTTGGCTTTTACTCTGAGACAGAGCCTGAGAGGGCCCTATGCAGAGGAGGGATTGGATCTGATTCCAGGCTTCACTGGCTCCCTCCTGTTGTTGGGGGAGCAGGGCAGGAGCAGTGAGACAAGGAGGAGGCTGCTACATTGCCCAGGCAGGAGATGACGGGGACAGGACCAGGGTGTTAGTGGCTACTGTCATCCTCACAGGAAGGAGGTCCCTGCCCCACTAGCACCTTCTCCTCTGCAATGGGAACTCAGGCAGGGCCAGGGACAGGTGTAGTTGACAGGATTGAAAAGAGCCTGGTGCTGGGTGTGGTGGCTCATACCTATAATCCCAGCACTTTGGGAGGCCAGGGAGAGAAGATTGCTTGAGCCCAAGAATTCAAGACCAGCCTGGACAACATAGGGAGACCCTGTCTCTACAAAAAAAATCAAAAAATTGGGCCGGGCATAGTGGCTCATGCCTGTAATCCCAGCACTTTGGGAGGCCAGGGCAGGTGGATCACCTGAGTTCAGGAGTTCGAGACTAGCCTGACCAACATGGTGAAACCCCATCTCTACTAAAAATGCAAAAATTAGCCGGGCGTGGTGGCGCATGCCTGTAATCCCAGCTACTTGGGAGGCTGAGGCAGGACGATCGCCTGAACCTAGGAGGCAGAGGGTGCAATGAGCTGAGATGGCGCCCTTATACTCCAGCCTGGGCAACAAGTGCAAAACTCCGTCTCGGAAAAAAAATAAAAAATAAAAAAATTAGCCAGGCGTGGTAGTGGTACCTGTAGTCCCAGCTATTTGGGAGGCTGAGGTAAGAGGATTGCTGAAGTCTGGGAGAGGTGGAGGTTACAGTGAGCTGTGATGGCACCACTGCACTCCGGACTGGGCAACAGAGCAAGACCTTATCTTAAAAAAAAAAAAAAAAAGCCAGGTGCAGTGGCTTACACCTGTAATCCTAGCATTTTAGGAGGCTAAGGCTGGAGGATTGCTTGAGGCCAAGAGTTCAAGACCAACCTGGCCAACATAGCAAGACCCTGTCCCATGTAAAAAATAAATAAATAAATAAATAAATAAATAAATTACAGAAATAGCCAGCCTGGGCAACAGAGTAGACTCTGTCTCTACAAAAATTAAACAGTTTTCAAAGAAAGAATGGCCTGGTGGCTCATGCCTGTAATCCCAGCACTTTGGGAGGCCGAAGCGCGCAGATCAGTTGAGGTCAGGAGTTTGAGACCAGGCTGGCCAACGTGGTGAAACCTCATCTTTACTAAAAATACAAAAATTAGCTGGGCATGGTGGTGCACGTGTGTAGTCCCAGCTACTCAGGAGGCTGAGGCAGGAGAATCACTTGAACCCAGGAGACAGAGGCTGCAGTGAGTCGAGATCATGCCACTGCACTGTAGCCTGGGCGACAGAGTGAGACTCCTTCTTGAAAAAAAAAAAAAAAAGGAAAAGAAAGGAGCCTGGCAAAGAAAGTAAAGAAAGTCAGCCCTCTCGATGAAGGGCTGTGCACAGGTGCTGAATCTGGTAAATCCCTCGCCCTGGTCCCACAGCAACCAAGGCCTCCCCTTGGTGGCCTGAGTGCCGCCTTCTCTCGGGGACGCCTCTTAGCCTTCACTGGTGCTGTTCTGCATGCCTGAAACATCCTTCTCCTCTTCTCCCATCTCCACTCTAAGCGCTCCCCACCCTTTTCTATTCAGCCAGGATCCCGCATCCCTGGGAGGTTGTCCAGGCATGCCCTGTCACCCTCGTCCTCAGTCCCTTCCTGTGTAATCGCCCCATCCTACACTCACCCCAAGCTCAAGGCCCAGAACTTGGCTGTCCTCTGACTTGCATAGGTGGCAGAAAGTCTGCTGCAGAGAGGGTGGAAGCCCACCTCAAGAGTGAGACTGGGGGCCAGATGAGATGGCTCACGCCTTTAATGCCAGCACTTTGGGAGGCCAAGGTGGGAGGCTCACTTGAGACCAGGAGTTCAAGACCAGCCTGGGCAATCTAATTTTTTTTTTTTAAGCCTGGAACTGGGAATCCCTGGAGTGGAAAGCAGCACCCTGGGTGCCACATCCCTCCCACCTTCCCAGCATCCCTCCCACCTGCACAGTTTTGTTCATCCCATGCTGCCCTTCCCTATGTATTCCCTACATGCACATTCTGTCTGCAGACACTGGCTCTGGAGTCATCTCCTCCAGGAAGGCCTCCGACTCCCTCCACAGCCCCTTACCCCTCTGCCCCCTCCTAGGCTGTTCCATCCCCCATCCAAGCCCCAAACCTAGACCATGTCCTCTGACCATCACATGGTGGACAGTGTGCTGCCCCCGGACAGCCCAGGAGACAGACTGTTAGAGGCGGGCTTAAGGCAGGGGGCACCCAGAGGCTACCATAAGGACACACTTGTGGGGCCATCTCACCCTCAGCCCTCTGAGGACCTGGTGCGCATGGGCCACCTGACGGGGCTAAAGCCCCTGGTGCTGGTCACCTTCCAGTCCCCAGTCAACTTCTACCGCTGGAAGATAGAGCAGCTGCAGATCCAGATGGAGGCTGCCCCCTTCCGCAGCAAAGGTGGGCCTGGGGGAGGCGGGAGGGATCGCAACCTGGCAGGGGTGTGGGGTTTGCTGGGGGCCTCTGTGGGGCCATGATCTGAGGAGGGTATGTGGGGGGCGGGAGCTCAGCACATTCCATGGCCTAGAGGGGCCACACAGAGGCCCCAGTGGGACCCATGGCGTGGAGGCAGGTATGGGGAGTTGTGGGGAGATCCCAGGGTGGTCTGGGGCCTGGAACCGGCCATTGGGAGGCCCCAGCAGTTTCAGTGCCCAGGGCCTCCCTGCAGAGCCATGCATGGCAGAAGAAGTGTGTAGCATGAGCTGGTACACGCCCATGCCCATCAAGAAAGGCAGTGTGGTCATGCGTGTGGACATCAGCAGCAATGGCCTGGGGACCTTCATTCCAGATAAAAGGTACCCTTTCCCAAGACGGGGGCTGGGGTGGACTCCGGGGGAATTCCTCACCCCAGGGTCCCCAGAGGAGCCAGTGGGAGATCCAAGGGAGAGAATGGGGAGAGGAGAGGCAGCTACGAGCTGTGGAACCCCTGACACTGGGACCTCACCTGCGCCTATTCTGCACCTGCTGCTAGGTTCCAGATGAATATCAACGGCTTCCTGAAGAGAGACCGGGACAATAACATCCAATTCACTGTGGGAGAGGAGGTGAGGGAATATGGCAGGGGAAAAAGACAATGGTCTGGGCCTTAGGCTGACGCCCTGGTTACTTCCCAGACAAGCAGCAGATCCCATTTAGGGAGCACCAACTTCATGCCAGGCCCCACATGAAGATCCCATTAATCTCCCCAGTGACCTGTCGAGGGGACGTACTCTCACATACTCCATTATAAAGAGGAGAAAACTGAGGTCCCAAAGGGATGGAACCATTTTCCCATAGTCCCTCAGCATGGAGGGAGTCTTGAAGTTATCTGTCTGACTCCTATACACACCTGTACATCCATACCTGTACATACATATATAGTACATACCTGTACATACATATATAGTACATACCTGTACATACATATATAGTACATACCTGTACATACATATATAGTACATACCTGTACATACATATATAGTACATACCTGTACATACATATATAGTACATACCTGTACATACATATATATGTATATACCTGTACATGAACAGACACACACACACACACACACACACACATATATATATATATATATATTTTTTTTTTTTTTTTTTTTTTTGAGACGGGGCCTCGCTCTGTCATCCAGGCTGGAGTGCAGTGGTGCAATCATGGCTCACTGCAGACTTGACTTCCTGGGCTCAAGCAATACTCCCACCTCAGCCTCCCAAGTAGCTGGGACCACGGGCATGTACCACCATATCCAGCTAATTTTTAAATTAATTATCATTATTATTATTATTATTTTTGAGACAGAGTCTTGCTGTGTCGCCCAGGCTAGAGTGCAGTGGTACGATCTTGCCTCATTGTAACCTCCACCTCCCAGGTTCAAGCAATTCTCCTGCCTCAGCCTCCCAAGTAGCTGGGATTACAGGCACCCATCACCACGCCCTGCTAATAATTTTTTTATTTTTTGTAGAGGCAAGGCCTCACTCTGCCACCCAGGCTGGAGTGCAGGGGAACGACCTCGTCAGGCTCAGGTGATACTCTCACCTCAGTTTTTGTATTTTTAGTAGAGGCAGGGTTTTACCATGTTGCCAGGGTGGTCTCAAACTCCGGGGCTCAAGTGATCCGCCTACCTCGGTCTCCCAAAGTGCTAGGATTACAGGCGTGAGCCACTGTGCCCGGCCCATGCCCATATTCAATTTTTTTTTTTTTTGAGACAGAGTTTCGCTCTTGTTGCCCAGGCTGGAGTGCAGTGGTGCGATCTCGGCTCACCGCAACCTCTGCCTCCCGGGTACAAGCAATTCTCCTACCTCAGCCTCCTGAGTAGCTGGGATTATAGGCACGTGCCACCACACCCAGCTAATTTTTTTTTTTTTTTGTATTTTTATTAGAGATGGGGTTTCTCCATGTTGGCAGGCTGGTCTTGAACTCCCAACCAGGTGATCCACCTGCCTCAGCCTCCCAAAGTGCTGGGATTACAGGCATGAGCCACCACGCCTGGCCTCATACCCATATTCTTAATCCCGATGCATTCACCCATTCATTGATGCAGTCACTCAGCAGGCACTTACTGAGCACACGTTGTTGCATCATGGGGACACAGCAGTGAACACACAGACCCAAATCTCTGCCCTCCTGGAGCTGACACTCTAGTGGGGGAGACAGATGGCAAACCGGCAAACTGGTAATGTGAAAATCAAGTGAATTCTGTAGTAGGGTAAAGGGCGGTAAGCGCTCTGGAGAGAAATGGAACAGGGCAACGGGAGTTGGGTCTGTGCAGAAGAAGAGTGCAATATTTAATGGGATGGTCAAGAAAGGCCTCATTGAGGAGGTTAAGCTTCCAAGGAGAGAATTGCATGGATACTAAGGGAAGAGCAGTTCATCAGGAGAAACAGCATTTCATCAGGAGAAACAGAGGCCCTGAGGTGGGCATGTTCCTGGGAGGTCTGAGAAGCAGAGAAGAGGCCTTGTGGCTGGGAGAGAGGGACCGAGGGGGAGAATGGTAAGGAATGAGGTCAAGGAAGTGAGAAGGACAAATCGCGTGGGGCCTTGTGGGTCCAGGTCAGGCCTTGGACCTAAATGAGATGGAGTCTCAGGAGAGTGGGGAGAGTGTTGGCGTCCCTCCTGTCCCTCCTTGGCAGCTCTTCAACCTGATGCCCCAGTACTTTGTGGGTGTCTCATCGAGGCCCTTGTGGCACACTGTGGACCAGTCACCTGTGCTTATCCTGGGAGGCATTCCCAATGAGAAGTACGTCCTGATGACTGACACCAGCTTCAAGGACTTCTCTCTCGTGGAGGTGAACGGTGTGGGGCAGATGGTGGGCGGGGCGTCTTGGAGGGAGCTGGGCCTCAGCCCCTGAAATAAGGTAGGGGCCTGGGGCTCTAGAAGTCCCCAAAGACATATCTGTCCCCATGAGAGGCAGATAGCATGAAGAAAAAACACAAGATTCTACAGCCAGAGGGCCTAGGTTCAAACCCTGGTTCTGCCACCTCCTGGCTGCCTGACCCTGGACCTGGCAGTTCAACGACCCGGTCTTCAGATTCCCATTTGTAACATGGGAGTAATATTTATATTTACTTCATAGGATTGTTGTGAGGATGATATAAGTTAATAGTTTCTGGCCGGGTGCAGAGGCTCATGCCTATAATCCCAGCACTTTGGGAGGCTGAGGTAGGAGAATCGCTTGAGAGCAGGAGTTTGAGACCAGCCTGGACAACATAGTGAGACCCCATCTCTACCAAAAATACAAAACTTAGCCAGGGGTGGTGGCATGAGTCTGTAGTCTCAGCTGCTCAGAAGGCTGAAGCAGGAGGATTGCTTGAGCCTGGGACTTTGAGGCTGCAGTGAGCTATGATCACACCACTGCACTTCAGCCTGGGAGACAGATCGAGACCCTGTCTCAAAAACAAACAAACAAAAAAAACTGGGCGTGGTAGTGGGCGCCTGTAATCCCAGCTACTCAGGAGGCTGAGGCAGGAGAATGGCATGAAGCCGGGAGGCGGAGCTTGCAGCGAGCCAAGATTGTGCCACTGCACTCCAGCCTGGGCGACAGAGCCAGACTCCGTCTCAAAGAAAAACAAAAAAAAAAAGTTAATAGCTTCCATAACCAATGGTATATATGTGCCATTACATTCTACACTCTGGAAAATTCTGCATTGCAATATACATCTCTGCCCAAGGGTTTCCTATTAGGCATTGAGAGCCTATATTATCCCAGAATAGGGAGGGAGTGTCTGAAGTAAGGATCTTTTGGCTTCAGCGACAGAACTATGTTGGAATTAGTGCAGCTACAGGAGAACGCCAAGGCAGGTTGGTTTACCCAGAGAACTGGCTTTAAGAAGTGCACCCACAGCCGGTGCAGTGGCTCACGCCTATAATCCCAGCACTTTGGGAGACCGAGGCGGGTGGATCACCTGAGGTCAGGAGTTGCAGACCAGCCTAGGCAACATGGTGAAACCCTGTCTCTACTAGAAGTACAAAAATTAGCCAGGCATGGTGGCAGGCACCTGTAATCCCAGCTACTCTGGAGGCTGAGGCTGGAGAATCGCTTGAACCTGGGAGGCGGAAGTTGCAGTGAGCCAAGATCGTACCACTGTACTCCAGCCTGGGCGATAGAGCAAGACTCTGTCTCAAAAAAAAAAAAAAAAAGATTGCCTTAACCTCCTCCCATCAAGGTCAAAAGCCCTACTCACAATTTCTGAGGATCCCACGTGGATTAGTATTCTCCTGACCCCTTCTGGCTCTGAATTCCTGCTTATGTGGAATTTGTTCAGTTTGTGGACCATCTTCCTGTCCTGTGTCAGCTTTCTCTGTTCTGAGCCAAGTCTATTCAGACATTGTTTAATTTACACCAACTTTTTTTTTTAAGAGACAGGCTTTTGCTCTGTTGCCGAGGCTGGAGTGCACTGGTGTGATCATAGCTCACTGCAGCCTCCAACTCCTGGACTTAAACGATCCTCCTGCCTCAGCCTACCAAATAGCTGGTATTACAGGCATGCGCCACCTTACCTGGCTAATTTTAAAAAATTGTTTGTAGAGACACGGTCTCACTATGTTGCCCAGACTGGTCTTAAACTCCTGCCCTTAAGCAATCCTCCCATCTAGGCCTCCTAAAGTGCTGGGATCACCGTGCCTGGCCAATTTCCACAAACTTCGTTTTTTTTTTTTGTTTTTTTTTTTTTGAGATGGAATTTCACTCTTGTTGCCCAGGCTGGAGTGCAATGGTGTGATCTCAGCTCACTGCAACCTCCACCCCCCGGGTTCAAGTGATTCTCCTGCCTCAGCCTCCCAAGTAGCTAGGATTACAGGCATGCACCACCACACCCAGCTAATTTTGTATTTTTAGTACAGATGGGGTTTCACTATGTTGGCCAGGCTGGTCTCGAACTCCTGACCTCAAGTGATCCACCCGCCTCAGCCTCCCAAAGTGCTGGTATTACAGGTGTGAGCCATCGCACCTGGTCATAGAGAAGGTGTTTATATTCACAGGAATGAAAACAAGTTCAATGTGAATTCAGGCATCCAAATTCTTGTTCCTTATTTTTTTTAACTTGTTGAAGTGAAATCCATAAATTTAACCATTTTAAAGTGAACATCAGTGGCATCTAGTTCATTCACAATATTATGCAACCACCACCACTATCTACTTCCAAAAAATTTCCATCACTCCAAAATAAACCCTGGGTTTGTTTTTATTTCATGTCAGACAGGTAATGGGCCGACACCATAACAAGGCTTGAGGGAGACACATCTCAGATGACGGTGAAAACCCAATCGCCACACGTAGAAACTACAAGAAGATCCTATGATCCTGTTTTAGTTCTTTTTCTTTTTTTTCTTTTTGTCATGGTCTCACTTTCTTACCCAGGCTGGAGTTCAGTGATGCAATCTTGGCTCACTGCAGCCTCCATCTCCTGGGTTCAAGCCATCCTCCTACCTGAGCCTCCCTAGTAGCTGGGACTACAGGCGCATATCACCATGCCTGGCTAATTTTTGTATTTTTGGTAAAGATGGGGTTTTGCCATGTTGCCCAGCTTGGTCTTGAACTCCTGACCTCAAGCCATCCTCCTGCGTTGGCCTCCCAAAGTGCTGTGATTACAGGCATGAGCCACCGTGCCCAGCCTTGTTCTTGTTCTCTAACCAAGGAGATTTCTCCCTGATGGCCTCATCTGTTTGTCTCCTCTCTTCCCTGCTCCTGTCTCTCTCCACCACTCCCTTCCACACTGCCCCCAGGAAACGAATCCTCCCCTGGCTCATGGTTGGGGTCCAGGTATAGATGCTGTAACAAAGAGACCCTGGAAGGGAATTACTTAAACAGAGACTGTTGCTCATTGTTTTTTTTTGTTTGTTTGTTTGTTTGTTTGTTTGTTTTTTGAGACAGAGTCTCGCTCTGTTGCCCAGGCTGGAGTGCAGTGGCATAATCTTGGCTTACTGCAACCTCTGCCTCCCAGGTTCAAGTGATTCTTCTGCCTCAGCCTCCCGAGGAGCTGGGATTACAGCCACCCACCACCACACCTGGCTGATTTTTGTATTTTTAGTAGAGATGGGGTTTTGCCATGTTGGCCAGGCTGGTCCCGAACTCCTGACCTCAAATGATCTGCCCGCCTTGGCCTCCCAAAGTGTTGGGATTACAGGTGTGAGCCACCGCACCCGGCCGTTGCTCATTCTCGTAACAGTCTGGAGATGAGGAACCTTGTTCCTTCCATTTTCTCTCTTCACCATCCCCTGGGCTCAAGGTGTTGGCCTCTGTATGATGGCAGCCACTGGGAAAGGGGAGGAGCAGAAGTAGAGGGCAAGCCATTTTCTTTTAAGCAAACTTCACTTCCACTGACATTCCACTAGTGAGAAGGGGTCACCTGGCTACATCCAACTGCAAGGGACACTGGGTGGTACATGCCCAGCTAAACTCAATCACCAAAAAATATGGGGAAATGGATTTGAGAGCTTTACTAGCCATCTCCTAAAAGTGGAGAAGAAAATTTATTGGTTCACGAGACCAGATTTCAAACAGTATCACTGAGACGGGGTTTCTCGCCTCATCTCTTGGACCACATTCCTCTGTTTTTTGTTTGTTTGCTTGCTTTTTGAGACGGAGTTTCGCTCTTGTCACCCAGGCTGGAGTGCAGTGGTGCAATCTTGGCTCATTACAACTTTTGCCTCCTGGGTTCAAGCGATTCTCTTGCCTCAGCCTCCCAAGTAGTTGGGATTACAGGCACGTGTCACCACGTCCAGCCAATATTTTGTATTTTTAGTAGAGATGGGATTTCACCATGTTAGCCAGGCTGGTTTTGAACTCCTGGCCTCAAGCAATCCACCTGTCTAAGCCTCCAAAGTGCTAGGATTACAGGCACTCGGCCACATTCCTCTGTATTGACTTGATGCTCAAAACAGTCCTGTTGGCTGGGTGTGGTGGCTCAGGCCTGTAATCCCAACATTTTGGGAAGCCAAGGTGAGCAGATCACTTGAGCCTACGAGTTCGAGACCAGCCTGGCCAACATGGTGAAACCCCGTCTCTACTAAAAATACAAAAATTAGCCAGGCATGGTGGTGGGCACCTGTAATCCGAGCTACTCGGGAGGCTGAGGCAAGATAATCGCTGGAACCCGGGAGGCAGAGGTTGCAGTCAGCCAGGATTGTGCCACTGCACTCCAACCTGGGTGACAGAGTGAGATCCTATCTCAAAAAACAAACAAACAAAAAATGGTCCTGTTTTCTGGAACTGAAGACTACAGAGGCTGCATCTTCTCAAGCCCACATTCAGTGGGAAAGATCTTTCCCAAGAATCACCACATCCCCAAAGTCACAAGATTCCTTCCACTTGGTACAGCTCAGGTCCCTACCACCCCAACAAAGCCAACACAATCACCATGCCCAACATGATGCCTAGTGAATTAAATGAGTCAGAACTTTCCAATGAGGCTGAGGCGGGAGGACTGCTTGAAGCCAGGAGTTCAAGACCAGGGCAATGTAGCAAGACTCCCGTCTACACAGTTATTTATTTATTTTAATTAGCTGGGAGGCCGGGTGCGGTGGCTTACGCCTGTAATCCCAGCACTTTGGGAGGCCGAGGTGGGCGGATCACGAGGTCAGGAGATCGAGACCATCCTGGCTAACATGGTGAAACCCTGTCTCTACTAAAAATACAAAAAATTAGCCAGGCTTGGTGGTAGGTGCCTGTAGTCCCAGCTACTCGGGAAGCTGAGGCAGGAGAATGGCGTGAACCCGGGAGGCGGAGCTTGCAGTGAGCCAAGATCACGCCACTGCACTCCAGCCTGGGTGACAGAGCAAGACTCCGCCTCAAAAAAAAAAAAAAATTAGCTGGGAATGGTGGCAAGCACCTGTAGTTCCAGCTACTCGGGAGGCTGAGGCGGGAGGATTGCTTGAGCACAGGAGTTCAAGACCAGCCTGGGTAACATAGCGAGACCTCACCTCTACAAAAATAAAAATTAAAAAATTAGCTAGGCATGGTGGTGAGCACCTCTCTTGCCAGCTACTCGGGAGACTGAGGTGGGAGGATCGTTCGAGCCCAGGAGTTTGAAGCTGCAGTGAGCTATGATCATACCACTCCAGCCTGGGTGACAGAGCCAGATCCAGCCTTTAAAAAAAATGTCCCTTGGGGCGAGCATGGGGTGTTGTATCCATGTAGGTATAACACTGACTGTAGCCAAGGGCACAAGGACCGCTAAGGACCGTTGAGCATGCTGTGCACTGCCCAACTCCAGGGGGCACACGAAGCCTGAACTGGCTCAGGCCTGGGTCACCTGCTTCTCTGGTCCATATGGGGGAGGTTTGGCTACCAAGGTGCTGCTGCGGGGTGAGCAGGGAGAGCGCCCTGGGGCAGCTACATGTGTCCCTCCCAAGCAGCTGTCAGAGCAGGAGCTTCCCCGCAAGGCAGGACATGGGGGCTGAGGCCAAGGCCACCTGCTCACCACTAGCCTCTGCTCCCCTGCAGCTGAGCATTGACAGTTGCTGGGTGGGCTCCTTCTACTGCCCCCATTCTGGCTTCACAGCCACCATCTATGACACTATTGCCACCGAGAGCACCCTCTTCATTCGGCAGAACCAGCTGGTCTACTATTTTACAGGCACCTATACCACACTCTATGAGAGAAACCGCGGCAGTGGTGAGTGTGCTGTGGCTGGACCCACGCCTGGGGAGGGCACCCTGGTGAACCCCTCCACTGAAGGTGGCTGGGGGCTGGAATTGCTGTGGGTGAGGCATTGGGGAAGGAACTTGCCAAGGCCCCAAATCACCCTTGCCCACCCCGAATGGGCCTTGCCTTGCCCTTTTTTTTTTTTTTTTTTTTTTTTGCTGGGATGAGGCTTCCACCCAGACCCTCCTGGGAATTGTGAGCAGCTGTGAGAAGAGGGGGTGCGAGAGTAAAGGGAGGTAGAGAGAGGCAGACCCACGCGTGTGCCCACACACAGTGGCAGAAGGACTTGCCAAGACAGACCAGACGGGGAGAGAAAGTCAGAGGGAGAGGGGCATGGCAAATCAGAAAGACAGAGCGGGAGGAGAGAGAGAAACAGATGGGCAAAGCCTCAAGGGAAACTCATTGGAGAGGAAAAAAGAGAGTCTAGGCACAGTGGCTCAGGAGGCCAGACTATTCAAGAGGCTGACGGGAGGGGGCATCGCATGAGCCCAGGGGTTTGAGGCTGCAGTGAGCTATGATCACACCACTGCACTCCAGCCTGGGCGACAGAGCAAGACCCTGTTTCAAAAAAAAAAAAAAAAAAAAAAAAAGCTGGGCATGGTGGCTCATGCCTGTAATCCTAGCACTTTGGGAGGCCGAGGCGGGTGGATCACTTGAGGTCAGGAGTTCAAGGCCAGCCTGACCAACCTGGTGAAACCCCATCTCTGCTAAAAATACAAAAATTAGCCGGGCATTGTGGTGGGCACCTGTTATTCCAGCTACTCAGGAGGCTGAGAAAGGAGAATTGCTTGAACCCAGGAAGCAGAGCTTGCAGTGAGCTGAGTTCACGTCACTGCACTCCAGCCTGGCCAACAGAGCGAGACTCAGTTTAAAAAAAAGAGAGAGGAAAAAGCGAGAGAGATGAAAAAGAGAGACTATTCAACTTAATCTTTAAATGATACCGTGGCTGGGTGCAGTAGCTCACACCTGTAATCCCAGCACTTTGGGAGGCTGAGGCAGGTAGATCACATGGTCAGGAGTTCGAGACCAGCCTGGCTAACATGGTGAAACCCCGTCTCTACTAAAAATACAGAAAATTAGCAAAATTAGCTGGGCGTGGTGGCACATGCCTGTAGTCCCAGCTACTCGGGAGGCTGAGGCAGGAGAATCGCTTGAACCCGGGAGGCGGAGCTTGCAGTGAGCTGAGATCGTGCCACTGCACTCCAGCCTGGGCGACAGAGCGAGATGCCATCTCAAAAAAAAAAAAAAAAAAGAAAAAGGCCAGGCGCGGTGGCTCACGCCTGTAATCCCAGCGCTTTGGGAGGGCGGATCACGAGGTCAGGAGTTTGAGACCAGCCTGGCCAATATGGTGAAACCCCGTCTCTACTAAAAATACAAAAATTAGCTGGGTGTGGTGGCATGTGCCTGTACTCCCAGCTTCTCAGGAGGCTGAGGCAGAAGAATTGCTTGAACCCAGGAGGCGGGGCTGCAGTGAGCCAAGATCGTGCCACTGCACTCCAGCCTGGGCGACAGAGTAAGACTCTGTCTCAAAAAAAAAAAAAAAAAAAAAAAAAAAAGATACCAAAGCTCTCTTATTTCTTCCAGTTTCTCCCGCCATCTCAGTGAGAACTGTCAGCTTACAGAGTCACTGGAAATTGGACTGTAACTTACATTTCATAAGTGAATGCGTGTTCCCAGCAGCTTTGCTTAGTCTCTTTCTTACTTTGGGCATTTTGACAGTGGGAGGAACCAAATTCAAATTGGCTTAATCCAAAGAAAAGTGGTGTTTATTGGCTTCCGTGGCTGAAAAGCCCAGGAGCATGTTGGTTTCAGGAAAGGCTGCACCATGGGGTCACTGTCACGGTTAGACAGTCACCTCCTTGTGCATGCCACGGTGATTCAGGCCTCTACGCAGCAACTGTAGACTTTTATGCCCCTCAGTAGCCCCAGAAAAGAGCATCTTGTTGCGGATTGCAAGCTGATATTGCCTCTGATTTGGCCGGCTTGGTCACATGCTAATCATTGTGGCCTAGGGAGTGCAAGGGAGGTGTCAGCCCAATCTGACCCTCATGGACAGAGTGTGAGCAAGGAGGATTTTCTCAAAGGCAGCGGGTGCCCTCTGCCAGGTGCTCCCTGACACCACACTGAACGGGTGCTTCAGCATGAGAGGACAGATAACAGGCTCACTAAAGCCAGGGAAATGTGGGCAGGGGGCAGAGGCCCCAGATCCAACCACCTGGGTCTGAGGCCCCATACTGACTTCACTAGGCAGTTGGATTCGTGTCCTGGCCAGCGAGTGCATCAAGAAGCTGTGCCCTGTGTATTTCCATAGCAATGGCTCTGAGTACATAATGGCCCTCACCACGGGCAAGCATGAGGGTTATGTACACTTCGGGACCATCAGAGGTAAGGGTGTGGGCCTCTGTCAGCCCCAGGGACCCCTCCATACCCTCTCTCACCTCCGAGAATTCTAACCTTGGGCCCTCACTCATTACCATGTGCCCTGAGGAGGGCCCCTAGGCTGAGGGTGATGGTGGTGGTGGAGGGATGCGTTTGTAGGGGTAGGGCTTGGGGGTATGTTATGTATCTTTCATGATGTACTTGGTTTTAAAGGGCAGAAGAGCTGGGCACAGTGGCTCATGCCTGTAATCCCAGCACTTTGGGAGGCTGAGGCAGGCGGATCACTTGAGGTCAGGAGTTCAAGAACATCCTGGCCAACATGGTGAAACCCCATCTCTACTAAAAATAAAAAAATTAGTTGGGCGTGGTGGCAGGCGCCTGTAATCCCAGCTATTCAGGAGGCTGAGGCAGGAGAGTCACTTGAACCCAGGAGATGAAGGTTGCAGTGAGCCGAGATTGCACCACTGCACTCCAGCCTGGGCAACAGAGTGAGACTCTGTCTCAAAAACGAACAAACAAATCCCCCAAAAAAACAAAAATAGCAGAAGCCCAATTCAAAAATAATTGAAGTACAGCTGGGCACAGTGGCTCATGCCTGTAATCCCAGCACTTTGGGAGGCTGAGGTGGGTGGATCACCTGAGGTCAGGAGTTCGAGACCAGCCTGGCCAACATGGCGAAACCCCATCTCTACTAAAAGTACAAAAATCAGCTGAGCATGGTGGCATGCACCTGTAGTCCCAGCTACTTGGGAGGCTGAGGCATGAGAATTGCTCGAACCTGGGAAGCGGAGGTTGCAGTAAGCCAAGATCATGCCACTGCACTCCAGCCTGGGCAACAGAGTGAGACTGTCTTAATAATAATGATAGTAATAATAATAATAACTTAAGCACAAAGAATTTGTGGACTTACATAAATGAAAAGACTACGGTTCAACTTCAGGTATGGCTGGATCCAGGGGCCCACAGGGTAGGTCATCAGGACTCCATCTCTTGGTAAGGTAGTGCAGCATAGTAATTAATTATAGCACAGATTCTGGAGAGAGACTGCTCCATCACACCTTCGCTGTGTGCCTCTCGATATGTAACTTGACCTCTCTGATCTCGTTTTCTTCACCTACAAAATGTGGCTAATGGTAGTACTAGCATCTAGGTCACCGGGTTGATATAAAGATTAAATAAGTTGGTTTTTGTAAAGGTCTTAGTGCTAGTGATGTGGTGAGTGTTACAAACAGTTTATTATTATTGGTCCTATAATTTGGGTCCATTTTTAGGTAGCTATTCCTCCATGGAGGTTAAAGGTGGCCCCTTAAAGCTTCAGACTCAAGTCACCTACTAGTCTGAGTCACGCCAAGAGAATGAAGACAGCATCTTTCCCATTAATTCTAACACAAATCCCAGAGTAAACTCTGATCGGCCCACCGTGGGTCACATGGCCAGACCTGAGGCATGAGACCCACAGTCTCATGACTGTGACCAAAGACAGACATGCTCTGATAGGCCAGGTGTGAGTGACGAAAGGCCAGAGAATGAGATCCCAAGGACGGAGGGGCTGGTGGGCATAAGGAGGGCAATCGGAGTTGGCTTGATGGGCTGCCAGACAGGAGGGAGAGGGCCTGAACATGAACCCGACCTTGCTCTGCAGATGGCCAGGTGTCCTTTGAGATGCTGCCCAGGCAGTGGTCTGTGTGCGAGCAGATAGGAGGTACTCATTACCCCGATGGGTCTGCGGTGGGAGGCTGGGGGAACTGAGGATGCAGAAGAGCAGGGGAGGGTGGCAGGGGTCATGGGAAAGAATGGGCAGTGTCTTAGGGAGGGGTGAGTTATGGGGAGGGGTACAGCTGGCACAGGACCAAGGCTATTGAGCCCTGGGGCGGCTCTGGACTGCCCCTTTCCCTCTCAGTTACCACCTGCTCCATAATTTGGTCTGAATACATCGCGGGTGAGTATACTCTACTGCTGCTGGTGGAGAGTGGATATGGTAATGCAAGTAAACGTTTCCAGGTGGTCAGCTACAACACAGGTAATGAGGGTGATGCAAGGGGCTGGGCACAAAGGGGCAGGATCCCAGACTGTGGACTGCATGCCCATCCTGAGGGATCTGTGCCCAGCAGACAGAGGGAGGGCAACATTACCTGTGTCACTCCTGGTTGAGGAGTAGCAGTGGAGAACAGGATATAGGCTTGGTGATCTGAAAGGGCCCTGTGGCTCACAATAAAGAGATTTTATTTTACCTGCAGTGAGAATAGGGCCCCTATGTAGATTTGTGCAGGCTGTGCAGTGCACAAAACCCCCAACCGAGGGGTCAGAGGAGACAGGTCCTGTGCCTTAACAGGACTGTTTCCTCTCAGGCAGTGCCTTTTTATAATTCACATGAAGAAATTCTAAAGGGCTAGGCAAGGGGCTCACACCTGTAATCCCAGCACTTTGGGAGGCCAAGGCCAGAGGATCCCTTGAGGCCAGGAGTTCAAGACCAGCCTGGGGCAACATGGCAAGAGGCTGTCTCTACAAATTAAAAAAAAAAAAAAAAAAAAAGTAGCTGAGTATGGAGTCGCACCTGTAGTCCCAGCTACTTGGAATATACCTGAGGTGGGAGGATAGCATAAGCCCAGGAGGTTGAGGCTACAGTGAGCTATGATCATGCTACTACCTGGGTGACAGAGCAAGACCCGGTCTCAAAAAAAAAAAAAGAGCAGAGCCAGGCGTGGTGGCTCGTGCTTATAATCCTGGCACTTTGGGACACCAAGGTGGGTGGAATGCTTGAGCTCAGGCGTTCAAGACCAGCCTAGGCAATATAGCGAAACCTCATCTCTACTAAAAATACAAAAATTGGCCGGGCACGGCGGCTCACGCCTGTAATCCCAGCACTCTGGGAGGCCGAGGCGGGGGGATCACCTAAGGTCAGGAGTTCAAGACCAGCCTGACTAACATGGTGAAACCCTGTCTCTACTAAAAATACAAAAATTAGTCGGGCATGATGGTGGGTACCTATAAACCCAGCAACTCAGGAGGCTGAGGTGGAAGAATCACTTGAACCTGGGAGGCAGAGGTTGCAGTGAGCTGAGATCATGCCATTGCACTGCAGCCTGGGCAACAGAGCGAGACTCCATCTCGAAAAAAAAAAAAATTAGCTGGGCATGGTGGTGGTGTGCGCCTATAATCCCAGCTACTCCATAGGCTGAGGTGGGAGGATCACTTGAACCGAGGAGGCAGAAGTTGCAGTGAGCTGAGATCACACCACTGCACTCCAGCCTGGGCGACAGGGAGATCCTGTCTCAGGGGGGAAATAAAAGAAAAGAAACTCTAAGGACTAGCAAACCCGAGTGGGAAGCTCTTTGGAGGGTTTTACAGGAGGCTGAGAAGCAAACAACTTGCTCCAGCTCCAGGTTTTGAAAGTGCAGGGCCTCAGGAGATTTTGCTGTGTTCTCCCCACCTGTAGCTAGTGATGACCTGGAACTTCTCTACCACATCCCAGAATTCATCCCTGAAGGTAGGAAGGGAAGGCAGACGTGGCCTCAGGGTGGCTGTGGGCCAGGAGGGGCCCAGGTGACTCCACTTCACTGCTGTGTCCTCTCTTCCTCTGCTCCGGTCAGCTCGAGGATTGGAGTTCCTGATGATCCTAGGGACAGAGTCCTACACCAGCACTGCAATGGCCCCCAAGGGCATCTTCTGTAACCCGTACAACAATCTGATCTTCATCTGGGGCAACTTCCTCCTGCAGAGGTGGGCCTCTACCACCCCTGGGTGGGCCAGGCATACTCTGTCTCCCCAGCAACTTTACGGTGGGGACCCTTTCAAGCCCAGGCTAGGCAAGTCTCACCAAGCCTTCAAAGGATGCACAAATCCAGAAGTTACCAGGACTGTGATGAGGAACACACCGTTAGGGTAGTCAGTGCTGGGATGGGGGAAGCCAATGTTTTAAAGCTGTGGGAGCCCTTTTCTTAAAATGAAACCTTATATAAAGACCCAGCCTGTGTGAGCAATAGATGAGCAGTTTCTAGGGTTTTTTTTTGTTTTTGTTTTTGTTTTGGGACAGAGTCTCACTCTGTCACCCAGGCTACAGGACAGTGGCAAAATCTCGGCTCACTGCAGCCCCCGCCTCCCAGATTCAAGCGATTCTCCTGCATCAGACTCCCGAGTAGCTGGGATTACAGCTGCATGCCACCATGCCTGGCTAATTTTTGTATTTTTAGTAGAGACGCGGTTTCACCATGTTGGGCAGGCTGGTCTCAAACTCTTGACCTCAGGTGATCCTCCTGCCTCAGCCTCCGAGAGTGCTGGGATTACAGGTGTGAACCACCATGCCCGGCTAATTGACAAACATTTTCTAGGGACAGTTTAGGATCCTCCCCACCCCAGCCACCCTCTCGACCCTCAGGAACCTAGGGGCCCCTGAGCCACCTTCTTGGGTGGCTGGCAAACTGCCAGGTTGGCCCAATGCTCCTGTTTTACAGATGGGGAGCTGAAGATTCTCAAAGGGTTTGGGGTGGGGGGCGGGAGCTAGGATTTCAAGCTTCCTTTGCATGTTCTTACAAGTGGAGAAACAGTAAGTGGCTCCCGTGTTATTAGGCCTGGGATTGGGGGAAGCGGCTGTCCAGCATGCGCCTAGCTCTCCATCTCTGTCCCTGCAGCTCTAACAAGGAAAACTTCATCTACCTGGCAGACTTCCCCAAGGAACTGTCCATCAAATACATGGCCAGATCGTTCCGTGGGGCTGTGGCTATTGTCACAGAGACGGAGGAGGTGGGCTGCCCCGCCCCTCTCCCCGTTCCCTCTCTGCCCACCCCCAAACCCCAGGGGCCCCTCTTTCCCCCGTCACAGTAAAGGAGCCAAGGGAAGGGGGCACCCTCGGGGACCCTGAGAAAGGGCAGTGAAGCTCCATTTATAACTGAAACTCCTGGAACTCAGGGTAAGTGTCAGCTCCAAAGTCACGCAGACCGGAGCTATGATCCGATGTTCAGAGGCGGCCCTCTTTCATCCCACAGTGTGGTCGTTCACTTCATAAATATTGAGCATTTACTGTGTGCCTGCCCCCGTGCTGGAGAACACAGAGTGATCAGGGCTGCAATGGGGAAAATATTACCTATGGAAGCAGGGGGACCTGGCCCCGTCTGGGGGCTTGTGCATGTCAGGGAGGGCTTCATGGGGGAGACCACATGGAGGGGGACATCTTGGAGGCTGGAGGGGATCCCCCAGGTTGTGGCTCAGGAAGGGGAGTGAAGGTTCCCTTCAGATGTGTATGGGGGTGGGCATCAGTGCAGAGATGGGAAACTGAGGCCAGGGAAATGGTGAGACCCTGGAAGCTGCAAAGAGTGAGAAGAAAAGAGGTCTCGGCTCTAGGAACCGTGGCTGTTAGGGAGTGTGTGTGTTAGAGATGCTTAGGTCGCAAGTGCCAGAAACCCAAACAGACCGAAAACATTGAAAAAAGTGATCATAGTGTGTGAGGGCTGGAACCAGAGGTGATTGGGCTCAGGGAAGTAGAGCCGTGGCACCACAGAGAAAAGGAAGGGGAGCGCCCTTGGTCCCAGTGGAGGTGAGTTTCCAAACTTCATCCCTCAAACAATGGGGCCACCACACTGGGCAGAGGGTGAGGTGGGATCAGAGGACCCCATGGTCCTGACACACACACATCCGGCTGTCATACCCGCAGATCTGGTACCTCCTGGAGGGCAGCTACCGGGTCTACCAGCTGTTCCCTTCCAAGGGCTGGCAGGTGCACATCAGCTTAAAGCTGATGCAACAGTCCTCTCTCTACGCATCCAATGAGACCATGCTGACCCTCTTCTACGAAGACAGCAAACTGTACCAGGTGCCCGGTGGAGCTATGCGGGGACATCGGGGCACCCCAGGAGGGCTGACCCCAGCTCACCTGGCCCTGCCTTCCCCCTGCAGCTGGTGTACCTTATGAACAACCAGAAGGGCCAGCTGGTCAAGAGGCTCGTGCCCGTGGAGCAGCTTCTGATGTATCAACAGCACACCAGCCACTATGACTTGGAGCGGAAAGGGTGAGAAGACACCGGACCATGACAGGGGTCTGAGGGCTCCCGGCACTGCCCTCCTGAAGCTACCATTCTTGAGAGAGGGGAGACCGAGCTAACCCCAGTGAAAACCTCAGGGCTATGATGGCAGGAGTTCAGCACTTATGGAAGCTCAGAGGAGGAGCCCAACCTAGTGGGGGGAAGGTGCATCAGGGAGGGCTTCAAGGAGGAGGAGGTGTATGCACTGTGGCAAGAAGGGTGAGGAAGGATTAGCCAAGTGATAAGGTGGGGAAGGGTGTTCCAGAAAGGGGGAACCACCTGTGCAGAGGCCCTGATGGGAGGGGGACAAAGTGAGCCTGGTGGTCATGGGGAGAAACTTGGGCTTCATCTTGAGGGTCTTGGGAGAGCCATGGATGGGACTAAGGGAAAGGACTGCAGGATCGGATTTTACCGCGTGCCGTAATGATGCCTCCGGTCATCGTCCTGCGGAGGGTGGATCAGAGCAACCCAGGGAGGCAGCTGGAGTCGGGACAGGGAAGGGGCGCTGGGGTGGAAGGAGGAAGCAGGAGATGGAATAAAGATAAGAGGTCAAGTGGACAGGCAGATGGCGACTGCCCGTTGAGTAGGGAGGACTCTGGTCTCAGGGATCAAGGGAGGGACGTCCGAGGGGATGTGTGCAGAGGCCTCTGGGCAGCAGGGGCTGACGCTGAGGAGGAAGATTCGGGCTGGATTCGATACGGGAAGTGGGTGGGGTGGGAAAGAGGCCTGCGGAAGCTTCCAGTGCGCGGGGTGCCTTAGAGCCAGCAGCCTTTCCCCCTTGCCACTGCCCAGGGGCTACTTGATGCTCTCCTTCATCGACTTCTGCCCCTTCTCGGTGATGCGCCTGCGGAGCCTGCCCAGTCCGCAGAGATACACGCGCCAGGAGCGCTACCGGGCGCGGCCGCCGCGCGTCCTGGAGCGCTCGGGCTTCCACAACGAGAACTCGCTCGCCATCTACCAGGGCCTGGTCTACTACCTGCTGTGGCTGCACTCCGTGTACGACAAGGTGGGCGTCCGGCGGCGGGCGGGCAGGCCTGAGACGGGACTGGGGCAGCCGGGAGCTGGCTTAGAGGGCGAGGCCTGTGGAGCGGAGCGCAGCGGGATTGGAGAACAGGACTGGTGGTGGGTGGGCGGGGGACCTGGGGGCGGGGCCTGGCTTGAGCAGGACTTCCAGGGGAAGGCGTTGGGGGTGTGGCCGGGTTGAAAGCAGGGTTTGGGGATGGGCTGGGGTGTGTATCTTCTGCTCTGGGTTGGGGGCTGGCTTTGAGGCTAGGAGGTGGTCTGGGGATGCCGCTTGCCTGGAGGCTCTCGCCCCGCTGCCCAATCCCTTCACGGTGCCGGGCGATCCCTGCAGCCGTACGCGGACCCGGTGCACGACCCCACCTGGCGCTGGTGGGCGAACAACAAACAAGACCAGGTAGGCGGAGCGGATTGGGAGCCGGGAAAGGGGCGGCGCCCGGACACCCCTCACCGTGCCCCACCCCCGGCGCTGACTCTGCCCCGCGCATCCGGTACCCCAGGATTACTACTTCTTCTTGGCGAGCAATTGGCGAAGCGCGGGCGGCGTGTCCATAGAAATGGACAGCTACGAAAAGATCTACAACCTCGAGTCCGCGTACGAGCTGCCGGAGCGCATTTTCCTGGACAAGGGCACTGAGTACAGCTTCGCCATCTTCCTGTCGGCGCAGGGCCACTCGTTCCGGACGCAGTCAGAACTCGGTCTGCGCGGGACCAGAGTGGAGCCCGAAGGGCGGGGCGAGGGCTACCAGAATCTGGGAGCCTGGGGGGCGGGGACACCATCGGAGGGGCGGGGCCTGTCTGTGAGGGAGGCCTTAACCCCGTTTACTGCCCGGAGCAGGCACCGCCTTCCAGCTGCATAGCCAGGTGGACGTGGGCGTGGTGCTGGCCGACCCCGGCTGCATCGAGGCCTCGGTGAAGCAGGAGGTCCTGATTAATCGCAACTCGGTGCTATTTTCGGTGAGGCCCCCCGGGGAGTTGGGATCAAGGGAGGTTTTGTTTTTTTTTTTTTTTTTTTTTTTTGGAGACAGGGTCTTGCTCTGTCGCTCAGGCTGGAGTGCCAGTGGAGCGATCACTGCATTCTTGGCCTCCTGGGCTCAAGCGATCCTCCTCCCTCAACCTCCTGAGTAGCTGGGACTGCAGGCACGCACCACAGTGCCCAGTGAACTTTTTGTTTTTCTTTTGAGACGGAGTCTTGCTCAGTCGCCCAGGCTGGAGTGCAATGGCACGATCTCGGCTCACTGTAACCTCTGCCTCCCAGATTCAACCGAGTCTCCTGCCTCAGCCTCCCTAGTAGCTGAGATTACAGGTGCATGCCACTACACCCAGCTAATTTTTTGTATTATTAGTAGCGATGGGGTTTTACCATGTTGGCCAGGCTAGTCTTGAACTCCTGACCTCAAATAATCTGCCCACTTTGGCCTCCCAAAGTGCTGGGATTACAAGCGTGAGCCACTGCACCCAGCCTTAACTTTTTATTTTTTGTAGAGACGGGGGTCTCCCTATGTTGCCCAGGCTGGCCTCGAATTCCTGGACTCAAGAGATCCTCATGCCTCGGCGTGAGGTGTGAGGTGTGAGGCATGAACCACCCTGTGCTTGGCCCCGTTAGCCTATTCCTTTTTTTTTTTTTTTTTTTTATTGATCATTCTTGGGTGTTTCTAGGACAATAGTGGAGGGAAGGTCAGCAGATAAACAAGTGAACAAAGGTCTCTGGTTTTCCTAGGCAGAGGACCCTGGGGCCTTCCGCAGTGTTTGTGTCCCTGGGTACTTGAGATTAGGGAGTGGTGATGACTCTTAACGAGCATGCTGCCTTCAAGCATCTGTTTAACAAAGCACATCTTGCACCGCCCTTAATCCATTTAACCCTGAGTGGACACAGCACATGTTTCAGAGAGCACAGGGTTGGGGGTAAGGTCACAGATCAACAGGATCCCAAGGCAGAAGAATTTTTCCCAGTACAAAACAAAATGAAAAGTCTCCCATGTCTACTTCTTTCTACACAGACACGGCAACCATCCGATTTCTCAATCTTTTCCCCACCCTTCCCCGCTTTCCACTCCACAAAACCGCCATTGTCATCATGGCCCGTTCTCAATGAGCTGTTGGGCATACCTCCCAGACGGGGTGGTGGCCGGGCAGAGGGGCTCCCCACTTCCCAGCAGGGGCGGCCGGGCAGAGGTGCCCCTCACCTCCCGGACGGGGCAGCTGGCCGGGCGGGGGGCTGACCCCCCCACCTCCCTCCCGGACGGGGCGGCTGGCCTGGCGGGGGCTGACCCCCACCTCCCTCCAGGACGGGGTGGCTGCCGGGCGGAGACGCTCCTCACTTCCCAGACAGGGTGGCTGCCGGGCGGAGGGGCTCCTCATTTCTCAGACGGGGCGGTTGCCAGGCGGAGGGTCTCCTCACTTCTCAGACAGGGCGGCTGGGCAGAGACGCTCCTCACCTCCCAGATGGGGTCGCGACCGGACAGAGGCGCTCCTCACATCCCAGACGGGGCAGCGGGGCAGAGGCACTCCCCACATCTCAGACGATGGGCGGCCGGGCAGAGACGCTCCTCACTTTCCAGAGTGGGCAGCCAGGCAGAGGGGCTCCTCACGTCCCAGACGATGGGCAGCCAGGCAGAGACACTCCTCACTTCCCAGACGGGGTGGCGGCCGGGCAGAGGCTGCACTCTTGGCACTTTGGGAGGCCAAGGCAGGCGGCTGGGAGGCGGAGGTTGTAGCAAGCCGAGATCACGCCACTGCACTCCAGCCTGGACACCATTGAGCACTGAGTGAACCAGACTCCGTCTGCAATCCCGGCACCTCGGGAGGCCGAGGCTGGCGGATCACTCGCGGTTAGGAGCTGGAGACCAGCCCGGCCAACACCCCGTTAGCCTATTCCTGAGTAGAAAATGGCAGCCTTCCGTTTTCCTACCAGCCACCACCTCGCCCCAGCTATGGGTTATTTGAACTGTTTGTTGGACTTTGGGGAGACCTGTTCACCCCTTCATTTCTGCCTCTCCCCTCCTTCAACCCCAGATTACGCTCAAGGATAAAAAGCTTTGCTATGACCAAGGCATTAGTGGACATCACCTTATGGAGACTTCCATGACGGTCAATGTGAGGTCCAAGCCTGGAGGGGAGGGTGCAGGATGGTGGGAAAGCCTGGGCCGGCGGGGATCACCATCTTCACCTGCTCCTACCCACAGGTGGTGGGTTCATCCGGGCTCTGCTTCCAGGAAACACACCTGGGGCCCCATATGCAAGTATTGGAGCTTGGGATACTGGGCCCTGGGAGGGGAAGGTTGGGGTCGGGTCTCAACAGGGCTAATCCCCCTGAGAATCCCACTAATGCATTCATAATTTCCTTTCTTCTCATTCTTTCTCAACATTCATCCACCCACCCACTACCACCCACTAACTCCTTTCATTCTTTTTTCTTTAAGACGGAGTTTCACTCTTGTTGCCCAGGCTGGAGTGCGGCGGCGCGGTCTTGGCTCACTTTGCCTCCTTGGCTCAAGTGATTCTCCTGCCTCAGCCTCCCAAGTAGCTGGGATTATAGGCGCCCGCCACCACGGCTGGCTAATTTTTTGTATTTTTAGTGGAGACAGAGTTTTTCCATGTTGGCCAGGATGGTCACAAACTCCTAAACTCAAATGATCCACCCGCCTCAGCCTCCCAAAGTGCTGGGATTCCAGGTGTGAGCCACCATGCCCGGCCTAACTCCTTTCATTCATTCACGTTTTCAGAAAGGGCCACCTTCCCAGTTGTGCAGGTTGCACACAAACTGGTATGTTCCCTCTGATAACTTTTCTTCAGAGGGAGAATAGAGTGAGCAACAGGGCCGTTTTTTTTTTGTTTTTTGTTTTTTTTTTAACGATGTCTCACTCTTGTCCCCCAGGCTGGAGTGCAATGGTGCAATCTCGGCTCACTGCAACCTCCACCTCCCGGGTTCAAGCGATTCTCCTGCCTCAGCCTCCCAAGTAGCTGGGATTACAGTTGCATACCACCATGCCTAGCTAATTTTTTATATTTTAAATAGAGACGGAGTTTCACCATGTTGGCCAGGCTGGTCTTGAACTCCTAACCTCAGGTGATCTGCCGGCCTTGGCCTCCCAAAGTGCTGGGATTACAGGTGTGAGCCACCGTGCCCGACCTAGGGCCACTTTTTGCAATTGGCACAAAGGTGGCATAAGGGCTGGCCTGGCCCTGCTTTCACATCTCTCTCTTCTTCTGCCCACTCACACATTCCTCATTCAGTTCTTTGGGTGCTTGGTGCTTCACTTGCTTATACACGTGATATCGCCTTTGCCCGGGGCAGACACTGAGGCTCAGAGAGGTGCAGAGTAACCCAGGGAGCTAATAAGTGGTAGAGGAGGGGCGTGCCCCAGAGTTCTTGTTCTCACCCATTTCCCTACCCACTCCCTGGCATGCAGATCCTGGTGTTCCTCCCTCCTGGCTTAGAATGACCTTGGGCAGTCAAAAGGGGTTGTAACAGCCCCCACCTCCTTAGAGTACATGAGATTTCATGTGCTAGACTGAATAAACAAGGAGGAAGTGTGATTGCATCAGGGTGGGCAAGGGGGAACGTGGTGGGATGAGCTCGGAGCAGTGATGGGGCAGAGTAAGCGGAGCCCTTATGGGCCATGGTATGTGAGCTGGCTCCTCGGGAGGGCTCTAAGCAGAGGAGGGACTCGGGTGTCCCCAGGGCCCATCTGGCTGCATGGGGTGGGGGGACATCAATGAGGGGACTGGAAGCAGGGAGACTCTGGAAGAGACAAGGTTGGACAAAACAGGGTGGGGGCAAAGGAGTTGGAGGTTTAGGGGAGAGAACAGGCAGGCTCTCGGTCTTTTTTTTTTTTTTTTTGAGACAGAGTCCTGCTCTGTCACCCAGGCTGGAGTGCAGTGGTGCAGTCTTGGCCTCTACCTCCCTGGTTCAAGCGATTCTCCAGCCTCTGCCTCCCGAGTAGCTGGGATTACAGGCATGCACCACCACACACCCAGCTAATTTTTTGTATTTTTAGTAGAGACAGGGTTTTACTGTGCTGGCCAGGCTAGTCTCGAACTCCTGGACTCAAGTGATCAGCCCGCCTCGGCCTCCCGAAGTTCTGGGATTACAGGCATGAGCCACTGCACCAGGCCGTGTTAATGATATTAATGACCATATTGCCCTTGGGGGTGAGGGAGAGCCAGGCAGCTGGTGGTGGTGTTTGTGGGAGGGGGACTGTCCTTCCTGCCCCTTACCCCTCCAGGGGCCTGAGGAGACCCTGGCCACCCCTGTGAGCCTTTTTTCCTCCCACCGAGGGCAACCTGATGGTGCCAGTGTTCATTGGCTGCCCCCCAGGCAAGCGCCTGGCCTTCGACATCACCTACACGCTGGAATACAGCCGCCTGAAGAACAAACACTACTTTGACTGCGTTAACGTGAACCCGGAGATGCCCTGCTTTCTCTTCCGGGACAGTGTGTGTCCAGTCCCTTCCCCTGCACAGTTCACTGCCCTCTTGCCCCCACTACTTTGTGCTCTCCCTCCCCATTCCTCTCCCCGCAGACTACCCACCCTTTTTCCTGCGGCATCTCACTTTCCCCCGTCTCGGTCCTCAGCTTCTCGGGCCAAGCTAATTTCTTCTTCTGGTCTCAATCCCCTCCAACCCCATAGTTTTCTACCCCTTCTTCTTGATTCAAGATTTGGTGACAGGAGACTCCGGCAGTTTCCAGGGCAGGTAAAGGCGTGGCCAGCTTGCAGCTAGGGCAGGTGGAGGGAGTGGAAGGAGATGGGTGCAGGACTCGAGACCCGGAGGCCAGTCTGTGTGCACTTCTGTCCCTGGTAGCTATGTTCTGCTGGTGGTGGGTGGCGGGCCCACACTGGACAGCCTCAAGGACTACAGTGAGGACGAAATCTACCGCTTCAACAGCCCCCTGGACAAGTAATCCCCGTGGGGTCCCACGTGTAATCCACCTTGCTTCCCCTGGAGGCCTTTCCCACTTCCAAGCCAAGCCCACCTCGCAAGCCCCCACCTCTGCGTCTCAGGCCCTGCCCACAGTGGGGCTCTTAGGATCTCACAGGCAAACTCCTGCCCGCCCCTAACACCATGTCCCCTGCACCCACCTGTGGCCTCCCTCCACACTGACCACTGAGGTCATACCTCCCCTACACCGCCCCCCAACCCCTGGCTGAGATGACCTGGGCCTGCACAGGACCAACAGCCTTATCTGGACCACGAGGACCACAAGGACCACCAAAGACTCAGCCTTTCACATCATGTCCCACGAGAGCCCAGGCATCGAGTGAGTGCGTAGCCTGGCCCCTCTTGGCCCCCATCTGTCGGTAGTCCATTGGGCCCACCTATCCTTTCTGCCCCTAGGAGGCCTCTTGATCCCCAAGTCACACTGACTGCCTTTGTGTTACTTAAATGGGGCTGAACTTTGCACAAGCTGAAGTCTCTGCCTGGAATGCTGCTCCCTCCGACTCTTTTCAGGCCTTAGGCAGATGCCCCTTCAGCCAGGAGGACTTTTCTGTTTCAAGATGGGACAATTGTCCCTTCATGGCTCCTATGGCCTCTTGGGGCTCTCCCATCCTGGCCCTGAGCCCCCTACCTGTGCGTCCCCATCCCAGAGTGGACAGCTCTGGGCAGTCACTGTCTGGTGTGGGGTCTGTCTCTCCTCCAGAACTGGGTCCTGAATAGACTCATAAATTTGTTTTTATTTTTGAGATGGAGTTTTGCTCTTTGTTGCCCAGGCTGGAATGCAGTGGCAAGATCTCAGCTCACTGCAACCTCCACCTTCCAGGTTCAAGCGATTCTCCTGTCTCAGCCTCCTGTTTATTTTTTGAGACAGGCTCCCTCTGTGGCCCACCAGGCTGGAGTGCAGTGGCACAATCTCAGCTCACTGCAGCCTCTGCCTCCTGGGTTCAAGCAATTCTCCTGCCTCAGCCTCCCAAGTAGCTGGGATTACAGGCACCCGCCACCATGCCTGGCTAATTTTTGTATTTTTAGTAGGGATGGGGTTTCACCACGTTGGTCAGGCTGATCTTGAACTCCTGACCTCAGGTGATCCGCCTGCCTCAGCCTCCCAAAGTACTGGGATTACAGGCACATGCCACCATGCCCGGTTAATTTTTGTATTTTTTTTTCTAGTAGAGACGGGGTTTCACCATGTTGGCCAGGCTGGTTAACATAGCATGTATTGAATGAAAGAATGAACAAATGAATAAATCAATTCGTGGCAGGCATTTATTGATATCTGAATGGGGGTATTAATGAATGAATAAAACAATGGAGAAACAAATTCATATATAGGGGCTCAGTAAGTTTCATTCAATGAAAGGAAAAAAATGAAGCCATGAGCAAATGAAGGCAGTGAATGAACGAACAACTTGCACCTAGTCAGAATTTAACCTGCTTTATTTTTTATTTTTATTTATTTTTTTGAGACAGAGTCTTGCTCCGTCACCCAGGCTGGAGTGCAGTAGTACAATCTCAGCTCACTGCAACCTCTGCCTCTTGGGTTCAAGTAATTCTCCCAACTCAGCCTCCTGTGTAGCTGGGATTACAGGTGCATGCCACCATGCCCCGCTAATTTTTGTATTTTTTGTAGAGACGGGGTTTCACCATATTGGTCAGTCTGGTCTTGAACTCCTGACCTCAAGTGATCCACCTGCCTCGGCCTCCCAAAGTGCTGGTATTATAGGTGTGAACCACTATGCCTGGCCTAACCTGCATTTATTGGATAATGAATAAAGAAGGGAATAAATGAAAGATGTGACTTTGTACCTAGTAAGTGCTCAAGCTATATTTATGGGATAAAGGAATGCAAGCAGCAAAGAATGAATAAGGATTTGGCATATGATAGATACACAGCCTGTAATCTGGATGGATGCACAGTGACAGAGGAATTGACAGATGGAGGTGTGAAGGCAGGAGGAAATGAATGAGTAGACAACCTGTGGCACAGTAGGCGTTCAGTCAGCATGAATGAATGAGTGAATGAAGGAATGAATGAGGGAAGGCATGAGATTGCACCCATTTGGTCCTCACCGAAAACATTGGGTGGAGGAAGAAATTGGGAGTTGGCACAGACTAGGCATGGTTGGTAGCACAACTGCCTGATCTTTGGCTTGCAGGTGGCTCTGTCTGGAGAATGCCCCATGCTATGACAATGTTCCCCAAGGCATCTTTGCCCCTGAATTCTTCTTCAAGGTGTTGGTGAGCAATAGGTGAGCCAGGCAAGTGGCCCAGGTGCGGGTCAGGGGCTGCCCATGGAATGCCTGGCTTCTCCTCTAATCCTGGATCCCCTCCCAACCCCTGCAGAGGAGTGGACACGAGCACCTACTGCAACTACCAGCTCACCTTCCTGCTGCACATCCACGGGCTGCCACTCAGTCCCAAGCGGGCCCTTTTCATCATCATGGTGAGTGGCTGTCCGGGAGCTGCCCTACTGGGTGGGCAGGGGCCCACGCCTCCATACCTATGCTTGTTATACCTTCGCTCATTCATTCCTTTATTCACTCATCTAGCCATGCTGACTGAACGCCTGCCATGCCACAGGCTGTCTACTCATTCATTTCCTCCTGCTGTCATGCCTCCATCTGTCAATTTCCCTGTCACTGTGGATGCAGATTGTGGACTGTGTACCTTATCATGTGCCAACTCCTTACTCATTCTTTGCTCCCTGCAGGTGTCAGCTAGCGTGTTTGTGGGCCTGGTGATCTTCTACATCGCCTTCTGCCTCCTGTGGCCCCTCGTGGTGAAGGGCTGCACGATGATCCGGTGGAAGATAAACAACCTCATTGCCTCAGAATCCTACTACACCTACGCCTCCATTTCCGGAATCTCGAGCATGCCGTCTCTGAGACATTCCAGGATGGGCTCCATGTTCAGCTCCAGGATGACAGAGGACAGGGCTGAACCCAAGGAAGCCGTGGAGAGACAGTTGATGACCTGAGTGTCCCACCTGCCCCAGCCCCCAGTTACTGTCACGCCTCTCTTATGAGGCCCATCTTGAAGATGCAACCTGTCACCCAGCCCAGGCCTCTCTTTCTGTTTTGCTTGATGTTTACTTCTCGTTCAGACTCAAATAAAGCCTTTTTTCAGGACCAGCAGTGGGCTCTCTTAAAAGCTCGAGTTCAGAAGGTTTGTACCAGCATAGCTGCACATTAAAATATCATAAACCTGGCTGGGCATGGTGGTTCATGCCGGTAATCCCAGCACTTCGGGAGATCGAAGGAGGCAGATCACTTAAGGTCAGGAGTTTGAGACCACCCTGGCCCACATGGTGAAAACTCGTAACCCTGTCTCTACTACAAATACAAAAAATTAGCTGGGCATGGTGGTGCGTACCTGTAATTCCAGCTACTTGGGAAGCTGAGACAGGATAATCCCTTGAACCTGGGAGGCAGAAGTTGCCGTGAGCCAAGATTGCGCCACTGCACTCCAGTCTGGGCAACAGACCAAGACTCCGACTCAACAAAACAAAACAATAAATAAAATATCAAAAACCTTCTAGGCCACCTGTTAAATAGTGGCTTCTCTGTGTGCCTGTTGGCTGAGCCTCTCCCCAGTGTACCCCAGACCTCCCTGTGGTCCAGCAGGATCCTCCACAATCCAGGCCCATTGCTATGGCCGACCATCTGTTCTGATTGTTCAGTGTTAAATATTCTGAATGTCAACACCTATCTAATGTCTTAAGGAGGGGACCCTGGAGACGTCAGGATTCTTATTTTAGTTGCAAGTAGCAAATATTTCCCTCAAATGGTCTACATGAAAATGGTAATTTACAGGCTTCAGGTACAGTTTGATCCAAAGTCCCAAGGTCCACAGGATTCAGCCTTCATTTCTCTGTAGTTTTTTCTTCTCTGTCCTCCTCAGAGTGCAGTCTCTGACCTCAGGACAACTCCCCTCACCATCTGAGGCTAGTTATACAGTCCATAATCTGGATGGATGCGTAGTGACCAATGAATTGACAAGATGGAGGAATGAAGGCAGGAGGAAATAAATGAGTAAAAAAATACCCTGTTGCATGGTAGGCATTTGGTCAGCATTAATAGATGAATGAATGAAGGAGCGAATGAGGAAAGGTATGAGATTGCACCTAGTTGGTGCTCACCCAGAGTGTTGGGTTGGAGGAATACATTGGGGTTGGCATTGACTAGGCATGGTTGGTAGCACAAAAACCTGATGAAATTTGACAATAACAAGAGTTGGCAACACTCATGTGTGTAAGGGCTGCTGGCTAAGGTTGTTTCCACCACCAAGATTCTACCGAGTCACCTCATGGTCCAGGTGAACACATCATAATCCTGTATCAGCCAAGTCAACATGTTATTTAAATATCACCATCTGCACTTCCAGCCAAGATAGAGTGACAGAGACTGGATTTCCCCTCATACTTGAAACTATTTATGTTTTTTGAGATGGAGTCTCGCTCTGTTACCCAGGCTGGAGTGCAGTGGTGTGATCTCGGCTCACTGCAACCTCCGCCTCCTGGGTTCGAGCGATTCTCCTGCCTCAGCCTCCTGAGTAGCTGGGACTACAGACGCATGCCACTATGCCCGGCTAATTTTTTGTATTTTTAGTAGAGACGGGGTTTCACTGTGTTAGCCAGACTGGTCTCCATCTCCTGACCTCGTGATCTGCCCGCCTCAGCCTCCCGAAGTGCTGGGATTACAGGCATGAGCCACCTGGCCTGGCCATATCAACGTGGTATTTTGTTTATTTGTGTCTTTTTCTTTTTTTTTTTGAGATGGAGTTTTGCTCGTTGCCTAGGCTGGAGTGCAATGGTGCGATCTTGGCTCACTGCAACCTCCACCTCCCAAGTTCAAGTGATTCTCCTGCCTCAGCCTCCCGAGTGAGTAACTGGGATTGCAGGCACCCGCCACCATACCTGGATAGATAATTTTTTGTATAGTAGAGACGGAGTTTCACCATGTTGGCTAGGCTGGTCTCAAACTCCTGACCTCAGGTGATCCATCCACTTCAGCCTCCCAAAGTGCTGAGATTACAGACTTGAGCCACCACACCCGGCCATCATTTTTGTTTAAAACATTTTTTACCACCACAACTTCTTTCACATATTAATTTACTCATTAATTCAACACATATATAATTTCTTTCTTTTTCTTTTTTTCTTTTTTCTTTTTTTTTTTTTGAGCACAGTCTCGCTCTGTCACCCAGGCAGGAGTGCAATGGCGATCTCAGTTCACTGCAACCTCTGCCTCCCGGGTTCAAGTGCTTCTCCTGCCTCAGCCTCCCAAGTAGCTGTACTACAGATGTGCACCACCACGCCCGGCAAATTTTTGGTATTTTTACATTTATTTATTTATTTTCTCTGAGACAGAGTCTCACTCTGTCACCCAGGCTGGAGTGCAGCGGCACAATCTCAGCTCACTACAAGCTGACCTCCTGGGTTTAAGCGATTCTCCTGCCTCGGGCTCCTGAGTATCTGGGATTACAGGTGTGTGCCACCACGCACAGCTGGTTTTTTTGTTTTTTTTTTTTGGTATTTGCAGTACAGATGGGGTTTCGCCATGTTGGCCAGGTTGGTCTCGAACTCCTGACCTCAAGTGATCTATCTGCCTCGGCTTCCCAAAGTGCTGGGATTACAGGCATGAGCCACCATGCCTGGCCAACAAATATTTATTGACTGTCTACTAATATTTGCCAAGCACTGAGATACTGGGAATTCAGTAGTGAAGGAAATCGTCCTGCCTTCATGGAGATGACATTCTAAATGGTGGAGACGGAGAGTGAAAGTCGGGTTTGAGAAAAACGTGCTGCCCAGGCGCAGTGGCTCACACCTCTAATCCCAACACTTTGCGAGGTCAAGGCAGGAATATCGCTTGAGCTCAGGAGTTCGAGACCAGCCTGGGCAGTATAATGAGACTCTGTCTCTATAAAAAATTTAATTTTTTTTAAAAAGAGAGAAAAAGCGATGTTGAATGTGCAGATGTAATATCAATCAGTGGAGGAAGAAGTTGGTATAAGAAGTTGTGAATACTGGCCAGGCAAGGTGGCTCATGCCTGTAATCCCAGCATTTCGGGAGGCCAGGGCCCAGGGAATCGCCTGAGTTCAGGAGTTGGAGACCAGCCTGACCAACATCTACTAAAAATACTAAAATTACGTCTCTACTAAAAATACGAAAATTAGCCAGGCGTGGTGGCACATGCTTGTAATCCCAGCTACTTGGGAAGCTGGGGCAGAAGAATCACTTGTACCCAGGAGGCGGAGGATGCAGTGAGCCAAGATTGCTCCATTGCACTCCAGCCTGGACAACAAGAGCTAAACTCCGTCTCAAAAAAAAAAAATTGTGAATCCTCCACTTACACATGACATTGAAAGCCATAGAGCTGGATGAGTTTTGTAACTAGTTAGTTCATATAAGCTTGGGAAAAAAATGTGGAAGGATGCATTGAAAAAGACTGGAGAGGGAGCCCCAGGTACACATCCTAGCTGTTAGTCCTTTGGAAGGTTACCCAGCCTCTCAGTCTGTCTATAAAATGAGAATAACACAGCTCTCCAAATGGCACGACACCCGCTACCTTTTGGCTTGGAGACGCTGCCCCGAAGGCGGAACCTCCAGGACAGCTACGTAGCGTCCCGAGCACTCAGACTGAAGCCAGGGCAGCCATGTTCATTATTGGAACCGTGAGGTGGGTAGGGGGGGTGGTGTTGAGACAGCTGTCATTTTCAGTTAGGGCAAAAGCCAACTTCCGGTCACCATCTTGAGTGACGACAGAGGCGGAGCTCCAACTGACATGTTCATTAAGGGCAGGGCTCCGAGGGCGCCACCTCGAGAGCGACGGCGGGCTACCCGGGGCGGGCTGAGGCAGGTTGTAGCCCCGCCCCGGGCCTTGGGCTCCACCTCTCGGCCCCACTTCCGCCGGGCAAGCGTTTGTAGGCGGCGCTGCCGTAAATCAGGCGGTCTGCTTGCCGCATCACGCAAGATGGCGGCCGCGGCGGTGAACGGGGCGGCAGGCTTCTCGAGCTCCGGGCCCGCGGCAACCTCGGGCGCTGTTCTGCAGGCCGCGACCGGCATGTACGAGCAACTCAAGGGCGAGTGGAACCGTAAAAGCCCCAATCTTAGCAAGTGCGGGGAAGAGCTGGGTCGACTCAAGGTAAAGTCGGCAGGCCCAGGAAACCGAGTGTTGCGGGCGTGGGAGGCGCTACGAGGTGTCTGGACCCAACCAAGTCCCGGGCCGCGGAAGCCACCTCGGTGCCAGCGAGACTGAGGCGGGCTGGGGGATCCGATGGGGTGAAAGATTTGGAACAGCCAAAGTGGGGGCTCGGAGGGCGTCAAGAAGCGAGAGAGGGACAGGGAGCGTTGATGGTCACGCCTGTAATCGCAGCGCTTTGGGAGGCCGAGGCGGGGGAGCGTCGCTTGAGCCCAGGAGTTCAAGATCAGCCTGAGCAACATAGCGAGACTCTGTCTCTACATTTTTTTTTTAAGTGAGAGATGACTGGAATGGACCCACGCGGGGGTGGTGGGGGAATGATTGGAAGACTTATGGCAGAACTGAGTGAGGGGTTAGATTTTTGGTGCGTGGAGGCTTAACTGGTCGGAGTGGCAGGATTGGGATTCGGGCTTTTCCTGATGGTGGATTCCAGGCAAGACCAAGTGGGAAGTGAGGACTGCCCGGAGTGATAAAAGAATGAGGCTGAAAAGGTGGGCTGTGTAGAGGGTGTGTGGTTAAGACCAGGCTGGGTTAGGATCTGAGAGATCTGGGGCTTAGGCTCGCATCTGTTGGGAGAGGGGGCAGCCTAGTTGTGAAGGCAGGACTGAACCTAGAAGAAATATTCTTACAAGTAGAGAACAAGAATACGGGGCCCAGAGTGCTTCAGACCAAACATCTGTTGGGAGGGAGTGTAAATCCAGTGGCTTGGAACAAGCTGCTGAGCCTGCTAAGGAAAGATGTATGGGCTGAACTGTGGGGGGAGATTTGGACCTCCCCCTCCCAGATATAGATTTTGGGGATAGCCCAGCTACCCCTTCCCCAATAGATTGTGGGGAAGATGGGCCAAGAATGGAATGTACTCCTGTCCCCACCGCCGCGTGATTCCACTGGGTCAGGCACTGAGTGTCCCTCCTTGTTTCCCCAGTGGGGCTATTAATAATTGTAATGTGATGTAATCTTAAATGGGCATGTGTTGCGTGCTCAGGCCCTGTTCTGAGTGCTTTATGAGAAAGCATTCCTCATGAGTCTGGATGATGGTTAGCTCCATTTTCCAAGTGGGAAGACCAGAGCGTAGAGCAGGTAAGTCATCTGTATTTGAATTCCCTTCTTTTCTTTCTTCCCTCCCTCCCCTCCCCATCAGCTAGTTCTTCTGGAGCTCAACTTCTTGCCAACCACAGGGACCAAGCTGACCAAACAGCAGCTAATTCTGGCCCGTGAGTGTCACTGGGGTTGGTTGGGGGTGATAATCTGGGGGTCATGGCAGGAATGGTAGCACTGGTGGTTGGGGAAGAGACCTCAGTCACCTCCTGAGAGCTCACTCTGTCACCCACAGGTGACATACTGGAGATCGGGGCCCAATGGAGCATCCTACGCAAGGACATCCCCTCCTTCGAGCGCTACATGGCCCAGCTCAAATGCTACTACTTTGATTACAAGTGAGAATGGGCCCTGCCCCCAACTGGGGGGGTGGTTGCATGGAAGCTCCTTTATTTCTGGAGCTCTGGCTGCTTGGGTCCTCTTCCTTCATCTGGGAACTCCTCCTGGCTTAGTTCTCTCCTCAGTGGTGCAGGGTCAGGGCTTGGCTTGGAGGTCCTGAGACTTGGCTTGACTAGTCAGTCTCCCCCTACCCATTCCCACATTGCACCCCCTCTGCCCAGTGGGGCTGCCATCACCTTTCACGTGTCCTGGCCCCAGCCTTGCCCCTCTGACTCAAACCCCTGTGGCAGCCAGTAGGATCATGTGACACTAAAATTTGACACTGTCCATACCCCGCTCAGAACCTGCCGTGGCTCTTCATGGTCCTCAGGCACAAGACCAAGTTCTTTCCTGTGGCTTCCAATGCAGTTCCAGCTCACACCCCTCTGCCTGTGCCTGCTCATCCCAGCCCTTTCTCTCACTGGACTGTGAGCTTTCTAAAGGCAGAGCTTGGAACTGTCTCAGTTACTGCTATGTCCCTAGCACTGCCTACCACAGGGCCAGGCCCAGAACAGGGACTCACTGGATATGTGTTGAATATAAAACTGAATGATACCTGCACAGATTAATGATTGGGAATTTGACATCAGACAAATCTGGCTTTGAAACATCCAGCCGCTTCCTGATTATGAGGTCTTGGGCAAATGACTTTACCTCTCTCAGTTTCCCTGTTAAAGTAGGGAGTGGTGATTCTTTTATTTATTTATTTTTGGAGACAGGGTCTTGCTGTGTTGCCCAGGCTGGAGTGCAGTGGTGCAGTCATGGCTCACCACAGCCTTGACCTCCTGGGCTCAAGCGGTACTCCTACCTTAGCCTCTCAAGTAGCTAGGGCTACAGGTGCACACCACCACTCCTGGCTCTTTTATTTTAATTTTTTGTAGAGATGGGGGTCTCGCTTTGTTGCCCAGGCTGGTCTCGAACTCCTGGCCACAAGTGATCCTCCTGCCTTGGGCTCCCAGAGTGTTGGGATTACAGGTGTTGAGTCATTGCATCTGACTCCAATAACTTTTTTTTTTTTTGAGACGGAGTTTCACTCTTGTTGCCCAGGCTGGAGTGCAATGGTGCAATCTCGGCTCACCACAACCTCTGCCTCCCGGGTTCAAGCTATTCTCCTGCCTCAGTCTCCCAAGTAGCTGGGATTACAGGCATGCGCCACCACGCCCTGCTAGAGTCCACCCAGGCTAGAGTGCAACGGCTGGATCTCGGTGCACTGCAACCTCCGCCTCCCAGGTTCAAGTGATTCTCCTGCCTCAGCCTCCCTCAGCCTCCTGAGTAGCTGGTATTACAGGTGCCCACGACCACGCCCAGCTAATTTTTGTATTTTTAGTAGAGATGGGGTTTTGCCAGGTTGGCCAGGCTGGTCTTGAACTCCTGACCTCAGGTGATCCACCCGCCTCGGCCTCCCAAAGTGCTTGGATTATAGGCGTGAGCCACCGCGCCCGGCCAGTAACTCTTAATATAGTTATAGCTAACACTTTGTGTTTATTTGGGCCAGGTATTGTTCTAATCACCTTACCTGGGTTGAATCATTTAATTCACTTAACCCTTGTTCATTCAACCCATCTCTACGAAATGGATACTGTGAGGCCGGGCATGATGGCACATGCCTGAAATCCCAGCACTTTGGGAGGCTGAGACAGGAGGATCACTTGAGCCCAAGATTTCCAGACCTGCCTGGCCAACATGGCGAAATCCTGTCTCTACAAAAAATATTGAAAAATTAGCTGGGCAGGCTGGGCATGGTGGCTTACACCTGTAATCCCAGCACTTTGGGAGGCCAAGGTGGGCGGATCATGAGCTTAGGAGGTTGAGACCATCCTGGCTAACACGGTGAAACCCTGTCTCTAAAAGAAAAATACAAAAATTAGCCAGGTGTGGTGGTGGGCGCCTGTAGTCCCAGCTACTCGGGAGGCTGAGGCAGGAGAATGGCATGAACCGAGGAGGCAGAGCCTGCAGTGAGCCAAGATCGGGCCACTGCACTCCAGCCTGGGCGACAGAGCAAGACTCCGTCTCAAAAAAAAAAAAAAAAAAATTAGCTGGGCATGGTGGTGTGCACTTGTAGTCCCAGCTACTTTGGAGTCTGAGGTGGGAGGATGGCTTGAGCGTGGGAAGTTGAGGCTGCAGTGAGCCTGGGTGACAGAGCAAGACCTTGTCTCGGAATTGAAAAAAAAAAAAAGGGCTGGGCGCAGTGGCTCATACCTGTAATCCAAGCACTTTGGGAGGCCGAGGTGGGTGGATCACGAGATCAGGAGTTCGAGACCAGCCTGGCCAGCATAGTGAAACCCCGTCTCTACTAAAAGTACAAAAAATTAGCCGGGCATGGTGGCATGTGCCTGTAGTCCCAGCTACTTGGGAGGCTAAATCAGGAGAATCGCTTGAACCCGGCAAGCGGAGGTTGCAGTGAGCCAAGAACGCACCATTGCACTCCAGCCTGGGCAACAGAGAGAGACTCCTTCTCAAAAAATAAATAAAAGGATACTATGGTGATACCCAGTTTACACTTTGGGAAACCGAGGTTGTCATTTCACTGAAGTGAGGTCACTCGCTCTTGTATGACTCAATATGACTCTTGTAAATGACTTATTCATGCATCTTTGGGACACAGTTTCCTCATATGAAAACCCAGGACCTGATACCTCTTCAGGAAGATGCATGGGGCGTTGTGAGGATTCCTGGAGCCTGGGGTAGAGGGCTCGCTAGGCCCTTAAATCCTCCTTAACCTGCTTCCCCATCCCACGTCCACAGGGAGCAGCTCCCCGAGTCAGCCTATATGCACCAGCTCTTGGGCCTCAACCTCCTCTTCCTGCTGTCCCAGAACCGGGTGGCTGAGTTCCACACGGAGTTGGAGCGGCTGCCTGCCAAGGACATACAGACCAATGTCTACATCAAGCACCCAGTGTCCCTGGAGCAAGTGAGATGGCAAGGGGCAGGGGAGGACCTGGCCAAAGTGGGTGGTGCAGGGGTGGTCTTAGGAGGGCTTTCCTGAAGGAGTGGCCAGGGTTCACCCATCTTTCCACCCACGGACCCATCCTCTTGTTTGTCCAACAAATACTGAGTCCCAGCTGTGTGCCTGGCACTGTGGTAGGTTGTCAGACTGTGCAGTGAGCCAAGCAGGTGAAATTCATGATCTTGTGGTGATGACACTGGGGTGTGGAAGCAGATAGTAAGCCCGAAGAGTGAGTGGCCTGCGCAGTCTGTCAGATGCTGAGTGCTGTGGAGAAAAAGCAGGAAGGAGGGTGGAGAGGCAGGGATGGGTGATATTTATCTCGGGGAGTCAGAAGGCCTCACCTAAAAGGTGAAATTGGAGAAAGACTTGAAAAGGGTGAGGAACTGGCTTATGCCTGTAATCTCAGCACTTTGGGAGGCTGAGGCAGGAGGACTGCTTGAGCCCAGGAGTTCAAGGCTGCAGTGTGCTATGATCACACCACTGTATTCTAGCCTGGGTGACAGTGAGATTCTGTCTCTATTTAGAAAATAAATGAATAAAAACATATTTTTTAAAGAAAAGGGTGGCCGTGCACAGTGGCTCACGCCTGTAATCCCAGCACATTGGGAGGCCGAGGCGGGTGGATCACCTGAGTTCAGGAGTTCGAAACCAGCCTGGCCAACATGGTGAAACCCCGTCTCTATAAAAATACAAAAACTAGCCAGGCGGATGGTGGGTGCCTGTAATCCCAGCTACTCGGGAGGCTGAGGCAGGAGAATCACTTGAACCCAGGAGGTGGAGGTTGCAGTGAGCCAAGATTGTGCCATTGCACTCCAGCCTGGGCAACAGGCTCAAAAAAGAAAAGAAAAGGGTAAGGGACTGAACCCTGTGGACAGCCGGGCAGAGGAACCAGCCAGTCCAAATGTCCTGAGGCAGTACTGTGTCTGCTGTGTTCGAAGGACAGCCAAGAAGACAGTGTTTTTGGAACAAAGTGAGCAGGGCCAGGGCAAAGCCTTAGGACCTAAGGTTAGGAAGTTGTTCCTGGAGCTGACATCTTATGGGAGGATTTGGTCAGTGGGGAGAGGATGGGAGAGAGGGCAGTTAGGGCGGGCAGCACAGTTCGGGCAAAGGTGTACAGGGATGAGCCTGTGGTGGAGCCAGCGCTGTCTCCCTCCTGGAAAATAGATGGATAATTGGACAGTAGATGAGATAATGAGATGCCAGCCCAGAGCAGGCTTGGGGGGAGGGAGGGAGGGAGGAAGAGGGGGTGAGAGAGAGAGAGAGAGAGTGTGTGTGTGTGTGTGTGTGTGCGCATAAACCAGCAAGGGCTTTCTGGAAGAGGGGGTACCCAGGGCAGGGGTGTGGCTGTGTGGCAAAGGGATTACAGGGGCACTAGGAGTGTGATGAGGCCCACACAGGTAGGCCCCTTTGCAGCCTCCTCTTCATTCTCTCTTCTTCCCCCTTCCCGGCTTCTGCAGTACCTGATGGAGGGCAGCTACAACAAAGTGTTCCTGGCCAAGGGTAACATCCCCGCCGAGAGCTACACCTTCTTCATTGACATCCTGCTCGACACTATCAGGTGCGTAGCGGGGCCGGGCCCTGTGGAGTTTGGAAAGAACTTGGGCTTGAGTCGGACAGCTCCGAGTCTGAATCTCATTCCAGCCATTGGTTGTCTGGGTAGGCTAGGTGTGTTTCTTATCCTCCTAGCACCTCAGCTCTCCTTTTCAGTGAATTGGGCCTGGTCATGGGATTGTGGATAACGGCTCTCATCTCACCACCCTTGGCTGTTGACATGTGTGGCCACGTGTGTCAAACCTGAGCATGGAATTGGTTCAGCAGGCAGGGATTGTGCGGCCTGTCTTAGCCCATCTTCCGTCCTAGATACCCATCCAGTGAGTCATGAGACTTCACCTCCGGCCACCAAAACTGTGGAACCCTCAGTTTCTCCTTCTCTAGAATGGGTTGACCAAATCCCAGCAGCCCCTTGGGTTGCCGTGTGCACAAGTGACATCCCACGGGCAGATGGATGTGACATACAAATCCCTTGAGGAGTAAAAGGGTGTCGAAGTGGTGGCTGAGCTGATGCACTCGGGCAGAGCACCAAATCAGAATGAGTTTCCATGCCTTAGGTGCAAAGGCAAGCCCAGAGGCATTCGAGTGAGGAGTGGTAGCCAGTACCCACTACCTACCGCATGGCCTAAGCGATATTGGAGGCACTCCTCCCCATCACTGGCTTTTCCCCAGAGCTTACCCCCTCCCTCACTACAGTGACTTCATGCCTTGCTCTATTTCTACTTCGGTGTTGTTCGTGGTGCCTCTTGATGGGTACAAGGAACCCCCTCAGGATCTATGAAGTGGGGTGCAGCACCCTGGTGATGGGTGTTATGAGAAGAGATGCCCTCATGTGAGTCCCAAGCTGGGTTTCAGACCTGAAATCCTGTGGCTGGGAGTGGGATTCAGAGTGTGGGCCCAGGAGTCAGAGATTTCAGTGGGGATCACCCGTGGCCCTTGCTTGCTTTGCGAGTCTGGTCAAGTTTCTCCCCTTCTGAGCCTTGATGAATAAAACAGGGCCCTTCACATATTCCTGCCATCAGTGCTGAACTCCAGGGTCAGAGCTGACACATGTCAGGTCTGGGGGGACAGGTCCTGGGAGGTTGTTGATGCTCAGTAATGAGGAGCTTCTCATCTTCCCCCAGGGATGAGATCGCTGGGTGCATCGAGAAGGCCTACGAGAAAATCCTTTTCACTGAGGCCACCCGGATCCTCTTCTTCAACACACCCAAAAAGATGACAGACTACGCCAAGAAGGTGGCTGGGGTACAGGGCAAGGGGCCGTGGGACCAAGGGGTGAAGTCACTAACAACAGTGTGGGGTGGCTTAGAGGGACACTGGAACAAGACTGCCCAGGTTTAAGTTCAACTGTGTGACTCTAGGCAAGCTGCCAAAGCTCTCTGACATCAGTTTCTCTATCCACAGAATGGGGCTAGATACATGGGATGAGCTTAGTACCTGGCAGCAGCTGGAGGTGGGCGCTGCACGCATGTTGGCTGCTGTCTTTATCAAAATTTCTTAGAGGTGGCAGCTTTTTCTGCAAGACTTTGCTTCATTTGGTCTCAGGCGTTTGAGCACGAGCAACGCTTGGTGTTGCAGGAGGAGGGCTGGGACCAGGCTATGGAAGGTGAAATTGGGCTGGGTGCAGTGGCTCCCGCGCACCAAGGTGGATCCTCCCACCTAGGCTCACTCTGGGAGGCTGAGGTGGGAGGATCGCCTGAGGTCAGGAGTTCGAGACCAGCCTGGTCAACATGGTGAAACCTCATCTCTACTAAAAAATACAAAAAAAATTAGCCGGATGTGGTGGCGGGTGCCTGTAATCTCAGCTACTCGGGAGGCTGAGGCAGGAGAATTGCTTGAACCCAGGAGGGTGGAGGTTGCAGTGAGCCGAGATCACGCCATTGCACTCCAGCCTGGGTGACAGAGCGAGACTCTGTCTGGGGAAAAAAAAAAAAAAAAGAAGAAGGTGAAATTGAATTTTAGTGATGGTGACAGCTGGTAACTGATCTGTCACTCAGGCCAAACACTATCCTCAGTGCTTTAAAGATGTTGATTCACCAAATCCTCACAGTTGACCCAGAGAGGTGTGTAATTAGGGTCCCAGTCTCAACACAGAGAAACTGAGGCACAGAGAGGTGAAGTTACTTGTCAAGGGTCGTTGGGCAGAGTACGATTGGTGAGAAAAGAGAGCATAGGACACGTGGGCAAGTGCTGGCCCCATAGGGTGGGGATGGAGCCTTTGTGATCACTCTACTCGTCTCTAATCCCTCCTTTCCTGCAGCGAGGGTGGGTCCTGGGCCCCAACAACTACTACAGTTTTGCCAGCCAGCAGCAGAAGCCGGAAGACACCACCATTCCCTCCACAGAACTGGCCAAACAGGTCATCGAGTATGCCCGGCAGCTGGAGATGATCGTCTGAGCCCCCCGGGCACTGGGTGGGGCAGGGCACGAGTTATTTAAAACAGTTACACTGCAGGGTTTCGCCCAATAAAGGTGGACTGACATTCCCTCTTCCAGGCCCTTGTCTCCCCAGTTGGGACGGCAGAGAGACAAGTTCTTATATCTGAAGAACTTGGAGGTTTTGGGGCATTCAGGAGTTGGAGATAGCCTCCAACTGGGTCAGCCTCTGTCTGGTGGGCATTGCTCAGGGTCTCAAACATGGACGCCCACTGTGGGGCCCCAGCAGCACTGTGGCCTGCAGGAGGGCATGGCCCCAGGTAGGGGGACTGTTCTAGCCAGCTGTGGACACATAGGAATGCTGGACCAGGGTACCAGATTTTTTCAACAAAGGGGGTGAAGTGTCCTACTAAAAAGAATAAATGTTGGCAGTGAATTAAACAATTTTTCAAATGACATGTGAAATGGAACCCATCTGTAGGCTGCCAGTTTGGGCTCTTTGTGGAACAAAAGGTGTGGGCCCTGGTGTGGGCTTGTGGGTCCCACCCTCCCTGAGCCAGCATGTGATTGAGGACCTCCCCGCACACCCCCCAGCCTAGGTTTCCTGCCTTGAAATTCTTGGGAAGGTGTTCAAGGCGCAGGGTCCAAATCTGGCTGAATCCCTTGTGGGATGTGGAAATTTCACAAGTCTTCCAGAGTTAGTTTTCCCAACTGTGAAATGGGAATGATCACTCCTTTGCAAAGTGGTTTGTGCTGAGCCTGTGAGCTTGGTACCAGGTTAGCTCAGAATTGGGGCTTATGGATTAAGGGGAATCAGATCCCCCCCGCCCTGGACCCATCAGTCTGGGTGCTGGGTGAATGGAACCTCAGTTACTGCTGCTCTGGTCCAGCTTCACGATTGTTTCCAAGATGTGCTTTAATGGCGATCCTGCCCTGCTGCACCCTACCCACTGCCTTGGCGAGTGATTGACAGGCTGCTGGCATCTGGATTGGTTATTTTATTGGCATGGAGGGGAAGGTGGAGGGTGTTGAGCCGACTACACTCAGTTGGAATGGGTGGCCTGCAAGTCGTAGTGCTCCAGCTTGGCCACCAGAGAGCCGGACAGCTTGATGGTGGCAACCCAGGGTGGCTCGCCCAGGTGGTTGGTGGATGTGCTCAGCCTAGTGGGGGAGGGTAGAGTCAGCAAAGCCCAGCAATGGGACCAGGCCTCTAGCCCTTCTAGGGCCTCCCTGTCCCCATATGAATAGGGAAGCTTCTGAAGGCTATATTGGAATATCCCAAAGGCAGTTTAGGGCAGGGCTGTGGCCACTTAATAGGAAAGGGAGCTGAGGGCTGGCGAGTGTCCCAGCTAAGCTTCAAGAGGTCCAGGGCAGTCTCCCAGTGGTTCAGCACTCCCAGGAGTCAGTATCAGACCCCAGTGGCCAGATCTGGTGATTCAGTGTGGGTAGGGGGTGGCTGGAGGATGCATTGTCCCCCTGGATGTGGGACTCAGGAGGAGCCTCCCCAGCACAAGGGCTGGGACATCAGTGCCCTCTGGCGGCTGAAGCCTTGAGTCCCAGAGTCAGGAGAAGTCCTCAGAGGCTAGAGGGGTCAGGAGTCCAGGGCTGCCCCTGTGCCCAGTAAAGTTGGAGGCGTGCATCTACCCCCATTTAGTTCCAGGAAGACAGTCATCCCCTCACCCCCATCCCTGAGTGGCCTCGGACGTGGTCCTCCTTGATACCCTCAGGGACAGGGTCAAGGCAGTGTATAGGGTCAGGCCAGCTGGGACCAGCCTCCCTCTCTAATGGCTCCAAGAGAGGTACAGGAGGGCCAAGAGTCCACTTAGGGATTGGATGCCATAGGGCTGGGCCAGGGTGTCCCCCTTTCCCCGTCAAAGGTCAGCATGGGATCATGGGTCCTCTTGGTCCTGAAGGGTGGGAGCTCAGCTAGGTTTGAGATGTGGCAGAGATGAAGGCCACGGGTCATTCTAGGGTCAGGAAGCCAAAGGGCTGAGTAGGACTCTATCCAGCAGTCTGGGGTTCGGCACCCTCCTGTCCCTTCTCCCCTCTCACCAGGCAGAGACGTTGCGTGGCAGGCGGCGATGGCGTGGCTGGTGGTGGCAGTAACACTTGCAGGGACAGGAGTTAAGCACCTGGAAGGGCAGCCAGTGGCGCGCAGCGCGGGTGTTAGCTGCCCCAGTCTGAGAGGCCCCGCTGCCACCACCCCCTCCACCACTGCTGTCAGGCACGGTAGCTGTAGCTCGTTCGCGAGGACCATCTCCATGCAAGCCATCCTTACGGGTCGCGCCCCGGGCTGCACGGGAACCCTTGTTCCTGCGCGTGCGGGTCTTGATGGGCGCAGCCGCGGGTGCGGGCGCGGACACAGGCGGCGAGGGCTCAGCCACGGTGGGAGCTGGAGCCGGGGATGGGGCCGGGGCCTGGTCGGCGGCTAAGGCTGGGGGCAGAGCAGGGGCTGCGGTGGGAGCCAGGGCTGACTCCTTGTGGCCCAGACCCGGGGTGAGCGGGGGAGCCACCGGCAGCGGCGTTGGCTGGAGCGCTGGTGGCTGCAGTGTGGGCGGCGGTGTGGGCGGTGGCAGCGGTGGTAACTCCTGCAGGCCTGGAGGCCCCGGGCGCATGGGCTCGCCATTGGTGGGTGCTGGGAAGATGAACGTAGGCGGCGCCAGCAGGGCAGGTGCGGGCCTCCGGGGCCCGGGAGCTGAGTGTATCTGCTCTGGTGGTGGCGGAGGGGAGCCCCAAGGCCCAGAGAGTGCGGCCGCACGCCGTCGCGGCGCCCCGATGCCTCCGCCAGCCCCGTTGAAGCGGAAGTGGCGTTCAGGGCCGTCGGGAGCGCTAACCCAGTCGAATTTGGGCTTCGAGCCTGGGAAGGTGGTGTAGGGTGGCGGCGGTAGGGCCCGGGCTTGGGACGCAGGCGCCGAGGGAGGACCAGAGCACCCTTCGCCGTCTCCATCACCTCCCTCGGCTTCCTGTGCCCCTCGAGAAACCTCTCCCAAGGGGCGAGCGGCTCCAGGAGGCAGGGGCCCTTGCTTCAGGACCTCGGCGTAAGAGATGGCACCTGAGGCAGCAAAGAGGCCGCCGCCTCCGCCGCCCCCCAGCGAAGCTTTGGCTGCTAAGGAACTCGAGGCTGCCGGAGGGGCCAAAGAGGGCCTCGACTTGAAGGTGATTTTACACAGCAGGCTCAGACCGGACTCGGAATCCGCAGGCTGGGCCATTTCGCCTTCGCCCGCATGGGGAGGCGCCCCTCCGCGAGCCCTGCCGGCCGTCTGGCCCTGGTTGCGGGGCCCAGCCTGGCTTTCTGTCGGGGGTGAGGCGGGTGTGGCCAGAGCAGGAGTGATTCTGCGGTCCGCCGGCTGCCGTTCAGAAGGTAATGGTGGTGGCGGCTTCCAAGTCTCCAGGGGCGGCGGAAATTGGGATGGGGCCCTCGGGACAGTGTCCTTCACGGATAGTTGCCGGGGCGGCGGCGGCGGCTTCAGCGGGCGGAGGCTCGGAGGGTCGCCCTGGCCGCGATGGCTCGCCTCCAGCAGGCGGCGGATCCGGGGAACTGGAGTGCCCGCGGGCTTTTGCCATTTAGACGGGCCGGGCAGCAGAGTCCCCGCGGGGGCCGGGGGTGGTGCAGAGACCGCGGCCGCCTCTTCAGGAGGGGGCATCACTGGAGAGGGCCGTTCTAAGGTGAGGGGCAGGGTCGAGGGTGAGGCCTGGGGCTCCCGGGGTACCATGAGTCCCGGGGGTGTGGCGCTGCCAGGGAACCAGACACCCAGCCCACGAGTCAGGCGCATGGCCTGGGAGGTCATCTCGGGCTCCACCAGGGACGTCCGGCGGGAGTCGGGGGCGCGGTCCGAGGGCTGCACTTTTCGGGAGCCCCCGCCCGCGGATGGCTCCGACTGCAAGTTCCCCATTTCTGACGGAGCTCGGAGACTAGTCAGAAAAATTTACTCCAGTCAGCCTGCCAGGGCCGTGGGGACCCTACGAGGCTGGCTGTACTTGATCTAATGCGTCCGCACCGGCCCCGCCCCTGTTCTCCAAGATCCGATCAGGCCCAAGTCCTTAGGTCGCACTCCTGTTCCCCGACCTTCGACACTCACGCCTTCTTGCCCATGTCCCCAACACAGCTGCTGTTAAGATACTTCACTACCAGCCCCATTATGTACTAAGGTTCCATGCCTGTCCCCTTGGCTGGTCATGCTGATCCCTCAGTCCTCTCCTCTAACTCTCCGACTCCCCGCCTCTCTCTAGAGCACCTGGGTCCCGCCCTCTTCCCAGGCAGGGGCAGATCCTCAGGCCTCACCCCTAAACCTCTTCCCGCTCCAGGTCTACTAGCTGGCATCCACAGTCAAGCTCCACCCCTGTCCCCAAGCTCCGCCCTGGCCCCGCCTCCCCCCAGAGGAACCCACTCACCGAGTCCTCCAGCCGAGCAGAGTTCAGACCGCGGCGCCCTGGGCCCGGGGCAGGGCAGGGAACTGCCGTAGCAGAAAATAACCGAAAAGAACGGGGGTGCGGGTGAAGGCAAGTGGGCGAGACAACTAGGGCGGACCCCGAGATGTAGGCCCCGCCCCCGGAGCTCGAGGCCCCGCCCTCCTGCGAGCCCGCGGGAGCCCGGCCCCTTACGAACCTAGGTCTCCCCTTGAAATACTCCGAGGTCTTGTTCCTCGCCCCCAGGCCTTCTGGTTCTAAGCTCCACCCCTTTGGGTTGTTCTCCTTAGCCCCTCCCCTTTAGAATGTCCCGCCCCTCTCATTCCCTCCCGAGGCCCCGCCCACGCGAACACCGATGCGTCGCTCCTCCCCTTTGGACCTCTCATCTGCCCCGCCCCTAAGGCAATTTACCTCTAAGCTCCGCCTTTTTAAGACCCGGCAACATCGCTTCTCAAGACCCTCTCCTTCCCCCCGGGCGCCGAGAAGGCCCATCCACCGTGGGCCCGCCCCTTCGTGACGCACGCACTAGTCCTCGCCTGCAGCATCCAAACCTCCTTATACCCAGGCCCTCCAACCCCACCCACTTGTGAAGGCTCCCCTCTCGCCCCACCCCTTATCGAACTCTGCCAGGCACCCAAGCCACAGCGTAGACCACCACCTCTTTAGAACCTTGAGACCAGTCCCTGTCCCTGCCCCGTCCCCTCCTCATAGCATTAGAGACCAATGGCGCAGATGGGTGGAAAAGTGGGGGATCCCCTCTGGATCTTAAGAAAATGGGGGCTGGGGGGTTGCTCTCTGGAGCTAGTGCCGGGCTCTAGGACCCAGCAGGCAAGTAAGCCCGCCTCGCTCTTACCCCTCCCCCAAGCCGCCCCTTCCCCCCCCACCCGTCTTCCAGGTTCCCCCTCCCTCCCCCCTCGCCCCGGCTCCCGGTGCCCGTCTCCAGCGCCGCCGGAGCCAGCCAGGGAGCCGGAACGAAAAGGAGGAGGAGGAGGCCGCGTCGCCGCCGCTCGGAGCCCGGCCGGAGCCTCGCAGGCAGGTGCCGAGGGGGGCGAGGGGGCGGGGGCTGACAGACTGCCTGCCCCGATGAGGGGGCGGCCGTGACCGCGCTGCGCCTTCTGCCCACCCAGGCGCCCCCAAGGCCCCGGCTAGGAGGACTAGAGAGTGGGGACCCCCCAAACTGCGCGGCAGCCATTCAGGGTACCAGTCTTCATTTGTGGGGTCTGGACTTTCTCCGAGGATGCCCCATTCACAAAATTCCGTCCTGGACCCTCACCGTTGAGGAACGCTGAGGACCACTCCCCCCGGGGGACACAGGATGTGTGGGGAGCGTAGGCCACCCTGAAATGCCAGTGCCCCATTCCAGCTAGGCCCTGGGGGGACCCCTGCTCTCATTCCCTGCTTCACCTGTTGTCGGGGGAGGCGGGCGGACAAAGGAAGCAGCGTCACGTGACTGCTCATTCACAAAATCCCATCCCATTGAGAAAAGGGGGCTGGGGGCGCTGCAGCCGCCCCTTCCCCTCCTGAAGGGCCCGGGAAACCCAGCAGCCTGCAGGTGGGGGAGGGGGCTAGAGCTCGTCCGGGTCCCTAAGGTTGGGACGCCAGGGTCCCTGTGCTGGATGGCAGTGAAGGGCTGGACACTGATCCCGATTACTGGGCGGAGGGCTACGTCCTCTGAGCTGGGGGGCGGGGTAAAATGGTTCTGAAGGATGCTGGGGCTGGGGGGCGGGAAGGGAAGAGGGAGGAAGGATCAATCTGCCCCCCCATCCCATCTTTCCCCCCTGGCTTCCCTCGGCTGGGGCCTGGGGGAGCAGCCTTGATTTTTGTGAATGAAATGCTCTCTGGATGTGTCTTCGGTCGCCCGTTTCTGACTTCCTCTGCCTCCGTCTCCCTCTGAGCCTCTCTTTCTGGCCATTTCTGGTTCTCTCCCTGTTCCCTGCCCATCTCCCGTTGCTGGGTGACTCAGTGAGCTTTGCATCCGGTCTCATTCATAAATCCGGGAAGGGGTGGGTGGGGGGGAAAGAGCCTGGGTTTCTCACCCAGCCTGTGGCCTGGACGACAGGGTGCGGAGGCAGGGTTGGGAGAACAGGAGCTGAGTTGATGGGCCCAGAGAAAATATATATGCGCAGGCACCCAGCTGTGAGGGGGAGCACTGGGTGGGGCTGTGGGTATGTGCTGAGGGAGGAGAAGGGGGTGATAGGGATAAGCAGGAGGGGGAGGGAAGGGCAACACCAGGGCTATGGGGGTGGGGACGGAGAGATGGGGGAAAGGTGGGTACAGAGAGAAAGGGCAGACATGGAGAAGAAGATAGAGGTGAGAGAGAAGAGATGGCATGAGGAAGAAAGGAGCTGTGTGGAAGACGGTGGCCATGGGGTTGAAGGTGGGTATTGCTAGCTTAGGGTGCAGTGGACCTGGACGTGAGAGATGAAGTTGGAGGGGAGATGAGGGTTGAGGGAACATTCCATGGGAGAGCAGGGTTTGAGCTCATGACTGTGTTGTCCCTGTCCTTCCCCCCACCTCCTGCAGGTACATGGTGCGGGTCCGAGCTGTGGTGATGGCCCGAGATGACTCCAGTGGGGGCTGGCTGCCTGTGGGGGGCGGGGGCCTCAGCCAGGTGAGCGTGTGTCGGGTCCGAGGGGCCAGGCCCGAGGGGGGGGCCCGCCAGGGGCACTACGTCATCCACGGGGAACGCCTCCGGGACCAGAAAGTGAGCCACCCTGGGGCATGCGGGGAGGGTAGGGACCTGGGGAGGGAGGGGAGAGGGGCTGGCATGTGGAGCAGAGGTCAGGTTGCCTCCCAGCCTAGGAATCAAGCTGGGGTGTGAAGTTTGGGAGTGAATATCTGTCCTGTAGATAAGAGTTGGGAATTGCAGGATACATGGGGTGTTTGGAGGGTCCTGTCCACTGCCACTTCCAGCCAGACTATCCTCGCTGTCTCCCTGTACTGCTCCTCCTCCCCGCTCCAACCCCAGGCTGTTCCACAGGGGGCACTGCCCCCCCCCCCCCGCCCCGACTCACACCATGTCCCTCCTCTGCTCAAAACCCTCCATCTTGCTCAGAGATCCTTGCCACGAGGCCCTACACCACCTGGCCCCTGTCTGCCCTAAGTATAGTGAAGCATTTGCTGGGGTCCATTTGAAAGTGTCAGAGATGGTTGACAATTCTATACATGGGTTCATCAGGAATAACTGGGCTGTCGGGCACAATGTGGAGGGACAGTGTTGAATCAGTTTCAGCTAGGGATGTAGTAGAAAGATATGGATTGTGTGAAAGGCTTGGGGGAAAGGTTTTTTTTTTGGAGCAGGAGTCAGTGGAGGGATTTGAAATGGAGTGAAGGAATATGGTGATACTAGGCAAGGATTTGAGGGAACATCAATAGGGTGTTGGCTAGCATCTGAAGGGGAATCTGTGGAAGTCTGATAAGACTGTTTTGGAGTAAGTGCTGGCTGGGTACAGTGCCTATAATCCCAGCCACTCATGAGTCTGAGGCCGGAGGAATGCTTGAGTCCAGAGTTTGAGACCAGCCTGAGCAACACAGAGAGAGCTCATCTGGAAAAAAAAAAAAAAAAAGAGAGAGAGAATATTTTTTGGGTAAAGTTTCCAGAGATTATTATCAGAAGAGGATTCACAATAATATTGTGAGATGTTCAGTAAAGTCTGGGAAGTATTGTTGAGCCAGAGGGGGGATGTTGGGTTATCAGAAAGGGGTTAACAATGTTTTGGGCCATTCAGCAAGATTCGGGGTTTCTACAGGGGCATCAGAGGGAGGTATTAGGAAAATGTAGGGATCAAGGGGTTGGGAAAATATTTGAGCATCAGAGGTGTGTTCAGTAAAATTGGGCGTAGCTGGGTGTGGGGGTTCATGCCTGTAATCCCAGCACTTTGGGAGGCTGAGGCAGGAGGATCACTTGAGACTGGGAGGTTGATTCCGTAGTGAGCCCTGATCACACCACTGCACTCCAGCCTGGGTGACAGAGTAAGACTGTTTCAAAAAACAAAACAAGTAAAACTGGGGAGTCGTATCAGTGTTGATCAGAGTTCAGGGTTACACTTAGGGTTGGGAAATGAGGTTTGTGAGAAGACACTAGGGTATGCATGGGGGCTGGTGATGGACGAGACGTCACAGGCATGTCTGGGTTGGGGTATCTGACCCTGCTTTCCTTCTGCCCCTCAGACAACCTTGGAGTGTACACTGAAGCCAGGCTTGGTTTACAACAAGGTGAATCCCATCTTTCACCACTGGAGCCTGGGTGACTGCAAGTTTGGACTGACGTTTCAGAGCCCTGCAGAGGCTGATGAGTTCCAGAAGAGCCTGCTGGCTGCGCTGGCCGCACTGGGTCGAGGTGAGCAGCCCAGGTGATGTGCACTGTGGGCTGGCCTGGGAGCGGGAGGAGAAGCTGGGCTCAAGGAACTCACTCTCTGCCTCTCTCCCTGCCCCAGGCTCACTCACCCCCTCCTCCTCCTCCTCCTCCTCCTCTCCTTCCCAGGATACTGCAGAGACCCCCTGCCCTCTGACGGTGAGTGTCCAGGATGCCTCTCTGCTGGGGGAGGGTAGGGGTTTTGTTTTTATTCTATGAACATTCTTGAGCACCTACTGTGTAGCAGGCACCATGCCACACACCGGGTACACAAAATTGGGCCGGAACTATGAGTGTCAATTCAATCCCAGTTATTCTAGTCTTTCTGCCCTGTCATGATTCACACGTTCATTCAAGGGTCCTTATTGTGTACCTTCTGTATACCAGGCAGTGCTTTAGGCACTGGGTTACATCAGTGAACAAAAAGTTCCTTTCCTCCTGGAGCTTCTATTCTAGTGTGGAAAGGCAGAAAATTAAAAAAAATATATATATAAACAATAAAAATGAATAAATATTGAAAGTAAATGGATGAACAAATTATTGACAACCCCATGCTTCCAGTTACTCAGGCTCTAAATCTTGGAGTCATCCCTGACTCCTTATCTTTTATGCGTCTCATCTCATCTGTCAGCAAATATTGGTTCTACTTTCCAAATCATCACAATCTGCCTCCAACCTGGTACCATCCAAACTCATCTCCCAACTGGACCATCTCAATAGCTTCTCACTGTCAACTCCTTCCCTCCTGCCCCCACACATAGCCAGAGGATCCCTATCAACGGCTGAGTCAGATCATGCCCCTCCCACACTCAGAAGCCTCCCAGGGCTCCAACTCACTCAAGTAAAGGACAAAGTCCTTACAGTGGCATATGAGATCCCATGCCATGTGGCCCTGTGTGTCTGGCCCCCTCACTTACTCGGCTTCGGCCACATGGCCTCTTCACTCTTATTCTAACGTGGCAGGCACAGCCCTGCCCCAGCGCCTTTGCACTGGCTGTTGCCTGGAACACTCTTTCCCAGATTTCCTTGTGGCTCATTCCCTTGTTTCTTTCAAGGCTTTATACAAATATCATCTTCTCAGGGAGGGCCTCCCTGAGTATTTAAACTTAAGTATTCCATTTAAAATTGCAATCTGCCAATGCCCCTTGTCTAGTGCTAAATTTTTCCCATGTTCTAAGGCATTTTCCTTATTTCCTTTCTGAAAATACTATTATCTTTTTTTTTTTTTTTTTTTTTGAGACGGAATCTTGCACTGTTGCCCAGGCTGGAGTGCAGGGGCACGATCTTGGCTCACTGCAACCTCCACCTCCCAGGTTCAAGGGATTCTTCTGCCTCAGTCTCCCAAACAGCTGGGATTACAGGCACCCAGCTATTTTTTTTGTATTTTTAGTAGAGACGGGATTTCACTATGTTGGTCAGGCTGATCTCAAACTCCTGACCTTGTGATCTGCCCGCTTTGGCCTCCCAAATTGCTGGGATTACAGGTGTATTTCCCGGCCTATTTTCTTATCTATTAGTTTACGGTCTATCTCCCATGCTAGAATGTCAGCTCCAGGCCGGCAAGGATCTTTTGTTCGTTTCTTGCTGTGTCTCCAATGCCTGAAACAGTGCCTGGCACACAGTAAGTGTTTAGTAAATATGTGTTGAATAAACGGAATGAATGAATGCACATAATATCGGGTGCAATTTGGCACTTGCTGGAAACCTTGGGAGTTGCCTAAAACACCTGGAGGAACAAAACTGATTCCCTGGGCAGAAAAGGGGAGGGTTCCAGGGTCATGGGAGATGAAGTGGGGCCACAACAGTTGCAGACAGTTCCCATCCATGGAGCACTTACCCGGGAAAGATGCTCTGCTGTCCAGGCCCCCTCTGGAATCTGCACAGTGGTCTTCGTGAGTCTGGCACGTCGTGGGTGCTCAATGAATGTCTATTGAAGGCAGTGTGCAGATAAGGTAGGAGTTATGTCCAAGTGGCAGAAAGGAAGCTAAGGGTCTGAGAAGTCGTTTCAGCTAGTTTCAGAACAGAGGCTGGTTTGCATGGGAAGGGGAGCACTCGGAGTGGGCGGGACTGCCCCAATAACAGTGTGGGGCTGGGAGTGAGAGAGGAAGGCAGCTGGCTGCCCAGGGGAGAGGGATTCTGAGAAGCGGGAAGACGATTAGATGTTCCTCAGGTTTGGCGAGCTGATTAGATCAGGAGAAGAGTCCCACAAAAATAACAATAACCATTTCCAGCTCTCCCAGTACTTCAGGCATATGCTGTGCCCTTGACAGTGGCCCTAACCGCATCCTTATGAATAGGTACTCTTAGGATCCCCGTTTTACAGAGGAGGAAACTGAGGCTCAAAGAGGTGAGCTCACTTGCCGGAGGTCACACAACCAGTCAGTGACAGAGCCGGGGTTTGAACCCAGGCCTTCCTGGCCGCAGAGCCCTCGCTCTCAATGGGAGGGGGTCTATGTGAGGGCATCGGCTGTGCGGGGGCGTGTCCCCGCGCTGAGGCCGCCAATCTCCTCCAGTCCCACGTGGACAGCGACTCCTCCTCCAGTCACAGCCGCCAGGAGACTCCTCCCAGCGCCGCTGCGGCCCCCATCATCACGATGGAGTCAGCTTCAGGCTTCGGGCCGACCACGCCCCCCCAGCGCCGCCGCTCCTCCGCTCAGGTGCGACCTGGGAGCCTGGGGCTCCTGGGGGAATGGGGCGGTGCACTCGGGGCCCGAAGGGAGCGGGAGCCATGGCCCGGGGAGGTGGGGAACACAGATTCCAGGGGATGGCTGACCTGATAACTGGGCCGGACTGGGAGAAAGCGGCGGGGAAATAGGGAGAGGCTTGGAGGCCTGGGTTTCTAGGAGGCTTGGGTGCGGGCCTCCCGAGTCTCCTTGCGCTCTTGGAGATTTTGAGGGGTTTCGAAGTCCAGAGAGGTTTAGGACCATTTTCAGAGTGTATATTTGGGGAACTCCTGGAAGAGGACTGTTAAATTCACGGGGAGGGTGGGAGAGTCGGTACCCAGAAGGGTAAAAGAGGCCCAGGAACCAAACTCCTGCGCCTTTAAGGAGGAGGTGGCTGGGTCCAGAACCCCTGGATCTCAAGGTAGAGGGGGCTGGGAGCTGGGGCTCTTGGATCTTAAGAGAGGACAGGACTAGGAACCTTCGGCCTCTGGGTCCTTAAAGGTGTGGGGTTGGTGCGTGGATTCCTCTGTCTGTCCCTGGAGAAAAGTGGGGATTGAGGGACCTTGGGAGAGAAGCAAGCTGGGGTCTTGAAAATCTGAATCCCAGACCCAAGAGTGCGCTAGGGAACTGGATCCTTGAGGCTAAGACTGGGATGGATTCTGATCTGTTTGTCCCTTCGTTCCGCAGAGCTACCCTCCGCTTCTACCGTTCACGGGGATTCCGGAACCCTCAGAGCCCCTGGCAGGGGCAGGGGGCCTGGGGTGGGGCGGCCGCGGCTACGAGGATTACCGGCGCTCCGGGCCACCCGCGCCCCTCGCCCTGTCCACCTGCGTCGTGCGCTTCGCCAAGACCGGCGCGTTGAGGGGCGCTGCCCTGGGTCCCCCAGCGGCACTACCTGCCCCTTTGACCGAGGCTGCGCCCCCAGCGCCCCCCGCTCGCCCACCCCCCGGCCCGGGCCCATCCTCTGCGCCTGCCAAGGCCTCCCCGGAAGCGGAGGAGGCAGCGCGCTGCGTGCATTGCCGCGCGCTCTTCCGTCGCAGAGCAGACGGGCGTGGCGGCCGCTGCGCAGAGGCCCCGGACCCGGGTCGCCTCCTGGTGCGCCGTCTAAGCTGCCTGTGGTGCGCCGAGAGCTTGCTCTACCACTGCCTGTCGGACGCCGAGGGCGACTTCTCGGACCCGTGCGCCTGCGAGCCGGGCCACCCGCGCCCCGCCGCGCGCTGGGCCGCGCTGGCCGCGCTCTCCCTGGCAGTGCCCTGCCTCTGCTGCTACGCGCCCCTGCGCGCGTGCCACTGGGTCGCAGCGCGATGCGGCTGCGCCGGCTGCGGGGGTCGCCACGAGGAGGCTGCGCGGTGAGGACGGCCTGGTGGGTCCCCTAGCCGGCCCGAGGACCCAAAATTGAGGGTCCAGGACCCCGGACTCCGTTCGGACCTAAAACCCAAACCTAGGCACATCCGGAACTTGGAGCTTGAGTTTGGATTGAGAGATCTCAGACCTGGAACCTGGAACCCAAACCTAGGACTGAGAGACCCCAGCCCCAGCTTCATTGGGGTGTCTGTCTAAGAAGTCCCAGGCGTCCTGAGTTCTGGCGTTCCCCCACCCCCACACCCCACGAGGAGGCTCCAGGCGTCCCCATACTTTGCATCTCAGAAAGGCCAGGGAGCACATAGATCCCGAAAAGGGCAGGTCCCTGTTGAAATGAACAACCTAGAACCCGGTCACGCCTGGCACCATGTCCCTCAGATTACAGCCCCACAATTAGTCAGGACTTGCCCATAACTGGCTCTGCCTTTATTCAACTCCCAGATCAGATCTTGAGACCATAGGACCTGGAGTCACCCACAAACAGTTCCTGAATATTCACCTAAGACCTGGTGCCCCCACATCTGAGACATTCTCATAGTCCCAGGACCCCTGAGACAGCAGGACCCCTGAGAAAGTTTCAAACAGAGTTTGAAACTCTGTTATGCTCTGGAATCTCCAGATGCTGCCCCTCAAATCTACCCACGACTTAGTGCCCACAGACCTGGCCTCCAGTCCGGGAACACTGAAGTCTAAGATGTCCAGGGAACTCCCAGACACCCTGGGACCCCAGACTCTTAAGATGCACTGAGTGCTCGGATATACTGAAACACGAGCTGTTCTCTTACCAAAATGACTTGGGAGACCCATCCCAGAGCCCCCAAGATCCAGATATCAGACACCAAGATGCTCTGGAAGCCAGGGATCAAAGACCTCCATAGGTCCACCCACCCCCAAGCCAGGGTTCTCAGGAGCTTTGGATATCATTTATAGGACTCAGAGGTGCCTGGGGTCCTCAGATGTGCGACTGAAGGCCACCAACACCTCAGGACCCGAGATACTGGTCTCGAGTTCTCAAATAGCCCTCTCTTGCAGTCCCTCCTGGACCTGGATTTTGAGACCCCAAATGTCCTGGAATCTTCAGCTTCTTTCTACCCACAGATTCCCAACCCCTTAAGGGCTGGGAGTCCAGCTCCCAGAAGAGGGGATGCTCATGGTGACCCAGACCTCTGATGCCCTTGGCCCTCAGCCCTTGAGTGACCCTAAGGTACTTTAGGAGCACTGGATCCAATACCCCAAAGGTGCCACTGACCCCCAAATGCAAGGCTCAAGACCCTACAACATTGGGATTGTTCCTGATCCAAGACCTTCATCCCTCCATACCAGAGGCGTTCAGATTCGAGGTGCCCCAAGACCCCAGCACCCTCAGACCCCAGATTTCTTTGGATTCAAACCTCTCTAGTCTGATGAACCCCAAGTTGCCTCTACACCTGATTCCCCCATCCCCACTTGTCGGACCTCAGAGACCTGCTGCCCCTTGAATCCTGTCATCCATAGGCCCCTAAAACCCCAAGGTTCCAGCCTCTGGAATTCTGGTCCCAAGGATCCCAGCCCAAGCCCCCAGCAATCCTCAGAATTACCCCTTTATCTTAGGGTGGGATCCCTACCATTTGGAACTCATTGTAGGACCACCCAGGGTGGGGCACAGTGGCTCATGCCTTGTAATCCCAGCACTTTGGGAGGCCAAGGGAGGAGGATCGCTTAAGGCCAGGAGTTTGAGACCAGCCTGGGCAATGTAGTGAGACCGTCTCTAAAAAAAAAAAAAAAGGACCAAGTAGGAGCTCCCTCACTGTCACGTCTAGGACCCAGCATTGTCACAGATGATTATGCAGGGTCTTCATTAAGTGAAGGCACACAGCCCAGGGTTTCGAGGAGCTGGAAGTCACACCAGTCTGCTGGCCACACTGTGCCCTCAGAAGAAGTGTGTGCAATGGAAACTTTCAGGCTAGTTATGGCTCTGCTGTCCCACAGCCCCCAGTCTTGCAGACCTTCCTTCAAGCACAACCTTAATTCCTAGTCCAGGTTCAAGTCCCACCTTTTATGTTCTCCCCCTCCATTAACCCCTTCTCTTCCTATTTATTTATTTATTTATTTATTTATTTTGAGACAGAGTCTCGCTGTATCACCCAGGCTGGAGTGCAGTGGCACAATCTCGGCTCACCACAACCTCCCCCTCCCGGGTTCAAGCCATTCGTCTGCCTCAGCCTCCCGAGTAGCTGGGATAACAGGCATGTGCCACCACACCCAGCTAATTTTTTGTATTTTGAGTAGAGACAGGGTTTCACCATGTTGGCCAGGATGGTCTCAAACTCCTGACCTCATGATCCACCTGCCTCAGCCTCCCAAAGTGCTGGGATTACAGGCATGAGCCACTGCACCTGGCTCTCTTCCACTTTAGAGTGAGAAGTTGCTTCAGGAAGTTTGAAAGCCTGTTTCATGGCCCACTGAGTCTCTTCTGTGCAAAGGGGGGTGCCACAGGCTTTTTTCCCCCAAGTGAAATGGGGCTTCCAGTGGATCGAAGATCTGGTGTCCTGTATGGGGGCCTCAAGGTCTTGGAGCAAGACAGTCTCAATGTTGTATGGGCTTGGGACCTGCATCTGGCCCCAAGCATCTGGAACTGTGCACTTAACCTTTCTTCATTACCCAGACTTGGATGGCCTTGTTGGGGTTCAAGGGATAGGTCCTCTGTCTCTTCCTTTAAATTATTAACTATTTATTACATCCGGAACCTGTGAGATTCAGCACTCCCAACCAGACCCTGGGATGGGTGAGAGAAAAGCGGGGGTGTCTCTCCCCTCCCCACTCTGCCCAGCTCTCATCACTGTCAGACCCACCAGAGCTGAGGGCGGAGGGATTGGGGGCTGGGGCAGCCTGGGTCCCCATGCCCCTCTCTGTGCCTCGGTCTCCCCCCTTCCATGGTGGGCGGGGGGGAAGCTCCATTCTTAACCTACCTCGTTTTGGGGAGGGGTGGGACGGGGGACCAGAGTGCTGTACGGTGCTGTGGGATCTGCAGATGAAGCGGTGGGGGCTAAGGAAAGGTCCCCTGGCCGCCACTTCCCAGCAGCGCCTCTCCCAGGTCCCCCAGTCCTGCTCCCTGCTGAGACCCACCTCTGATCCATGATTCCCCTTCATTGCCCCCAAATCAGGGGTACATGGAGGGCCGCCCTGGGAGCCAGGCAGACCTCAGACCCTGGAGCCCCCAGGCCCAATTTCCCAGCCGCTTGCCCCTCAGATCGGATGCTTGGCCCCCAGATTTGGGGGAGGCACCCCAACATATATCTTCCTGATCTTGTTTCTAAGCCAGTCTGTGACCTCAATATTGTTAGTGTCAGTGCAGGCTGAAGTGGTGGGGGAGGATGGGGGCCAAAGACCCAGCCTTGTCATCGGGGGAGGGGGCACGAGATCTGCTCCAAGAAATGTCTGTGACAAAGTCTCAGCCTGTGTTATTTATTTGCCTCTGTGCACCCCACCCACTCACCTTCCTGAACTGCTAAACCAGTCTCCTACTTAAATTCTCCCTTCTCCCATCAGACCCTCAAGCTGAGTTTTATAAGACACTCAACAAATGCATTTATTGAGCACCTAATTATGTGCCAAGCCCTGTTGAAAGCACTGGAGATAAAGCAGTGGGCAGAACAGACAAAAGTCCCTCCTGCAAAGAGCTTATGAGCTTTATAGTAGGGGAGACAATAAGTAAATGACTTAATATGTTAGAAATGATAGAAAGCAGAAAGAAAAAAAAAAGTGGGAATGGGGGATACATGCCATTTTAGCTAGAGTGGCCAGGTTAGACCCTCCTCAGGAGTTGGCATTTGTTGTTTTGAGACAGAGTCTGACTCGGTCACCCAAGCTGGAGTGCAGTGGCATGATCTCTGCTCACTGCAGCCTCTGCCTCCTGGGTTCAAGTGATTCTCCTGCCTCAGGCTCCTGAGTAGCTGGGACTGCAGGTGGGTGCCACAACGCCCGGCTAATTTTTGTATTTTTAGTGGAGTCAGGGTTTCACCATTTTGGCCAGGCTGGTCTCGAATTCCTGACCTCAAGTGATCCACCTGCCTTGGTCTCCCAAGTGATTCCAGGTGGAAATCTCCCAAGTGATTACAGGTGTGAGCCACTGTGCCTAGCCAGGAGCTGGCATTTGAACAAAGCCCTGACGGAGGTGAGGGAGTTCTGGGGATGTCTGCAGGGAAGGGTATTTTAAGTAAAGGGAACAGCCAGTGCAAGGCCCTGAGACAGGAGTGTGTCCGGTAAGTCTGAGGAGCTTCAGGGAGCTAGAGTGTTGAGAGGGGAGGAAGCAGAGAAGAGAGCGCTAGGAGATGAGGGCAGAGAGGCGATGGGGCAGATCTGTCAGGCCTTGAAGGGCATTGAATGGACTTAGGTTTTTACCCTGAGTGAGACGGAGCCACAGGAAATTTCAAACATGGGAGGCATGTGACCTGACTCAGTTCACAGGCTCCTTCTGCTGCATGTGGTCAGCAGAGTAGGAGTGGGGTGGGGGACAGCTTCACAGAGAGGAGGCTGCTGTGATGGTTCAGGACAAGACAGCAGCGGACAGGCCCAGGGTGAGGGCCCTGAAGGGTGGAGAAGTGGGCAGGTGTTGGGCCTACTTTGTAAATAGAACCCACAGATTTATGTATGGGATTTGAGATAGAGGAGTCAAGATAGTAAGTCCAGGTTTTTGGCTGGAGCAATTTTTTTTTTTGTTTTAAATTGAGTTCATCACCCAGGCTGGAGTGCAGTGGCATGATCACTGCTCATTGCAGCCTCAAACTCATGAGCCCAAGTGATCCCCCCACCTCAGCATCCCGAGTAGCTGGGATTACAGGTGCACACCACCAAGCCTGGCTAATTTTAAAAATGTTTTTGTAGAGACATGTTCTCACTATGGTGCCTGGTCTGGTCTTAAACTCCTGGGCTCAAGCGATCCTCCCACCTCAGCCTCCTGAAAGGCGGGGATTACAGGTGTGAGCCACTGTGGCCCACCTCTGGGCAATTTTTAACATTTGATTTATGTCAAAAAATAGCCCCCCAAGTGTCCTGCCTTGGGGTAAACAGGGTTATGGGGTTACTCGTATCTGCCCTTAAGGAACAAGTTCTACCCCTGTTCTTCCCTCCAGGCTCCTGGTCCACCCCCAACTTCCAGCAGAATTGTCTAGGAACTACTGGATACCAGGATACAGTAAGGAAGAGATTAGATCTGACACAATGTTTACTTAGCAACAGCAACAAAACAACAGCAGTAGTAACAGTGGAAATAGGTTCCGTGGTTTAAGAGTATAGAGTCTGGAATTTCATCTTCAAGCCTTGGCATCACCATGAATTCACTCTGTGACTTATCTTCTCTCAACCTTAGTTTTCTCTTCTGTAAAAGAGATAAGATACTTCGCCCAATAGTACACATTAAATGCTGTATATATATTAGTTATTCCTTATTAAGTACTCCCTATATATCTGCTAAGCACTTTTTACATATGAAACTCTAATTAATCCTCAGCAACAACTCTAAGAGGTAGGTACTATTATCCCCATTATACAGATGGGAAGCAATTTGGCAGGAACATGGAGCTGGCGAGTAACAGAATCAAGCCCTAACCCTTTGCCTGATTCCTAGGGTGTAATCTCTTAACCACTATGGTGCATTGCACCTGCTCACTCCAAGGCCTAAGAGGGAGAGGAGTGAAGGCCTAACAGGCACATCGTGATCGATGAGGAGGGCCTGGTGTGTGAGGGGTGTGCTGGGATTCCTGGGTCCCTTATGTAATTCAAACCCTGAGGTGGAAAGGAGGGAGGAAGTTTTGGATTTTAGGCAGAGTTGGGTGAACACCACTCCGTCTGGGCTGCTTTAAGAGCAGAGGACAGGGCCAGGAACACTGGCTCAAGCCTGTAATCCCAAGCTTTGGAAGGCTGAGAGGGAAGGATTGCTTGAACACTGGAGTTAGAGGCAAACCTGGGCGACATAGCTAGACCCCTCTCTACAAAACTTTATTTCTTTTTTGACACGGAGTCTTGCTCTGTCCCCAGGCTGGAGTGCAGTGGCGCGATCTTGGCTCACTGCAGTCTGTGTCTCCCGGGCTCAAGCAATTCTCCTGCCTCAGCCTCCCAAATAGTGGTGACTACAGGCGTGTGCCACCACGCCCGGCTAATTTTTGTATTTTTATTAGAGATGAGGTTTCACCATGTGCCCAGGCTGGTCTCGAACTCCTGACCTCAAGTGATCCACCCACCTCAGCCTCCCAAAGTGCTGGGATTACATGCGTGAGCCACCGTGCCCGGCCTCTACAAAACTTTAAAAAAAAAAAAAAATTGGCCGGTTGCAGTGGCTCACGCCTGTAATTCCAGCACTTTGGGAGGCCGAGGCAGGCGGATCGCTTGAACCCAGCAGTTGGAAACCAGGCTGGGCAACATGAGGAAACCTTGTCTCTACAAAAAAATTAAAAACAAATCAGCCAGGCGCGGTGGTCTGCGCCTGTGGTCCCAGCTACTAGGTGTAAGCCACCAAGGCTGACTGATTTTTAAAAATTTAGCTGGGAGGCTGAGGCGGGAGGATCTCTTGAGCCCAGAAGGTCGAGACTGCAGTGAGCCGCGATGGCGCCACTGCAGTCCAGCCTGAACGATAGAGCGAAATCTGCCTCAAAAACAAACCAACAAAACACCAGCAGAAGACAACTGAGGGAGGAAAAGGAAAATGGCACCGAAGTTGTTTTTATGTCGCCGCAACAGTGACACCCGCCGCCAGCTTGTCTTGACAGCGGAGATCCCGAACGCACTGCAATTTACAGCTCCAGGGGGCGTTCCTACAACCCCGACAGGTTAGCCGAGGGGCGGGGCGGGCGGGCCCCGGGGCGGGTTCGGCGTCCTCCTGCGCCAATGGGAGCACCCAAGCCCCTGCGCGGGAAGATGCCGATTGGTCAGTGCCGCCGGACGCTGCGGGGAGCTCGTGCGCGCGGCGCTTTTGGGGCGGAGCCTGCCACCGGCCGCCAGGGGGCGCGCCGAGACCACACTTTCATGGAGGCGGTGAAGGCGGAAGCGTGGGAGGGGGCCGCGGTGGCCCAGGACCTGCTGGCTCTGGGGTAAAAGGGTGTGCGGTGAGGCTGGTGGGTGCAGGAAGGCCAGGTCTGCCCCCTGGACGCGGACGAAAAGGGATTCCCAGTGACATCCCCGCCCCCTCCCGCTGCCTCGGTCCCCACAGGTATGGAGGTGTCCCGGGGGCGGCGTCGCGGGGCGCCTCATGCCCAGACTTCAGGGGGCTGTGCGTGCGGCTGGCGGCGGAGCTGGCGACGCTGGGCGCCCTCGAGCAGCAGCGAGAGGCGGGCGCGGAGGTGCTGAGCGCCGGCGACGGTAAACACGGAGCGGGAGGGTGGCAGGGGGGCCGCCACGGGGCCACCGAGCCCTGACACCCCTGTCCTCGCAGGCCCTGGCGCGGAGGAGGACTTTCTGCGGCAGCTCGGCAGCCTGCTGCGGGAGCTGCACTGCCCGGATCGCGCGCTCTGCGGCGGGGATGGCGCGGCTGCGCTTCGGGAACCCGGTGCCGGACTGCGCCTGCTGCGTGAGTCCCGGGATGCAGAAGTGGCAAGGCCATGGCCTCCGGAGCGGCGGGCTCTGACTTTTTAGGGGAAATCGAGGTTCCCAAGGGGTGTGGTCAGAACTTTGGGGCGGCCCAGAGGGTACGAGGTGGGTGGGGTGAGCATGTTGGGGCAAGCAGAGCGCTCTAAAATGGGCGGGGGTAGAATTTCGTTTTATTTTTTATTTATTTTATTATTATTATTTTTGAGATGGAGTTTCACTCTTGTTACCCAAGCTGGAGTGCAGTGGCGTGATCTCGGCTCACTGCAACCTCCACCTCCCAGGTTCAAGTGATTCTCTTGCCTCAGCCTCCCGAGTAGCTGGGATTACAGGCGCGCGACACCACACTCGGCTATTTTTAGTAGAAACGGGGTTTCACCATGTTAGCCAGGCAGGTCTCGAACTCCTGACCCCAGGTGATCTGTCCACCTCGGCCTCCCAAAGTGTTGGGATTACAGGCGTGAGCCCACCACGCCCGGCCCGGGGTTAGAATTTTAATTGGAGGGCCTAGGAGCTCAAGTGGGTTGGATTAGGAGGAAGGCTTGAGGTTTCAAAGTGGGCAGGAGTGGAATTCGTAGGAGGGGACAGGGTCTCAAGGTGGGGCTTACTCTGGAAGGCTTTAGGTGGGGGGGACTAGAAGGTGGAGGATTTTGTTTTGTTTTGTTTTTAAGTGGAGGTGGGGTCTCCCTATGTTGCCCTGTCTGGTCTTCAACTCCTGGCTTCAAGCGATCCTCCCACCTCAGCCTCCCAAGGTGTTGGGATTACAGGCTACAGGCATGAGCCACTGTGCCTGGGCAAAGGTGGAGGTTTTAAAGCCGGTGGAGCCTCTTTTTTTTTTGAAATGGAGTCTCGCCCTGTTGCCAGGCTGGAGTACAGTGACATGATCTCAGCTCACTGCAACCTCCAACTTCCTGGTTCAAGCGATTTTCCTGCTTCAGCCTCCCGAGTAGCTGGGATTACAAGCACTCACCACTATGTCCTGCTAATTTTTGTATTTTTAGTAGAGACACAGTTTCACCATGTTGGCCAGGCTGGTCTCCATCTCCTGACCTCGTGATCCGCCCGCCTCTGCCTCCCAAAGTGCTGGGATTACAGGTGTGAGCCACCGCACCCGGCCATCAGTGGAGCTTTTTGACCAAGATGGATGAGTGGGTAGCAGCCTCCCTGAGTGCACAGCACCCATTTATTACTTTCAGGCTTTCTCTGCTCAGAGCTCCAAGCCACCCGCCTCCTGTGCCTCCGCTCTCTGCTGGATCCGAGTCCTAGGCCACCCCTTGGTGAAGGGGTAGTGGAGGGAGCCGGCATGGTCCAAGAACTGGACCTTACCCTCCAAGCCCTGGGGCTGCCCAGACCTGCACCAGGGACCCCCGCCAGCCAGCTGCTGCAGGAGTTGCATGCTAAGGTAGAGAGTCAGAGTCCCCTCCCGACCTGGGCTACCCCACTTTCCTTGTGGGGGTGGGGGTCCTCTCTCCACTTCTGGAAGGAGTATTCCAACCACTGGCCTGTTTTTTCTGGAGCTGTGACTGGCATTCTCACATCTGTGGCCTAGGTCCTCAGGGGTGTGGGGAGCTGAGTTTACAGAGGGGCCCATCCTCTCTGCCCCAGTTGGCCTCTGACTTCTTCTCCCATCAGATCTCAGAGCTGCAGCCTTCTCTGCCCCCAGGGTCCCTGCAGCCCCTCCTCAGCTGCTCGCTAGATGCACCCAGATGGGTAAGACTGTGTGCGACTGACTGAATGTGAACTGTGTCCTCATCAGAGGTGGCAGTGAGAGGGACCCCTAGCCTGACCTTGAGACCTTTTCTCCCAGGAAGCGTTGGAGTCTCTGTCCCAAAGCCTCAGAGATCAGTACCGCTGCCGCCGCTGCCTCCTCCTCAAGCGCCTTGACCTCACTACATCTGCTTTCCACTGGAGTGACCGGGCAGAGGTGTGGTGGGCAGGGGACCATGCAGAATTGGAGAGGCCCAGTTGTGGGGGCTGCAGTTGCAGGGAGGAGGAATGAGGGCCAGGAGTATCACCCTCTTGCAGGTTCTCAGGCCATGGACATTTTATAATTTTTTGAGGTTTGGGGCTCCTAGAATCTCAGGGTCCCAGGGTATTGTTGAATTCCCAGCTCTGAGCTGGCAGTATATTCAGAGGCATACCCCATCATTTTTTTTTTTTTTTTGAGACGGGGTCTCACTCTGTTGCCAGGCTGGAGTGTGGTGGTGCGATCTCAGCTCACTGCAACCTCCGACTCCCGGGTTCAAGTGATTCTCCTGCCTCAGCCTCCTGAGTAGCTGGGATTACGGGCACATGCCACCATGCCCAGCTAATTTTTGTATTTTTAGTAGAGACAGGGTTTCACCATGTTGGCTAGGATGGTCTCGATCTCCTGACCTTGTGATCTGCCTGTCTTGGCCTCCCAAAGTGCTAGGATTACAGGCATGAGCCACTGCACCCAGCCTTTTTTTTTTATTTTTTATTTTTTGAGACGGAGTTTTGCTTTTGTTGGCCACGCTGGAGTGCAATGGTGCGATCTTGGCTCACCGCAACCTCCGCCTCCTGGGTTCAAGTGATTTTCTTGCCTCAGCCTCCCGAGTAGCTGGGATTTCAGGCATGCACCACCACGCCGGGCTAATTTTGTATTTTTTAGTACAGACAGGGTTTCTCCATGTTGGTTAGGCTGGTCTCAAACTCCCAACCTCAGGTGATCTGCCTGCCTTGGCCTTCCAAGGTTCTGGGATTGCAGGCATGAGCCACCACGCCTGGCCAAGTGTACCCCATCTTTAAGAGATACGAGCAGAGTCAGGCACAGTGGCTCATGCCTGTTATCCCAGCACTTTGGGAGGCCAAGGCAAGAGGATCACTTGAGCTCAGAAGTTTGAGACCACCTTGGGCAACATAGCAAGACCCCCGTCTCTACTAAAAATTAAAAAAAAAAAAATTAGCTGGGCATGGTGGCGCATGCTTGTCCATCTCAGTTACTCAGGAGGCTAAGGTAGGAGGATCACTTGAGCCCAGGAGATTGAGGCTGCAGTGAGCCACCATCACGCCACCACACTCCAGGCTGGGTGACAGCGAGACCCTGTCTCAAAAAATAAATATTTATTTGAGCTGTGGGCAGTGAGGTCTTGAATGGTAAAGTAATGCTTCCAAGATGACAGGTCCCACGTGGGGAAGGGCTCCAGGGTACCTTCTCTTACCTCCTCCCCACTCCAGGCCCAAGGAGAGGCCATGAGGGCAGTGCTGATCCCAATTCGAGAGGTTCTGACCCCAGAATCGGACATCTCCATTGCACACGTTCTGGCTGCCCGAGCCGACCTGTCTTGTCTCGTCCCAGCCACCAGCGTGGCTGTCCGCAGAGGGACCTGCTGTGCCATCAACAAGGTGGGCATCTGGGGTAGGGAAGGGCCCTGGCATCCTTGGCCTTCAGATTGGCCTTTCAGCCTCTGCTCCAGTCCAAGTTTCAGACTTACCACCTCTAATCCACCCACTAGACATGGCAGCTAGAAGGACCTCGCTCACACAAAAACTGACTGTGGACTCCCCAGCTCAGAATGCTTCCGTGGCTCCCTAATGATCTGAAAACAAAGTCTAGCTATTTACTGAGTCCCTGGCTACTTCTCCAGCTTGGGCTTAAAATCCTTCCCTATCACCAAACACTACCTATTTGTTGTTTTTTAACCTTTTTTTTTTTCAAGACAGAGTCTTGCTCTGTCACCCAGGCTGCAATGCAGTGGCTTGATCTTGGCTCACTGCAACCTCCACCTCCCGGGTTCAAGCGATTCTCCTGCCTCAGCCTACCGAGTAGCTAGGATTACAGGCACCCACCACCATGTCCGGCTAATTTTTGTATCTTTAGTAGTGACGGGGTTTCACCATATTGGTCAGGCTGGTCTTGAACTCCTGACCTTGTGATCTACCCGCCGTGGCCTCCTAAAGTGCTGGGATTACAGGTGTGAGAAACCGCACCCTTTTAACCATTTAAAAAAAAAAAACAAAGACAGAAATAGGCCAGGCACAGTGGCTCACGCCTGTAATCCCAGCACTTTGGGAGGCCGAGGCAGGCGGATCACGAGGTTAGGAGATCGAGACCATCCTGGCTAACACGGTGAAACCCCATCTCTACTAAAAATACAAAAAAAAAATTAGCCGGGCGTGGTGGCAGACACCTGTAGTCCCAGCTACTCAGGAGGCTGAGGCAGGAGAATGGCGTGAACCCAGGAGGCGGAGCTTGCAGTGAGCCAAGATGGCACCACTGCACTCCAGCCTGGGCGACAGAGCAAGACTCTGTCTCAAACAAACAAACAAACAAAAAACAGAAATACCCTCTGTTTTAGTGATTAGGTATCTAGCCGCATGCCTCTGTAAGTAGTCTTATGTAAAATGAGTATTAGGGAATAAAGTCTAACACAGCAACTATTGAGGCAAAATTTAAGTTAAGAAAAAAACTGAGCCCGAGGTGGGTGGATCACTTGAGCCCAGGAGCAGAGGTTGCAGTGAGCCGGGTTCTCGCCACTGAGCTCCAGCCTGGGCGACAGAGCCTAGGCGACTCTGTCTCAAAAAAAAAAAAAGAAAAGAAAAGTAGGCTGGGTGCAGTGGCTCACGCTTGTAATCCCAGCACTTTGGGAGGCCAAGGTGGGCGGATCACAAGGTCAAGAGATCGAGACCATCCTGGCTAACACGGTGAAACCCTGTCTCTACTAAAAATATAAAAAATTAGCCAGGCGTGGTGGCACGCACCTGTAGTCCCAGCTACTTGGGAGGCTGAGGCAGGAGAATCTCTTGAACCCGGTAGGTGGAGGTTGCAGTGAGCTGAGATCACACCACTGCACTCCAGCCTGGGCAACAGAGTGAGACTCCGTCTCAAAAAAAAGAAAAGAAAAAAGAAAGCTCATGCTAGTATCTTCCACCAGTTCAGTCCCCCCTCCCCCAGCCACTGTACTCAAATAGTCAACATCTGCTGTTTCTTCTTCAGCCTCATGCTGTTCCCTTCGCTCTCTGGCCCCCTTGTCCAAGATACTTTTTTTCTCTGCAACTCAAATCTCATAAACTCTCAGGTGCTTATGGGCAACGTTCCAGACCGGGGGGGCCGCCCAAATGAGCTGGAGCCTCCCATGCCCACCTGGAGGAGCCGAAGAGAGGATGGAGGCCCCCAGTGTTGGGGTCGCAAGAAGAAGAAGAAGAAGTAAAGGGGGACTGGTGGTCGGGGGCGGGGGGTCCTCCATGAGATGCTAATGCTATCGGTAATCTCTGGGGAGTCCGTTTAAGGCTTTCCTTGGTATTTGGCACCCAAGCCCCCCATCTCCTATTCCTGAGTCCCCAAATGCCCTGCTCCCATTCACGTCAATACCAAGAACCATGTTCTCCAGAGAATAAATTTAATTTATGACAGCTGTAGGACCTCTCTCTGTGGGGGCCAAGTCAGGGGTGTTGGGGTTTGTGAAGGGGTTGGGGGGGTCTCTGCTCCCTGGGACTGAATGGGCCCCTGCTGCTCGACCCTCAAAGTTCTTTGCCCTATAGCACATCTATCCTGTGCCGTGGGCATGGGTAAGGAGACATTCAGGCATCAGACAAGCATCTGTCAGGCGCCTACCACCTGCCAGCCCTGTTCTAGGCACTGGGGATGCAGCAGTGAATGACATTGATAGAAATCCCTGTTCTCCTGGAGTTGATGCTCCTGTTGAGGAAAGACAGACGTTCAACGAGATAAAGAGGGAAAAAGTATAGGCTGTCAGAGGGAGCACATTCTATGCAGAAAAACAGGAGCTGGGCGTGGTGGCTCACGCCTGTATTCCCAGCACTTTGGGAGGCTGAGGCTGGTGGATCATGAGGTCAGGAGTTTGAGACCATCTTGGCCAACATGGGGAAACCCCGTCTCTACTAAAAATACAAAAATTAGCCGGGCATGGTGGCGCGTGCCTGTAATCCCAGCTACTTGGGAGGCTGAGGCAGAAGAATCACTTGAACCCAGGAGGCGGAAGTTGCAGTGAGCTGAGATTGCATCATTGCACTCCAGCCTGGGTGACAGAGCAAGACTCTGTCTCAAAAAAAAAAAGAAATGGAGATGTAGGGAGTTGGTAGAATGAGGCCTGAGTCTAAATGTATCCAACACACAGCCGCACAGATACTAAGTGCAGGGAAAGGGAGCAGGATTAGCATCCACCAGGATGCAAAAGAGGAAAGTCACTTCCAGGGAAAAAGATGACGGACGTACCACTAAAGGCAGTGTGGATGGGAAGGCGGATGCCTCTGGAGGCCTACCTCTGGGAGCCCTGCCAGAGTCTGACGGCAGGACTCAGGACTGACTGGGGGAAGGGAGTGAGGAAGAGAGGAGACCAAGAGATGTCTAGGAATCCAGCTTGGAGGATGCAGTTGATGGTGGGTCCATCACCGGGCAGGGGACCTGGAAGGAGGAAGGGAGGAAGAAAGATGACAGATGATGTGGGGAGCATATGATGTCTAGGAGACGCTTCACTGCCAGGAACACTTCCCTGCCCAGACTGGTAAGTGGATGAATGAACGTCCCCTGTGGAATCCTTTTTGTAACCCAATCTGAGAGTCTCTGCCCTCAAATAGTGGCGTTTACTCCATTAACCCGTACAGTAGCTCCTGATATATTTGGCCTTATTCTTGCTATCTTATTGGCTAGAATCCTTTTTTCTGTTCTCCTAGTGGTTATTGTCCCCACCCTACCCCCAACATGTTGAAACTTCTATTTTTCTTTTTTTTTTTTTTTTGAGACAGGGTCTTGCTCTGTCACCTAGGCTGGTGTGCAGTGGCACAATCTCAGCTCACTACAGCCTCTGCCTCCCGGGCTCAAGTGATTCTCCTGCCTCAGCCTCCCGTGTAGCTGGGACTACAGGCACCCGCCATCACACTTGGCTAATTTTTGTATTTTTAGTAGAGATAGGGTTTTATCACGTTGGCCAGGCTGATCTCGAACTTCTGACCTCAAGTGATCCTCCCACCTCAGCCTCCCCGAAGTCCTGGGATTACAAGCATGAGCCACCACACCCAGCCTATTTTTCTATCAATATTAAAAAGTAACCAGTATCCATACCCTCCTACCCCAGCAGTCAAGGACTTCTGCATATTTGTACTTTCTATGGGTCTCCAAATCTGTCCAGTCTTCCCCACGCCAATGGCCTGTGTCCCCTGTATCCACTTGGGGGTAGGGGCGGTTTCTCCTCACCGTATCTGTTTCCCAGGAAGGGTGTGGGGATTCAGTCTGGGTCCAGGCATGGCGAAGCTGGCACCCAGTCTCAGGCTCCAGGGATAGCGTGTAGGAGTGATTTTCCTCGGAGCCTGTTTGTGGGTGGATGGAAGGGATGTGGGTCTGATGGGAAGGACCTCTTCTTGACCTTGGACTCAACCCCTTTCCCCCAGGCCCCTTCCCAGCACCGGTGTGCTCTAGGTCTTACCACAGCTGGCATGGGGAGCTGGTGTGGATGGGACAGGAGCTCCGGGGGGTCCTGCATCGCCCTTGGCCCCTGGCCTCTTCTTACATTCTACCTTCACCTGGTCTCTGCAGTGTTTGTGGCAACACAGCCCGCACTCTGGGGGAAGGCAGCGGCAGGGGTCCGATCTGTGTCATCCATTCTTCCAGCCTGCGGGCCAAGGCTTCCCTCCCACTCACTGACACCCCACTCACCCCGACAGCGGTAGCCTTGCTTGGTGACACCCCAGAGCTGGGAAGAGAAAGGAGAAAAGGTTACCCATCCTAGGAGAGGGAGGGCTGTGGATTGGCAGGGCAGCTGGGGAGTGGAAGTGTGGAAGCTACCCAGGTTTTGAAATTCTCAAGGCTAGAGATTTAACTGGAATTAAAGGAATGTGGGTGGGGTACAGTGGCTCATGCCAGTAATCCCAGCACTTTGAGACGCCAAGGTGGGAGGTTGGGAGGCCAAGGTGGGAGGATCGCTTGAGCTCAGGATTGGAGGCTGCAATGAACCATGATCGTACCACGGCACTCCAGCCTGGGTAATAGAGCAAGACCCATCTCTTAACAAAATAAATAAAGGAAACTTGGAGATTATCTCAAGTTTAGATAATCACCTCAGATATTAGATTTAGGTAAAATTTAGAGTTACTAAAATGCAAATTCTATGGGCAAGAGTTGTCTGCTGTATTCCTGCTGTAACCCCAGGGCCTAGGATTACCTGGCACACAGGAGGTGCTCAGTAAATATTTCATGAATGAATAAATGAATGTGGGAAGTAATCCAAGGTTTGTGAATTAGTCTCGGGTTATAGGTTGAGAGATTGATCCACTAGCCAGAGTTTGAGGATCTCTTGAATTTGGAAGTTATTCAGAGTTTGAATGATCTGGAGTCTAGAGATTTGGAGGATGATTCTGTTTGAACATAATCTACCCGGTTTGGAGATTATCCAGGTTTGTTGTTGTTGTTGTTGTTGTTGTTGTTGTTGTTGTTGTTGTTGTTGTTTTTGAGACAGAATCTCGCTCTGTCACCCAAGCTGGAGTGCAGTGCTGCGATCTTGGCTCATGCAACCTCCACCTCCTGGGTTCAAGCAATTCTCGTGCCTCAGCCTCCTGAGTAGCTGGGATCACAGGTATGCACCACCACATGCAGCTAATTTTTGTATTTTTAGTAGAGACGGGGTCTCTCTTGCTATGTTCCCTAGGCTGGTCTTGAACTCTTGAGCTCAAGCAATCCGCCCACCTCAGCCTCCCCAAGTGCTGGGATTACAGGCGTGAGCCACCACTCCTGGCCTCCTATCTAGAGTTTTAGGTATTATCCATGGTTCAGCAATTGTCTGGGGTGGACATTATCTGGGATTTTGGGATTATCTGGCATTTGGAGATTATCCAGGATATAGGGAATGTCTGGTGTTTAGGGTTTATATGAAACAGGATGATTTGAAGCTGGAGGATTTCTGGAATTTGGGGGTTATCTGGGGTTTGCGGACTGCCGGCTTCAGGACAGATGGAACCTAAGGGTGGTGATGGGGTGGGGTGCTCACGAAGCCACTGCAGCTGTCGCAGAAGGTAGGCTTTCGGAAGGTGACCTCATGGAAGGTGTGCAGGAAGGCCAGGCCCAACTTGGAGCAGATGGCGCTGGCCCGGAGCAGGTACCCTGTCAGCTCCTCTCTGCTGAAGGATCCTCTCCTGGGGGCAGAAACTGAGCCTCAGCATGACCTGCCCCAACGTCCTCCAGACCCAGGAGTCCAGGCAACCCCAGTGTCCTCATCTTCGGAGGATCCAGGAGTCACAACCACTTACCCCTGGCGTGGGGGTGGGTGAAGCCCATGGCAGGCGAAGGGAAAATTGCCCGAGAGTCGCTCAAAGTCCTCCTGAGAGATTGTTCCTCGGCCTTCAGGGTCATAATTCTTGAACACAGACTTCAGAGGAGTGTGGGGAAGCAGATAAGGCCCAGTTGTCGAAATATGATCCCCATGGCCATAAGTCCCCACCTCCAGGCTCAGGGTTCTACAGATGTCTTCCCTCCTGGCTGCTGGCGGCCGGGCCACCCTCCCCTCCTTACCTCCACCAGCTGCTCCACATGCCGACCCAGTGTGACCCTGTCCGGCTTGGGTGTCACACCAGGGGCCCACTCCACCACCAGAGGTGCATTGAAGGGGGAGGGTGGCTGGGGCGGGGACAGAGGAGCACAGTTAGTCACTGCATAGGCTTAGGGGGGGTTCGAGGTAATTGGGGGAGTCCGAGGCCAGGGGTTGGGTCTCACCAGGCTCTTGGGACAACGCGGCTCCCGGGCATAAGAAAGCTCATAGATCTCGTCTTCCGTGTAGAAGAGGTCCAGGGAGAGCTGGAGCAGACAGGGGTGTTACGGATCCTCCCATCTATAGCCCTGCCCCAGACCCCCACACCCACTCGCAGGCTCTTCCCAAAGCCCCTCCTGGGTTCAAATCCTGGCATTACTGCTGTGGGACAGTGGGCAAGGGACCTCACCTCTCTGGGCCTCAGTTTCCCAATCTACAGAATGGGCACAGTAAGGGTCCCGACCTCATAGGGTTGTAAGGTGGAATGAGGTACCTGGCACACAGTCAATGATCAATAACTGTTAGTAGCCTTTTGCTTAGATTCTTGGATATGTCAAAGCTTGAGATTTTGGGCTATCAGCATGAGAAGCTCAGAACCTTGGAGTTTAAGAATGTGAACCCCAAAGCAATTCCAGAGCTCAGATCAATGGATACTTGAGTCATTGGAGGAAGTGGGGAAAAAACATGTTACTTAAATAGAATACAGAGCTCACTCTGCTCCATATACTGTCGTTTTTTGAGACAGAGTCTTGCTCTGTCACCCAGGCTGGAGTGTAGTGGTACGATCTTGGCTCACTGCAACCTCCGCCTCCCAGGTTCAAGCGATTCTCATGCCTCAGCCTCCCAAGTAGCTGGGATTACAGGCGTGTGCCACTATGCCAGGCTAATTTTTTGTATTTTTAGTAGAGATGGGGTTTCACCATGTTGCCTAGGCTGGTCTCAAACTCCTCAGGCAATCCGCCTACCTCAGCCTCCCAAAGTGCTAGGATTAGAGGCATGAGCCACTGCGCCCGGCTAGACACTGTCTTAAAGACATTCTTTGAACGATGTCATTGGCTGTCTCTCCTCAACCACCCTCTGAAGTGGGTCCTTTTATTTTATTTTATTTTTATTTATTTATTTATTTTGAGAAGGAGTTTCGCTCTTCTTGCCCAGGCTGGGGTGCAATGGCGCAATGGCGCAATCTCAGCTCACTGCAACCTCCACCTCCCGGGTTCAAGCAATTCTCCTGCCTCAGCCTCCCAAGTAGCTGGGATTACAGGCACGCACCACCACTCCTGGCTAATTTTGTATTTTTAGTAGAGACGGGGTTTCTCCATGTTGGTCAGGCTGGTCTCGAACTCCTGACCTCAGGTGATCTGCCCACCTCAGCGTCCCAAAGTGTTGGGATCACAGGCGTGAGCCACTGCGCCCGGCTGGGTCCTTTTATTATTCCCATTTTGTGGATAAGGAAACTGAGGCTTAAGGGTTCAGTGACTTGCCCAAGATCACGCAGCTAGAAAAAAACCTAGAAGTTCTGGCTTCAAAACCCATGCACTCCAGCACTTTTCTATCCTGGTCCTGGAGACACTCACACACCCAGGACCCTATATCTCAGTACCCTTGGAAGCCCAGCCTGGGCGGGGCCAGGGGGGCTCACCGTGAGCAGGTGCAGCAGATCCTCATTGGCGCTGCAGGGTGGATGCTGCCCTTGGAGGGCCACCAGCTCCTGCAGCCGCAGGTAGAGGTTGTTCAGCTTGGGTAGGTGCAGGCGGCCGTCAGGCAACCTGTCGGGCTGTGCCTCATGCAGGGACACCAGGTCCTTGAGGTGCACGCCCAGTACAGGCAGCCGGAAACCCGCGCAGCCAGCCCAGGTGCGGCGGTAGCGGGCGTAGTTGTTGTGGGAGGCAAGGAGCTCAGTGAGCTCCAGGAGGGCCTGGGGAGGAGGGACATGGGATTGGGGCGTTATCAGGACAGTCCCATCCCCTGAGCAGCCTCCTGTGTGGGCTCTAGGCCTTCAGGGACCCAGTGGCATTGTGGAAACCTCTGGAGCCCTTCCATATCCCATGCCGGTCTCAGCATCTCCCCCAAACTGCTCTTCCTCTTGGGTCCCCATCTCAGAGAAGTTCCACAATCCCCCATTCTTTGGCTAAAATGATTTCTTTTATCTTTCTTTCTTTTTGATTTTTTTTTTTTTTTTTTTGAGATGGAGTTTTGCTGTCTTGCCCAGGCTAGAGTGCAGTGGCGTGATCTCGGCTTACTGCCACCTCCACCTCCTGGGTTCAAGCGATTCTCCTGCCTCAGCCTCCCAAGAAGCTGGGATTACAGGCATTGAGCCACCACGCCAGGCTAATTTTGTATTTTTAGTAGAGACAGGGTTTTACCATGTTGGCCAGGCTGGTCTCAAACTCCTCACCTCAGGTGATCTGCCTGCCTCGGCCTCCCAAAGTGTTGGGATTACAGGCGTTAGCCATCAAGACCGGCCTTTTTATTTATTTATTTTTTAGGCTAGGGTCTCACTCTGTCACCCAGGCTGGAGTACAGTGTCATGATCACAGCTCATTGCAGCCTTAAACTCCTGAGCTTGATGGCTGGGCACGGTGGCTCACACCTGTAATCCCAGCATTTTGAGAGGCCGAGGCAGGCGGATCATCTGAGGTCAGGAGTTCGAGAACAGCCTGGGCAACATGGTAAAAACCTGTCTCTACTAAAAATACAAAAATTAACTGGGTCTGGTGGTGCAGGCCTGTAATCCCAGCTACTCGGGAGTCTGAGGCAGGCGAATCGCTTGAACCTGGGAGGTGGAGGCTTCAGTGAGCCAAGATTTCGACACTGTACTCCAGCCTGGGAGATAGAGTGAGACTCTGTCTCAAAAAACAACAATGAAAAGGCTGAGGGGGAGGCTCCAGCAGTCCTCCCCCTCAGCCTCCCAAGTAGCTGGGACTACAGGCATGGGCCACCATCCCTGGCTAATTTATTTTTAAATTTTTTTTCAGCCAGGCGCGGAGGCTCACACCTGTAATCCCAGCACTTTTGGAGGCCAAGGTGGGTGGATCGCCTTAGGTCAGGAGTTTGAGACCAGCCTGGCCAACATGGTAAAACCCTGTCTCTACTAAAAATACAAAATTAGCAGGGCATGGTGGTGCACCCCTGTAATCCCAGCTATTCGGGAGGCTGGGGCAGGAGAATTACCTGAATCCGGGAGGCAGAGGTTGCAGTGAGCCGAGATTGCACCACTGCACTCCAGCCTGGGCGACAAGAGCGAGACTCTGTCTCAAAAAAAAAAAAAAAAAAAAAAAAAAATTTCTGGAGATGGGGTCTCGCTATGTTGCCCAGGCTGGTCTGAAACACCTGGGCTAAAGTGATCCTCCAATCTTGGCCTCCCAAAACGCTGGGATTACAAGTGTGAGCCACACTGTACCCAGCCTATAATTATTTCTTAAAAACCCAGATTTTATCAAGGGTGTGTCATCACTCTCAAAACTTCCCTAGCTTAGCCCATCTTACAAGGCGCTATAGGATCTTCCCAGGGCATCTTCGGCTTAATTTCCTGCCACTTTCTGACCTCAGCCAGTCCTCCCCATGGGGACTGCAAAGTTCTCTGCTAGCCTGTCTCCCATCTGTCTCCCTCACAGTCCAGCTCCGGACCAGACACACTGAAAGCAGAGAGGGATCAGCACCATGAGTGGATGGATGACAGGGAGGAGGAATGCTGGCAGAGCCTGGGGGTCTGGGATTTGGAGGAGCAAGGACTTCATGTGGTACCAGGACCCCTGGGCAGGAATGGACAGGGCTTGGGGAATTAGGTGTGGGGGCTCAAGACAGCTGACCACTTGGAGCTTTGGGGAGGGTAGTGGGATTCACCTTGGTGCTGTCAGGGCTCAGGTGGGCATGGGAGTCCTTGAGTCTGGAGATGGCACTGTGACACAGGCCCCCTGTGACTGCCATCAGCGTGTTGAAATTCTGCAGCTGGTGGAGCCTCTAGGAAGAGAAGCATGCACACAGGGCCGTCACGGGAGGGAGGGCAAGTCAGGAGTTCAGATGACAGCATCCCAGTTGAGGTGGGGTCCCAGGCATGTGTGGACCAATGTGGGGATCAGACAGGTGAGAGAAGGCGGGTGTGTGCGGCAAGAGTGGGACATGCCATGTGTGGGCCTCACAGGGGTGTCAGATGGCTATCTGAGCCGGGAGGGTCAAGCAAGTGATTGACTGATACGAGGTTAGAAAATCTGGGGAGACAGGAAGTACGAGAAGTTGGGCGGATTTGGGGAATAGACAGGTGTGTGTCAGGTGGAGGAGGCTTCAGACATGTCAGGGTGTCAGCCATCTGGGGGTCTGACTGCTCTGAGAGTCACACAGGTGCGGGGAGGCAAGAAGGTGCAGGCTCTGGGCAGGAGCTGGGAGCCAGGCAGAGGTGAATAGGGCCAGAGAGATATGGAGGAGTCAGACAGATGCTAGACAGGTGTGGGGCCACCAGGGCAGCTGGGGAATTCCCTTGCCCTCCTTTTGACAAATTTCGGCAGAGGTTGCTGTGGAGAGAGTGGGGCCAGGGAGGAATGGAAAATGCTCAGACTAAGGACACCCCAGGCGGACGTCGAGACCCCCAGGTCTCAGGGGCCCTGCAGGAGTAAGCAAGCCAGGGAAGACACCAGAGGAAGGGCGTGGTCTGCGTGGAAATACGCAAGGGGGCGCGGCCACAGCGGGGCCGTAGGGCTTCCCTTTTCCCCAGAAGGGCGAGAAGGTGTCCGGAAAGGAGGGGGAAGGGAGGGGAAGAGAAGGGCGTAACACAATGGGGCGGGGCGGGGAGAGCCCGGACGCAATGGGGAGCGATGCACAATCCCGAAGCGACCGCTGGGGCCTGGGGACTGGGGATTGAAGCCTCGGGCTTCCATGCCCCACAAAGGTGGGGGCATGGAAGAGACACTCTCATTGACCTGGGGATAGAATATTCGGGCATAGGGCTTGGGAGCCTGTCACGTCTAGGGCCAAGGGGTGGGGCCACGGTGGGTGCGACGCGGTGACATCAAGGCCAAAGAAGAAGTTACGGTCCTTGGTTGGAATGCCCAGGCTGTGGCCTCGGGGGCGGGGCCGGGAGATGCGTGACGTCACCGCCGGGATGACCCTGTGGGGTCGAGGGTCTGGAAGGGGAAGGACCAGGTGGCTGCGTGCAGTGGAGTTCGCAGCCCCAAGGGGCGGGCCTCACCTGTGCCACGTGAATGAACTTGTCCAGCACCTGTGCACGCTGTAGGGGCCCGGGACGGCTCAGCACCATCACCTGCACCCAGCGGGACACGCTGTTGCTGAGACCTACGGAGCCCTCCAGGGCCGGGCAGCCTCGTACTGAGCCCTGCAAAACGTAGCTCCGCAGGTCCTGGGGCTGGGAGCGAGGTGGGTGTCAAGGTGGGCCGTGGCGCTCAGGCCCTGCCCTTCCATGGCATCCAACTAGCAGTCACGATCTCTGATGTCCTAGCCTGGTCTAGCCGGAGTGACCTTTGTCATCTGTCCCCCAACCCTCAGGCTGCTACATGTCCTTAACGTCACCATGCTCCTCTCCCATCTGAGGAGGCATGTTTCAATATAGCCAGGCACTATATTTGACAAGTAATCATATTAAATAATTTAATCCTCATAACTCTATGAGGTGAGTATCATTCCATTTTAGAGGTGAGACAGTTGAGGCACATAGAGGATAGGTAATTTGCCCAGGGTCACACAGGTGTGAGTCAGGGTGGGCGTCTATATGCTCTTAACTGTACACCTGACTGGTATACAGTAAGCAAAGGGAAGGCTGGGGAAGATGAATTGAAATCAACCTCTATCTGTTCTGCCCAAGGAGTGTTCATTTCATACCCACATCCACTACACTGAGTATATTTGCATACACACTCACACACACAACACACACATACAATCGGGACAGTTTCACATGAAGGAAACAGATCCCCACCTTCCCTTGAAATGATGATGTCCAGATGGCAAAAGCTAATGCATATATATGTTGAAGCACATGAAACTGATCCTTGGGTAGGTAATATATGACAATTTCAAATGGTTCAAGCAGATAGCATTTACCCTGGACCAGGCACTGTTCCTGCAAGGCAGGAACTGTGCATATCCCCTTTTTACAGATGAGGAAACTGAGGCACCATGAATTTAAATGCTTGTTGAATAAATGATAAAATATTTTGAGCACTTACTAAGTGCCAGTCGCTGCAATAAGCCTTTTATTTATTTATTTTACTTTTTTGTTGTTGTTGTTTTTCGAGACAGAATCTCGCTCTGTCGCCCAGGCTGGAGTGCAGTGGTGTGATCTCAGCTCACTGTAATCTCCGCCTCCTGAGGTTCAAGTGATTCTCCTGCCTCACCCTCCCAAGTAGCTGGGATTACAGGCATGCACCACCACACCTGGATAATTTTTGTATTTTTAGTAGAGATGGGGTTTCACCATGTTGGCCAGGCTGGTCTCAAACTCCTGACCTCAGGCGATCTGCCTGCCTTGGCCTCTTTAACTCATTTTCCTGGACCTTCTAGCATACAGGTTTGAGTTTAAGACTTTGAGATCTCTGCCGAATGACCATGCAGGTGTCCTCTCAGTCCTACCTTCCCCCAGCCAATCCCTCCCCTACCCCAGTGTCTCCCCTGCTTGGGACGGGGATGGGAGGGGGTCCTCACCGTGATAGCCTGGAAGGACCGGAACTCCAGGTAGGTGAGGTGCTGAGCCAGCTCCCCCGTCTCCAAGTGGTCGAAAAGCAAGGACACTTTGCGCTTTTTGCCCAGGCCTGGGCTGCTCATTGGGAGTGGGGGGCCAGGGCCACCAGGGCTCAGGCTGGGGGCCAAGAGGGGCAGGGTATTGGAGTGGCTCACAGTTGAGGGCTTGGGGATATAGAGGGAGATGGCAGAATGGCGATGGGGCAGGGAAGAGGGGAGCACAGGGCTGACTCACAGGTCAGAAGAGTCTCCCAGTCTTCTCTGGGCTGAGTTGCCCTCCCGGGCCACGGTGGCCCAGAAACGACCTATGACTTCTTCTAGCTGGGGATCCTGGTGCATCACCTCAGGGTGTCGCATCAGCCAGTACCTGAGAGTGGTTTGGAGATGGTGAGATGAGGCCGGGGGTGGCGAAGGTCTCTACAAGGGGTATTTTGGGCTGAGGAATTTCTAGGTGCTGAGCTAGGGGGTCTCTAAATGTGTGTGGGGGTCCCTGGAGGGTTGGGGTTTGGAGGGGCACCAGGCTTGGAGAATCTCTGGAGTAGGATGGGGGTCTCTTAACAGAGACTGGGGGGATCTGTGGGAAACAGACCGGGGAGTCACTTGGAAGTGGGATTATTGGGAAGCAAGATCGTGGAGCGTCCTAGGAACTAGACTGGGGGCTTCCGGGGGTGAAATTTTTGGAGGGACAGAATGAGGGGGTCTTATGGGCTAGGCTGGGGTCTGTGGGAGGTAGAGATTTTGGGGATCAGAGTTGGAGGTCTCTGGGCACCAGCTAGGAGGGTCTATGGGATCTGGTTGGTGAGGGGGGTCTCTAGGAAGTGGGGGTTCTAAGGAACGGAACTAAGAGGGTCTTAGGAACCAAGCTACAGGTGTCTCAGAAGTGGGATTTTGGCCTGTGGGGCTGGTTGGGTCTGTGGGAACTGGCCTGGGGATTCTCTGAGGAATGTTTTTTGAGGGGGAAGCAGGATGGAAGTCGTGGGTCCTGAGAGTGGGGATCTCGGCCCAGCCCTACCTGACCAGGTGACAGATCTGCAGCCGTCTCAGCTCCTGGGTGTCCCCTGTGGCCTTCTGGTATTTGAGTTCTGGTCAAGGCTCTGTTTTCCAGGATCCATGACCTGCCTGCTCCCCATTCCCATTGCCCAGGTTCTCACGACTCTGCCCTCTGCCCTCCACCCATAGCTCACAGTCCTGGAGGATATGAGGTCAGCAGGCGGGCAGCCAGGTCGGCGGACGGCAGCACCCAGCTGTGCATGGCCAGCACCATGTTGAGCATGTGGTCCTCGTGGCACAGGCTGCCAGCTGAATCTGGGGTGGAAGGAGGGGTACTCTGTGACAGAATGGCCCTCAAGCAATGCAGAGCGTAGCTCCAGATCCTGCCGGACCACCTGGTTCAAAGACCAGCTCTAACGGTGATCCCCAGCATGACCTTGGACAGGCAACCTAACCTCCTGTGCCTCAGTTTCCTTATCTGTATTGTGCATGGGGCAGCATCACCCCTGGCAAGTCTTGCTGAAGATTGAAATAGCACCAGACTGGCCGGGCACAGTGGCTCACACCTGTAATCCCAGCACTTTGGGAGGCTGAATCGGGCGGATCATATGAGGCCAGGAGTTCGGGACAAGTCTGGCCAACATGGTGAAACACCGTTTCTACTAAAAACACAAAAATTAGCTGGGCCTGGTGGCATGTGCCTGTAATCCTAGCTACTCGGGAAGCTGAGGCAGGAGAATCTCTTGAACCCAGGAGGTGGGGGTTGCAGTGAGCTGAGATCAGGCCACTGCACTCCAGCCTGGGTAACAGAGCGAGACTCTGTCTCAAAAGAAAAAGAAAAGAAAAGAAAAAAGATTTATATAAATATATATAATATACACATATATTATATATATATATAAATGTATATATTTCCATTTCAGGAAAGAAGAAATGCAGGTGTTTCTGTTATCTCTAATGTAGTGATTGAGTTTCATTCCACCCAGCCCTGTTCTCATTTTACCTCCAAAAACTGAGGTGGAGAGAAGCGAGTGCTGAGCCCGAGGTTAGGGCCAGGGAGGCTGCTGGGGAGAGGACACTTACCGAAGGACTGGATGCATTTCTCCAGCAGCTCATCTTCGCTGCAGCCGCCCTCACTCAGCAGGCCCAGGTTCATGGAAGCCATGACCTTGCTGATTTCCCGAGGGCTGGGGCATGTCTTGTGGCGGCGCACTTGGCGGGGCCGGCCTCGCCCTCCTATTTTTCCGGTGCATTCCTGGTGGGACTTCCTGTGGGCACAGCCCCCAAGGAGTCATGGGAGCACCTTCTTTCGGACAGACCCTAGAATTCCTTTTGACTCTAATGCCCCAAGGCACCACGGGAGAGGCTTCCTAAAGGCAAAGCCCCAGGGTTACCCCTGACCTACCAGGGACTCTAGAGAGAATCCCCAGGAATATTCCAGATCCCTGGGGGAATCATGGGAGCCCTCTCCCACAAGCAAACTCCCAGGGATATTCCTGCTCCCTTCAGGGAATCAGAGAGGAAGATCCTCAAGACCAGGGGTCCCCAGCCCCTGGGACACAGACAGGTACCAGTCCGTGGCCTGTTAGGAACCAGCGGGCAAGCAAGCACCCCCGCCTGAGCTCCACCTCCTGTCAGATCAGCTGGGGCATTAGACTCTCTTAGGAGCATGAACCCTATTGTGAACTTCACATGCGAGGGATCTAGGCTGCGTGCTGTTTATGATGCCTGATGATCTAGGCTGCGTGCTGTTTATGATGCCTGATGCCTAATGCCTGATGATCTGTCACTGTCTCTCATCACCCCCAGATGGGAGCATCCAGTTGCAGGAAAACAAGCTCAGGGCTCCCACTGATTCTCCATTATGGTGAGCTGCGTAACTATTTCATTATATATTACAATGTAATAATAATAAAAATAAAGCACAGGATACATGTAATTAACTTGAATCATCCCCACACCATCCCCACCCCCTTCCACAAAACTGGTCCCTGATGCCAAAAAGCCTGGGGACCGCCGCTCAGGACTGCTCTGAATCTCCCAGGGAATCACAGTAGAAGACCCCTGGGACCACTCAAGACCCCTCAGGGAATCATAAGAACTCCTTCCCCAGGCATTGCCCCCAACTTCCTCTTGACTGCTTCCAGGGCATCCTGGAAGAGACTTCCTTTTGGCAGATCCCAGGATTACTCCTGGCCTACCAGGGACTCGGGAGAAGACCCCTGGAATCTCTTCTGTCCTCCCCAGGCAGAGGCATGGGAGGACCTGCCTTCAGGAATTGCCTCCTCAGGGCTCCCGTTTGGTCTCTAACACCCTCCCCTCCTTCCTCCCACAGCCCTCAAGAGAGCAAGGCTCTTGGACCAGTGTGATGGCTCACGCCTGTAATCCCAAAGCTTTGGGAGGCCAAGGTGGGTGGATCACTTGAGGCCAGGAGTTCGAGACCACCCCGGCCAACATGGTGAAACCCCCATCGCTACTAAAAATGCAAAAATTGGTCAGGCGTGATGGCGGGCGCCTGTAATCCCAGCTACTCAGGAGGCTGAGGCAGGAGGGTCGCTTGAACCCAGGAGGTGGAGGCTGCAGTGAGCCGGAACTGCATCACTGTGCTCCAACCTGGGTGACAGAGTGATTTCTGTTTCAAAAATAATAATAAAAAAATTAAAAAGAGAGGCCAGTCACAGTGGCTCACGCCTGTAGTCCCAGCACTTTGGGAGGCTGAGGTGGGTGGATCACTTGAGGTCAGGAGTTCGAGACCAGCCTGGCCAACATGGTGAAACCCCATCTCTATTAAAAATACAAAAATTAGCCAGGCGTGGTGGTGGGCTCCTGTAATCCCAGCTACTCAGGAGGCTGAGGCAGAAGACTTGCTTGAACCCAGGAGGCGGAGGTTGCAGTGAGCCGAGATCGTGCCACTGCACTCCAGCCTGGGCAACAGAGCGAGTCTTAGTCTCAAAATAATAATAATAATAATAGTAATAATAGTAATAATAATTCTCCCTCTGCCTGGTGCCTCCCAGAGGCTGCTGTTCCTGATAGGGGAAGAGGGTAATGGAGAGACAAGGATGGTGGGAGCAGGGAGGCTGCTGAATCCAAGCTTCAGACGAAAGTAGAATCCAGAAATTTTTGCCAGCTGTTGTGACTTCGTGTTAGTCACTTAATTTCTCTGGGGCTCAATTTCCTCGAAGGAAAAATGAGGATAGTCCTTGGACCTTCTCCAGGGATTTCTTTTTTCTTTCTTTCTTTCTTTTTTTGGAGACAGGGTCTCACTCTGTCACCCAGGCTGGAGTGCAGTGGTGCGATCTCAGCTCACTGCAACCTCCACCTCCCGGGTTCAAGCAATTCTCCTGCCTCAGCCTCCCAAGTAGTTGGGACTACAGGCACGTGCCACCACGCCGAGCTAATTTTTGTATTTTTAGTAGAAATGGGGTTTCACCATGTTGGCCAGGCTGGTTTCAAACTCCTGGGCCCAACTGATCCTCCCACCTTTGCCTCTGAAAGTGCTGGGATTACAGGTGTGAGCCATCACGCCAGGCTCCCACCTCTACCCTTTTTCAGACAGGGTCTTGCTCTGTCTCCCAGGCTGGAGCACAGTTGTGCAATCAAAGCTCATTGTAACCTTGAACTCCTGGACTCGAGTGATCCTCCTGCCTTAGTCTCCCAGGTAGCTGGGACTACAGGTGTGCACGACCATACCCAGCTAATTTTGTGTGTGTGTTTGGGTGTGTGTCAATGGGGGGGGGGGTCTCACTATATTTCTCAGGCTGGTCTAGAACTCCTGGCTTCAAGTTCTCCTTGTCTTATCCTCCCAAAGTGCTGGGATTAGAGGCATGAGCCATCGTTACTAGAAGGGACATTTTAAAGTATTATATATGTCCTAGGCTAAGGAAGGAGCATTCTAACTAAGTCAGCATTTCCCTAAGTGTGGGCACCCAGCTAGTACCAAAAGCATCACCTGGGAACTGGATATCAATACAGATTCTCAGGTCCCAACCCAGACCTACAAAATCAAACACTTTAAGGCTAAGGGTGGTGGCTCATGCCTCTAATCCCAGCACTTTGGGAGGCCGAGGTGGGTGGATCACGAGGTCAAGAGATCGAGACCATCCTGCCCAACATGGTGAAACCCCATCTCTACTAAAAATACAAAAAAGTAGCTGGGTGTGGTGGTGCACACCTGTAGTCCCAGCTACTTGGGAGGCTGAGGCAGGATGATCGCTTGAACCCGGGAGGCAGAGGTTGCAGTGAGCCAAGATTGTGCCACTGCACTCCAGCCTGGCGGCAGAGCGAGACTCCGTCTCAAAAAAAAAAAACAAAAAAAAAAAAACCAAACACTTTAAAGGTAAGCCCAGCAACCTGTATTTTACAAGCCCTCCAGACAGTTCTGAGGCTCGCTCCAGTTTGAGAACCACTGGTCTAGAGTGTCTCATTGAGTACTTACAGGCCTCTCCGAGGTAGAGGATATGATTGTTCTACTGACAGAAGAAAAACCCGAGACACAGAGCAGTTAAGTGACTTACCTAAGGTCACACAGCTAGGAAATTAGGCAGCCAGGAGTCTACCACTAAACTGCTGGGTGGGGAGGAAAGCCCTTTGCCCATCAGAGTGGTGCTGGGGGTGGCAGGAGGAGTTACCCAGGCTAGGGAGCCACCCACCATCTGCCTCTGTGGGGACAGAAGGGCCAGCTTGCCCAGGAGATGAAGCCCATTCCAGAACCGGCCGCACAGCCAGCCACTAGGCCCTGTCCTGCAGCCCCCTGTAGGGGTCTGGAACAGCCAGGAGTGGTTTAAGAGGCAGGGGAGTCGCCTTGCCCTGTGCCACACTCCCCTCTCCTGGGCCAGGCCCTGCAGGAGCCTGGAGTTTCCAGTCCACGGGGATGGGGAACCAGGAAGCCCCCAGGGAGGGCAGAGACACTCAGCCCAGGCCAGGGATGGAGGTGGGGTGATGAGGAGTGGAAAAGGGGCACGGAGCAGCTCAAACTCCAGGGACAACACGGTACAGATGCCACATACAAGCGACTGCAGCCGTAGCTGGCTCCAGACTCCCTGAAGCATCCACCTGGCCCCCCTGCGCCTGATCCCAAAGAAGTCAGGAATCCTGCCACCCTGGCGAGTGATCTCCCCAGCCCTCCCATGCAGAGGGAGGCCTCAGGGTGCTGCCGGGCTCCCTGGGGAGGGTCCTCTCACCTCTTACTGTCTTTTCTGTTCATGCTTCCCGCGTGGGGTGAGGAGGCCGGGGGTCTTGCAAGAGTAGGGCTCAGCTCCTCCCCTTGCCCAGGACTCCAGCTTCTCAGCCCCTAGGGAGCTGGGGCCTCCTCGGTGCTTGGGAAGGAAAGAGGAACTGCCCCTCCCCACCCACCCTCAGGCCAGGGGGAAGGAAGAGGCTGGGGAGAGACCGAAGGCCCCCCTCCCCCACACGGGGATCCCTTCTGCTGAGGTTTCCGGCATCGCTGGCTCTCCCACCCTCAAGCTCCCCGGCGGGCTCTCTATCTCCCCCATCTTTCGGTGTCGAGACCCGTCACTGTCATACTTCAATAAAAGAAGGGGCTTTTCTTTTTAAAGCATGACTGATATTTATGTAAAAACACACACACTCACTCAAAAAGATAAGTCTGTCTGTCTAGAAGGACATATTCATATATATAATTCATGAAGGTTTGAATGGAAACTCACAAGACATAGTATTTTGTATATTTCTTCATAGGCGTCTCTTATTCCTAGTTTAAGTGATACCATTTGTACCCTGGAAAACATTTTCACTTTCTGACTTTATTGTAACAAACCTCCACATAGCACCTACTGTGTACCACACACTGCTGTAAGGACTTTAAAAATATTAACTCATTTAATCCTCACACAATCCACTGTTACCTTAAAAAAAATTACATACCGGACCAGGCACGGGGGCTCACAGGGGCTCACGCCTGTCATCCAGCACTTTGGGAGGCCAAGGCAGGCGGATCGCTTGAGTCTAAGAGTTTGAGACCAGCTTGAACAACGTGACAAAACCCCGTCTCTACAAAAAATGTAAAACGTTAGGCCGGTGTGGTGGCTCACTCCTGCAATCCCAGCACTTTGGGAGGCCGAGGTGGGCGGATCACCTGAGGTTGGGAGTTTAAGACCAGCCTGAGCAACATGGAGAAACCCCGTCTCTACTAAAAATACAAAATTAGCCAGGCGTTGTGGCACATGCCTGTAATCCCAGCTACTCGGCAGGCTGAGGCAGGAGAATTGCTTGAACCCAGGAGGCGGAGGTTGCCGTGAGCCGAGATCGCGCCATTGCACTCCAGCCTGGGCAACAGGAGCGAAACTCTGTCTCAAAAAAAAAAAGTTAGCTGAGCGTAGTGATGCACACTTGTAGTCCCAGCTACTCAGGAGGCTGAGGCTAGAAGATTGCTTGAGCCCAAGGAGGTCGAGGCTGCAGTGAACCATGATGGTGCCACTGCACTTCAGTCTGCGTGGCAGAGCCAGACCCTGTCTCAAAAAACAAAAAACAAAAAAAAAAAACACACACACACATCAAAAAACATTAGAGATGGAGGTAAAGCCTTGGGGAAGCCCCTCCCCATCCCCTGCCTTTCTTAAGCAGGGTGTGACCAATATGACACGTTGTCGAGTTTCGTCCAAACTGCTGTCTGTGCGTTTAAGCACATCATATAAACATGTGCTCCTAGAAACAGACTTTTCTTTTGAGTGTGCATTTTTTTCTTTTTACCTAAATGTGTCATGCTCGACACTTTTTTTTAAATTGAAGTACAAAAAAGATCACGAATCATTAAGTATTTAGGTTGATGAAATGTCACCAACTGAGCAAACCTGTGTGACATTCATACAAATCCAGACACAGAACATTCTCACCCTCCACAAGCCCCCTGTCTTTCTTCCCAGCACGAATTCCCACAGATCCCCACTCGCCCGAAGTCTGGCGCAGTAGTTTTGTCTTGTTTTGAGCTGGATAAAAATGGACTCCTGTATTGAATCTGGGTTCTTTCTCTCCACGTCTTGTCTTTGCAGTTCTTCCATGTTATCATATTTGGTTATAATTTATTCCTTTTTTTGGCCGGGCGCGGTGGCTCACGCCTGTAATCCCAGCACTTTGGGAGGCTGAGATGGGCAGATCACTTGAGGTCAGGAGTTCGAGACCCGTCTGGCCAACATGGTGAAACTCCCATCTCTACTACAAATACAAAAATGAGCCAGGTGTGGTGGTGCGTGCCTGTAATCCCAGCTACTTGGGAGGCTGAGGCAGGAGAATCGCTTGAACCCGGGAGGAGGAGGTTGTAGCGAGCCGAGATTGCACCACTGCACTTCAGCTTGGGCGACAGAGCGAGACTCTGTCTCAAAATAATAATAATAATAATAATAATAATAATTCCATATAGTCTTTCATTATGTGACAATTCCATGACTTATATATATATATTTATTTATTTAGAGATAGGTGTTGTGGATAGTGACTAAGCGGGCTGGTGGCATGCTAACTTCTATTTTTTTTTTTTATTTTTGAGACAGAGTCCTGCTCTGTCGCCCAGTCTGGAGTGCAGTGGCGTGATCTCAGCTCACTGCAACCTCTGCGATTGAAGCGATTCTCCTGCCTCAGCCTCCCCAGTATCTGGGATCACAGGTGTGTGCCACCACACCCAGCTAATTTTTGTAGAGACGGGGTTTTGCCATATTGGCCAGGCTGGTCTTGAACTCCTGGTCTCAAATAATCCACCCGCCTCAGCCTCCCAAAGTGCTGGGGTTACAGGCGTGAGTCACAGCACTAAGTTCTATTTTTCATCAGTCTAGAGTCTGGTAATAACTAGACACTAAAACATTTTAAGTTAAGTGAGTTATCTATACAAGAGGACTATATGTCCTAGACTGTAAAAAAAAGACAAACTTATAGCTTCTCTGTTTTTTTTTTTTATTTTTATTTGGTCCTACCAACCTGACTCTTTTTTCTTAATTAAGACTCCACAGCAGGGTCTCCCTCTGTCACCAAGGTTGGAGTGCAGTGGCGAGATCCTAGCTCACTGCGGCCTCGGACTCCTGGGCTTAAGCCATCTTCCCACCTCAGCCTCCTGAGTGGCTAGGACTACAAGTGCACACCACTGTGCTCTGCTAATTTTTTTTTTATTATTTTCCTGTAGAAACAGGGTCTTACTTTGTTGCCTAGGCTGATCTCGAACTCCTAGGCTCAAGCAATCGTCCTTCCTATGCCTCCAAATTGCTGACTCTCCAGGCGTGAACCACTGTCCCCGGCCTCCGTGATTTATTGATCAATTTTCCTGTGATGGACATCTGAGTTGTTTCCAGGTTGGGGCTGCTGTGACTATTTGAGCATCTGACTTTTGATGAACATAGAGTGTACCATATTGTAGGGCAGTACCCAGGAGTGGAATAAATGGGTCATAGTAGTTACTGTGATTCTACCAAACATAGCATGTTAGCAATTCATTGAAATCGTTCTCTCAGAAGTATATTTTTCCACTTTTTTTTTCACTAAAAGAAAGAACCGTGGATGTATATTTTTTCCAATGCAGAACATTTAGACAGTCACTGAACTCGCCGTCTTTAGTTTTTCCATCACGCGATGTTACCATAGCTTCAGACTCTCTCTTCCTGCCCGTTTTCACCCTCTCTCCCCCTGGCCTCATGGTGTTCTGTCTGACTCTCTCAGACCATCTCCTGTAGCACCTGCATCTTGAATGTGACTTAACAATCCTGGCTGAGCAGAGACTTCGTAGTGTGGCAGTGTCTCCAGGCCCTGGGGACCCAGAAAAGCCTCAAGGAGGAGGTCAGAAATCCTGGCACTTGTTTCTACTGTACACAGGCAGCCTTAGTCCTCGGGCTGGCCAAGAATACCCACAATACCCGTGCTGATGACTACAAAGGAAGGGACTTCTGAATCAAACCACAGAAACTCCTAAGGCAGAAAAATGATGGACATGATAACATGCAAATACAGACTTTCTTCTTTTGTTGCTGTTCTTCTTTCTTTCTCTTTTAAATTTTAAAGATGGGGTCTTGCTATGTTGCCCAGGCTGGTCTCAAACTCCTGGGCTCAAGGGATCCTTTCACCTAGACCTCCCAAAGTGCTGAGATTACAGGCAGATTTTCTTTTAACGAAGACACCATGGGACAAATGTCAGATGACAGAAGGGGAAAAGGTGTTTGCAATATTTAAAAATCAATGAGATATTAATATCTAGAATATAGGTCAGGTGCAGTAGCTCATGCCTCTAATCCCAGCACTTTGAGAGGCTGAGGCGGGCAGATCACTTGAGATCAGGAGTTCGAGGCCAACCTGGCCAACGTGGCAAAACCCCGTCTCTATTAAAAATACAAAAATTAGCAGGGTGTGGTAGTGGGTATTGCTCTGTCATCCCGGCTACTTGGGAGGCTGAGGCATGAGAATCAGTTGAACCCAGGAGGTGGAGGTTGCAGTGAGCTGGGATTGAGCCACTGCACTCCAGCCTGGGAGACAGAATGGGACTCCATCTAAAAAAAAAAAAAAAAAAAAAGAATATAAAAGGAACAGCTGCAAATCAGCAAGCGAAAAAGACAGCAACCATAATAGAAAAATGGCCGGGCTCAGTGGCTCCTGCGCCTATAATGTAAGATTACATGCTTGTAATCTCAGCACTTTGGGAGACCGAGGTGGGTAGACTACCTGAGGTCAAGAGTTCAAGACCACCCTGGCCAACATGGCGAAACCCCGTCTCTACTCAAAATACAAAAATTAGGCTGGGCACAGTGGCTCACGCCTGCAATCCTAGCACTTTGGGAGGCCAAGGCAGGCGGATTGGCTGAGCTCAGGAGTTCGAGACCAGCCTGGGCAACACAGTGAAACCCGATCTCTACTAAAATACAAAAGAAATTAGCCAGGTGTGGCAGTATGCGCCTGTAGTCCTGGGGGTGCTGAGGCAGGAGAATTGCTTGAACCCAGGAGGCGGAGGTTGCAGTGAGCCGAGATGGTGCCACTGAACTCCAGCCTGGGCGACAGAGCAAGACTCTGTCTCAAAAAAAAAAAACAAAAAAAAGTGAGCAGGGATCACAATGAGCAGATAACAAAGAAACCCAAAACTCTGATAGGCACTTGAGAAGATGCTAGAAATTGTTGGTAACTCATCAGGGAAGTGGAAATTAAAATGACAGCGAGTCCAGGCGCGGTGGCTCTTGCCTGTAATCCTAACACTTTGGGAAGCTGAGGTAGGAGGATCACTTGAGACCAGCAGTTCAATACCAGCCTGGGCAATATAGTAAGACCCCACCTCTATAAAAAATTTAAAAGTTAGTTGGGCGTGGTGGCACAAGCCTGTTGTCCCAGCTGCTCGGGAGGTTGAGGTGGGAGGATCCCTTGAGCCCAGGAGTTCCGGGCAGCAGTGAACCATAATTGCGCCACTGCACCCCAGCCTGGGCAACAAAGTGAGATCTCATCTCTAAAAATAAAATAGAGAAAATAAATTAAAAAACAGTGAGTCACCCTATATAAATCTGGCAAAAATTAGTTAAGTTGGAAATGCCACATGAGGGTTGGGGATATGGGGACCCGGGGACCCTCATGCACTGGTAGTGAGTAGCCATTCCGAGGGCTACCCAGCACTACTTACACAAATGGTGCGCATGGATATGTCACCCAGCAATTAGCTTCTGGGTACGCACAATAAAACATTCTCCCTCAGCTTCCTGGGGGACCAATACACAGATGTTCCCTCCAGCATTATTTCGGGAGAGCTGGAGGCAGCCTGGGTGTCCGCTCCCAGTAGGGGTAGGTGGAAAAACAGAAGGGATCAGTCACCAGAGAATCCTGCAAAGCCACCACTGTCACACACCAGGTGTCCACAGAGCAACAAGGGTAGGTCTTAAAACACATAATGATGACTGACAAAAATAAGAAACACTATTAATATCTTATGATATAATGCTCAATGACACAGAATCATTTTACATTTACATAAAGTTTTAGGGAAAAACAATATTTAATATACAACTATGCGTTGGATAATGTATAACAGATACAACATAGAATTGTATTGTACTGTATAATTATATTAGCCTAAATATATAATTATATAATTATACATTATATAATGCCAAATTATATAATTCCATAATATGACACAAACTTTTGTGCTATTTATTGCAGTTGTGTTAACATCAGTATTTAATTATGGAACACCTAGAAACCTGCTATACCTTGAAGAACGGTTTCTATGTAATTTTGTTTAACTATGGGATATTGTTTTATATAACTTACTGTATACCACTACATGTTAATAAAAAAAATTTTTTTTTTTTTTTTTGAGGTGGAGCCTTGCTCTGTCACCTGGGCTGGAGTGTAGTGGTACAATCTCGGCTCACTACAACCTCTGCCTCCTGGGCTTAAATGATTCTTGTTCCTCAGCCTCCCAAGTAGCTGGGATTAGAGTCGTGTGACACCATGCCCAGCTAATTTCTGTGTTTTTAGTAGAGTCAGAGTTTCACCATGTTGACCAAGCTGGTCTCAAATTCCTGGCTTCAAGTGATCTGTCTGCCTTGGCCTCCCAACGTGCTGGGATTACAGGCATGAGCCACTGTGTCTGGCCTAGTAATAATTTTAATAGGGCTGGACGTGGTGGTTTACACCTGTAATCCCAGCACTTTGGGAGGCTGAGGTGGGCGAATCATGAGGTCAGGAGTTCGAGACCAGCCTGGCCAACATGGTGAAACCCCGTCTCTACCAAAAATACAAAAATTAGCCGGGTGTGTTGGCAGGTGCCTGTAATCCCAGCTACTCAGGAGGCTGAGGAGGAGAATCGTTTGAACCTGGGAGGTGGAGGTTGCAGTGAGTCAAGATCTTGCCACTGCACTCCAGTCTGGGCAACAAGAGCAAGAGTCCGTCTCAAAATAAATAAATAAATAAATAAATAATAATAATAGCAACACTTACATTACATTAACCAGGCACTGGCACTGTTTTAAGTTTTATCTCATTTAATTAATTATCTCATTTAACTCTCCCAACAACCACGTGAGGTCGGTACTATTAATATTCCCCTTACTGGATGGGGAAACCGAGGCACAGAGAAGCTAAGTGGCTTATCCATGTAACTCAAGGAAGTGGCAAGGCTGGGTGGGATTCAGATCCAGATTATCTGGCTTGGAGTCGGAGTCCTTGTTCTTTTTTTTTTTTTTTTCAGACGAAGTCTCGCCCAGGCTGGAGTGCAGTGGCTCAATCTCGGCTCACTGCAGCTTCTGCCTCCCGAATTCAAGGAGTTCAAGCAATTCTCCTGCCTCAGTTTCCCAAGTGGCTGGGATTACAAGCATGTGTCACCACGCCTGGCTAATTTTTGTACTTTTAGTAGAGACGGGGGTTTCACCATGTTGGCCAGGCTGGCCTCGAACTCCTGACCTCAAGTGATCCACCCACCTCGGCGTCCCAAAGTGCTGAGATTACAGGGGTGAGCCACCACTCCCGGCCGGAGTCCTTGTTCTTAATCACTATGTTTGGTGCTTTTTAAAGTCAGGAGATCTGGTGCACATCCCTGCTCTGCTGCGTGATATCTTGCAAGAACTTCCCCACTCAGAGCCTCAGTCTGCCCTCTGTGAAATGGGAGAATGATGGCACGTTACTTACCGTGGTGGGGAGAAAGCGCAGGTACCTCCTAGATACTCTCTCTCCCACCCCACCTCCGGCGGCCAACGGCCAAGCAAACCTCCAGCCAAGATTTGGGGTATGTGGGCAGGGCTCCGGCGAAGGGGAGTGGCCGGGGAGTCCTGGTCCAATGGGGCCCGGGGGCGGGGACTTCCTCCCATCTCTGTCCAGCATGCGTGTACTCCTCGCAGTTCCATCTACCTCGCGGGTGCCTCTGGTGTCTCCAGAGGTCTCCGACCCCAGCCCGCCCCCAGCCCTCCCGCCCAGCCCGCAGCCCCCTCCCTCTGTTCCCCGACCTCAGACCCTGGGCTTCCGACCTCGACATCATGGGTGACGCAGAAGGCGAAGACGAGGTCCAGTTCCTGCGGACGGTGCGTATCTCTGGGTTAGGGGCCTGTGGGGCTATCTCTTGGGGCTCTCTGAGGGTCTCTCTGTCTCTGAATGTCCCTGTCCGGCTTGCTGGTGGTCTCTGAGACTCGAGGTCTCTTCCTATGTCACTTTGAGTGACTGTCACTCTGTCTTTTAGTCTCCTTCACCTTTCTCACTACAGAGAATTAGTAGGATTGGGGACTCCAGAATGGGAAAGGGATCTTCGGTTGCCCTCTCTTCTGACTTTAGCGATTTGTCCCCCACAAGAAGGACCCCCGAGGGAGCACACCCTCACACCATCTTGGAAGCAGGCACTTGGGGAAGGTGGTTCTAATTCCTGGGCTTGATTTAGCCATCCCCCCACCCCCACCTTAGCCCTAATTCTCTTTTTGCTCCAGACTCTGACCTATTTAAATTCTTGAGAAGGGAGCTGGAGTGAGCTGGAGGACACAGCTGCTTCCAACTCCTAGCCCTTGAGGGTCTTGTGGGGGAGGGATCTCTTGGGTTCTGGGTCTTTCTTTCCTTCTTCGTTTTGGGCAGGAGGGCTGCTCCCAATGGCTGCTAATGGTCTTGCAGGGTCTCTGGGTGGTGTCTCTCCCCATCTGTCTCTTTGGGTGTCTCCATGTCTCTGTCTCTTCCTCCATCTCAGTCTCCCTGTCTCTGTTTCTTAGCTTAAGGCCCTCTGATTTTCGCTGTCTCTCTAGCTGGGTTACTCCCTGCATCTGAGCCCCAGCTGGGGGCAGGGATGGGAATTGGAACAACAGGTGTCCCTCCCAGAATAGCCGGCTTTTCTGGGGCCTGGGCAGGGGATGGGGAGGGGATGAGAGGGAGGAGGGGCTGCCATCTCCTTGTCCTTCCCATCTTCCCCTCCCAGTGGCTCCGCAGGGTGTGGGGTCGTAAATATGGGAGGGGACGTCCTCTCCTCTGGGCTAGGTCTGCTGACCAGACGCTAGCCCCGCCCCTCCCCCCGGGGCCCTGGAGCCACACAGGAAATGCTGACACAGCATTCCTGCCCCAGAATAGGACCCTGGCGAGCCGGGTCCGGTTTCCTGGGAGAGAGGAACAAACAGCTGGGGCTGGTAGTGAAGGATGGGGACAGCTGGGAAGGGGCCTAGCTTCAGCCGAGACTCTCTCCCCAGCCCCAGCCCCTCAGCAGACACCATGGGTCGGGCCCTCCCCAGCCCTAATAAGACCATGGCCATGGCCACTGGCTCTTGAGCTGTCGCTCTAAACCAGGCCCTGTGCCCTGGGCCTCTGCCTCCTGAGACATCTAATTATATCCTTGCTGCCCTGTCTTCTGAGGTAGGGTCCTATCTTTATCTCCCTGACAGATTTGAGGGAAACCAAGGCCCGAATGGTAGAATCACTCACCCAAGGTCAAGGCCAGGAAGTGGCATCTCTGGATGCCCCTGGTGCCCAGCCCCATTGCCTTCACCAGAGAAAATCTGGGCCCAGACTTGCCAAAGTAGTCAGCGTTAGGGTTCTGGAGGCTTGGCCCTGGAATCTCTCCACCCCAGACTGGGTCAGTTTTTCTGATTGTTACTGAGGTCGTGGTGGATTTCTCAAAACTTTCTGGAGGCTGGGCTCAGTGGCTCATGCCTGTAATCTCAGCACTTTGGGAGGCCAAGGTGAGCGGATCACTTGAGGTCAGGAGTTTGAGACCAGCCTGGCCAACATGGTGAAACCCCGTCTCTACTAAAAATACAAAAAAATATTAGCCAGGCGTGGTGGTGCATGCCTGTAATCTTAGCTACTCGGGAGGCTGAAGTGGGAGGATTGCTTGAACCTGGGAGGCAGAGGTTGCAGTGAGCCGAGATTGCGCCACTGCACACTCCAGCCTGGGCGACAGGGCGAGACTCCATCTCAGAACAAAAAACCTTCTGGACCACATCCCGCCCATAAGAAACATTCTGTCTTACAACTCAGTACATGCACACATGCATAGACATGACTAAAAACCAACTTTATTGAGGTATAATTGACCTGCAATAAATTTTACCCAGTTTATGTGTTCAATGAGTTGTTTTGTTTTTGTTTATTTATTTATTTTTTTGAGATGGAGTTTCACTCTTGTTGCCCAGACTGGAGTGCAATGGCGTGATCGCAGCTCACTGCAACCTCTGCCTCCTGGGTTCAAGCGATTCTTCTGCCTCAGCCTCCTGAGTAGCTGGGATTACAGGCGCGTGCCACCAAGCCGAGCTAATTTTTTGTATTTTTAGTAGAGATGGGGTTTCACCATGTTGGCCAGGCTGGTCTTGAACTCCTGACCTCAGATGATCCACCCATCTTGGCCTCCCAAGGTGCTGGGATTACAGGTGTGAGCCACCACGCCCGGCCTTTTTTTTTCTTTTTGAGACAGAGTCTCAATCTGTTGCCCAGGCTGGAGTACAGCAGTTTGGTGGTTGGTTCAACGCAACCTCCACTTCCCAGGCTCCAGTGATCCTCCCACCTCAGCCTCCTGAGTAGCTGGGACTACACGTGCATAGCACCATGCTTGGCTAATTTGTAAAATTTTTTGTAGAGGTGAGGTCTCACTATATTGCCCAGGCTGGTGTCAAACTCCTGGGCTCAAGAAATCCTCCGGCCTTGGCCTCCCAAAGTTTTGGGATTACAGGCATAAGCCACCATGCCCGGCCTTTCTTCTTTCACTCAGCATAATATTTTTGACATTCATCCATGTAGCATGTATTGAGTTTGTTGCTTTTTGTTGCCGAATATTATTCCATTGTGCGACTATACTGTGGTGTGTTTATCAGTTCACCTGCTGATGGACATTTGAGTCGTCTCCAATTTTTACTATTATAGACAACACAGGGCCTGTGACCATTCACTTGTACCTATTTTTAACTGAAACAAGTCTCATAAAATGTAGATGGCCCCTGAAGCATGATGGGCACGCTGTGATTTTCTATTCTTGCTCCATTTTGCTTCGTTTGGTTAAGTATGATGGCCACAGCCCCCCCAAACTGATTTCACTTCCCTTTGGTGGGTGGTGACCTCTACCCTTACCCAGGCTGGGGTTTCTCAAACCCTGGCCCAAGTTAGAAGCTCCTGGGGTCTGGTAAACAGTACGTATTCCCTGCTGACCCCAAATCAGGCTCTTGATGGTGGTAGGGGACTGGGCCAGCAGGGAAGCTATATTTTTAACCAGAACCCTCCGCTTCCTTCATTTTTTTTTTCTTTTTCTTTTTTTTTTAAGATGGAGTCTTCCTTTGTAGCCCAGGCTGGAGTGCAATGGCACAATCTCGGCTCACTGCAACCTCCGCCTCCTGGGTTCAAGCGATTCTCCTGTCTCAGCCTCCCGAGTAGCTGGGATTACAGGCATGCACCACTACGCCCGGCTAATTTTTGTACTTTTAATAGAGATGGGGTTTCACCATGTTGGCCAGGCTGGTCTCGAACTCCTGACCTCAAGTGATGCGCCCACCTTGGCCTCCCAAAGTGCTGGGATTACAGGAATGAGCCACCTCGCCCAGCCTGCCTTCATTCTAATTCAGGAAAAGTTTGAGAATCAATGTGGTAATGATTGGGCTCTCTGTCGCTGCTTTGCACTCTGGCTTTGCCATTTGCCTGCTTCCTAATTTGGGGCAAGTGATTTTTATTTTTCTCTCTGAGCCTCAGTGTTCTCATCTGGAAAATGGGGACAAGATTATATACAATAGCCAGACCCCATGGCTCACACCTGTAATCCCTTCGCTTTGGGAGGCTGAAGCAGGACGATTGCTTGAGGCCGGGAGTTCAAAAACAGCCTGGGCAACATAGGGAGACCTTGTCTTTACAAAAAATGTTAAACTTTAGCTGGGCGTGGCAGTGTGCACCTGTAGTACCAGCTACTTGGGAGGCTGAGGTGGGAAGATCACTTGAAACCAGGAGTCGGAAGCTGCAGTGAGCTGTGATCTCGCCACTGCACTCCAGTCTGGGCAACAGAGCAAGACCCTGTGTCTACAAAAATATATATATCTTAAATTAGCTGGGTGTGGTGGCATGAGCCTGCAGTCATAGCTTCTCAGGAGGCTGAATGGAGAGGATCACTCAGCCTAGGAGTCCAAGGCTGCAGTGAGCTATGATCGTACCACTGCACTCCACCCCAGGAGACAGAGTGAGACCCAGTCTCTTAAAAAAAAAAAAAAAGTTATTTTTCAAGGGGCCCATGCAAGTATCTCTCTGACCTCATCTCCTCCCTGTTTGCCCCTCCTCCTTGCGGCCACCATCCTGCTCCATCTCCTGTGCTGTCCCTCAACACCCCAGCACCCAGACTCCCTCCTCTTACCCCAGAGATGAGCAGGCCTGATTCCTTCTTGTTATTTGGACAAGGCTCAACTCAAATGTCACCTCCTTGGAGAGGCTGTCACTTCACTCCCTCACTGATCTCATCCCCATCCTAAAAGCCACTCTCTTACATCAGCCTGGGTTATTTTTTCTATAACACCTATCACTGACATTAACATTACATATTAATTCACCTGTTTATTCCCTGTCTCCACCATGAGGATTTAAGCTCCCTGAGGGCCGTGATTTTTTTTTTTTCCTTTTGAGACATGGTCTCAATCTGTCTCAGGGGCCCCAGGGAGGTGGGGCTTGATTATGACTCACTGCAGCCTCGATTTCCCAGGCTTGGCAGTCCTCCCACCTCAGCCTCCCGAGTAGCAGGGACTACAGGAACATACCACCATGCTCGGCTAATTTTTAATTTTTAACTTTTGTAGAGATGGGGGTCTCATTATGTATATTGCCCAGGCTAGTCTTTTTTTTTTTTTTTTTTTTGAGATGGAGTCTCGCTCTGTCACCCAGGCTCGAGTTCAGTGGTGCGATCTCGGCTCACTACAAGCTCCGCCTCCCAGGTTCACACCATTCTCCTGCCTCAGCCTCCCGAGTAGCTGGGACTACAGGCGCCCGCCACCACACCCGGCTAATTTTTTGTATTTTTAGTAGAGACGGGGTTTCACCATGTTAGCCAGGATGGTCTCGATCCTCTGACCTTGTGACCCTCCCACCTTGTCCTCCGAAAGTGCTGGGATTACAGGCGTGAGCCGCCGTGCCTGGCCCCAGGCTGGTCTTAAACTCCTGGGCTCAAGTAATCCTTCTGCCTCAGCCTCCCAAACTGTTGAGATTTGCAGGTGTGAACCACCGCGTCCAGCCAAGGCAGGGATCTTGATCTTCATTGACTTTATTCACTGCTCTATATTTAGTGCCTAGAACAGCACCTGGCCCATGGCAGATGCTCAACCAAAGTCTGTTAAATGAGTGTAAGGCCCAGAGCATAAGGCCTGGGAGCCAGTAAAGTGCCTAATAAAAACAGCCTATACCATTACTATTTTTTTTTTTGTTTGTTTTTTGAGATGGAGTTTTCCCCAGGCTGGAGTTTCACTCTTGTTGCCCCAGACTGGAGTGCAATCTGGTGGTAGCAACCTCCACCTCCCAGGCTCAAGCCATTCTCCTGCCTCAGCCTCCCAAGTAGCTGGGATAACAGGCATACGCCACCATGCCCGGGTAATTTTGTATTTTTAGTAGAGACAGGGTTTCTCCATGTTGTTCAGGCTGGTCTCGAACTTCTGACCTCAGGTGATCCACCTGCCTCGGCCTCCCAAAGTGCTGGGATTACAGGCGTGAGCCACCGCACCCGGCTATTTTTGGTTTTGTTTGTTTGTTTTTGAGATGGAGTCTCACTCTGTCACCCAGGCTGGAGTGCAATGGCTCGATCTCAGCTCCCTGCAACCTCTGCCTCCTGGGTTCAGGCGATTCTCCTGGCTCAGACTCCCGAGTAGCTGGAACTACAGGCGTGCACCACCACACCCCGCTAATTTTTGTATTTTTTAGTAGAGATGGGGTTTCACCATGTTGGCCAGGCTGGTCTCGAACTCCTGACCTCAAGTGATCCACCTCCTCGGCCTCCCAGAGTGCTGGGATTATAGGTGGGAACTACTGCGCCCGGACTCAATACTGTCCTTTATGGTACTTCCAGGATCCAGCCCGGGCTGTCACATTGCATTCAGGTGCCATTAGAAAGCAGTCTATAAATAAAGATAAAATAGCAGTCTATTATTAAAACAACACGCAAAAGAGAGAATTTAGAGAAAGATGAGCTTAAAAAGCAATTTAACTTGAGCAAGTTTCCACCTTCCAGTGGATCACTTTGCAGACCCCACTTGGGAGGCCTCTGGAGCCAGTTGGACTGAGGTTCAAATCCCAGCTCCTCCTGTTACCAACTGTGTGGCCTTGGTCCATCTGTGTCCCACTTTGAGCTTCAGTTTCCCCATTTTAAAATGGGGATAAGCCAGGCACAACAGTTCATGCCTGTAGTCCCAGCTACTCAGGAGGCTGAGGCAACAGGATTGCTTGAGTCCAGGAGGTCAAGGTTGCAGTGAGCTATAATTTACACCACTTCACTCCAGCCTGGGTGACACAGCAAGACCCTGTCTCTAAAAATAAAAATAAATGGGATGATTACTTGAGGTCAGGAGTTCGAGAGCAGCCTGGCCAACATGGCGAAACCTTGTCTCTACTAAAAATATAAAAATTAGCCAGGTGTGGTGGTGCACGCTTGTAATTTCAGCTATTTGGGAGGCTGAGGCAGGAGAATCGCTTGAACCCAGGAGGTGGAGGCTGCAGTGGGCTGAGATTGCACCACTGTGCTCCAGCCTGGGCAACAGAGACTATTTCAAATAAATAAATAATAAAAAATAAAATAAATGGGATGATGCTGGCTTGTATCTCAAGGAGTTGTCAGGAGCAGGTAGAGGGCTTGGGTGGGTTGATCTTGTCAGTCACTGTCTTTTTCATAAGGACCAGGGTGGGAGGAGGGGCCTGTGGTCTGCAGTATTTGTGGTATCCGGGCCAGGCCCCCCTGGAGACGCTGCCCCTCGGTTCCGCAGGACGATGAGGTGGTCCTGCAGTGCAGCGCTACCGTGCTCAAGGAGCAGCTCAAGCTCTGCCTGGCCGCCGAGGGCTTCGGCAACCGCCTGTGCTTCCTGGAGCCCACTAGCAACGCGCAGGTCTGTGCAGGAGGGAGAGGGGCCTGGGGACAGGGGCGTCTGAAGGGGCAGAGAATCTTGGGTCCAAAGAAGAGGGTTCTGGGAGTCTGAAAGGAGGTGCTGACAGGAGAGAAAGTGAGGAGGGGGGCTAAGGCTAAGAGGGGCTACCTGAGGTGGGGAGGGGTGGAGGTCTGAGAAGGGAGGGGCAGGGGGTCTGGGGTGTTGGAGGGAATCCCTGTGTGCACAGAAGTGTGGTAGGCCAGGGCGGGGGCTGCTGATCCAGAACGTTCCTTGGCAGGTGGCTGAGTGGGCAGAAAGCCTCGGGTTTAAGGGGAGGTAGCCTGAGAGTCCAGAAGAAGGGCTGGTTGGGGAACGGGTCTCAGGAGGGAGGAGCAGGGAAACTGAGGGACGGCTGGGGCGTGGGGAGGGGGGGTAGGGAGGGACGAGGCAAAGGACCTGGAGCACAAGGAGGAGGGGTTTTATTTTTTATTTTTAAAAGTTTTTCAGGTAACAAGACTGAATTATTATGGGGTGTTTTAGGGGGAAGGAGGCCCTCGGCGGGGGCGGGGGAGGATGGGACAGGGCCTGAGATGCGGAGGGCATCTGATGGGGGTGGGGGCTTGAGGGTCTTAGGTAGTGGAGTCTGAGGGAAGGTGATCCCCAAGTCCGAGCTCGGGAATTCTGAGGGTGGGGGCAGCTGGAGTCTGAGAGGGCAGGGGATCGAGGGGCCGAGGGCCTTGGATCCAAGGCAAAGGGGCCTGGAGGGTCAGGGGACACCCGCAGGGGCCTGACTTGGGAGACTGGGGGCTGAGAGGTGGAAGGAGCCTGGGGTCTGAAAGGAGGAGACCTGGAGGAGGGGCAGGGGCTGGCAGACCAGGGGATGTGGAATCTGATGGGGGGGAAGTTTCAGAGTCTGAGCGAGTGGGGTCTGAGGAGCAGAGTCTTGAGTTTAGGAGTTGGACGGTGGGAGACTGAGGAGGGAGTATAAGGTTGAGCGCCCTCCTGTGTCTGTGAAGCAGAGGTCAGAGGTGTTTGAAGGAAAAGGCAGGAGCGAGGACTGTGTGATGGTGGAGGCAGGAGGTGGGGCTTCCTTTGGGGTTGGAGGGATGTGGGGTCATCTGCAGAGGAGGACACAGAACAGGAGATTCCTGTCCTTGGAGCAGGGTCAGTGTGTCTCAGGGGAGAGGCATGGGGGTGAGGCTTCCTATGAGATTAGGTGGAACACGGGTTAGTGGGGAGGGTTAGGGTTAGGGAAGTTTCTATGGAGTCTGGGTGGGTCTGAGGTGTTTGAGGGAGGAGGCACAGAAGAGGTGTTTTCGTGATGTTGGTCTAGATTCAGTGTGTCTGAGGGGGATGGCAGAGGGCAGGGCCTTCCTGTGGGGTGGGGGTGGGGTCTGGCGTCTCAAGAGTGTGGGCATCCAGACTAGGGGAGGGAGTGTGGCAGGGAATGTTGCTGGGGTGGGGGGGTCTTCTGACCCCTCACTTACATCCCCCTCCCACCCCAGAATGTGCCCCCCGATCTGGCCATCTGTTGCTTCGTCCTGGAGCAGTCCCTGTCTGTGCGAGCCCTGCAGGAGATGCTGGCTAACACGGTGGAGGCTGGCGTGGAGGTGAGGACCCCACCTGGGGGTGGGCGGGGTGGCAGAGATGGGCGAGAGGACCCAGGGGTCGTTTAGGGCACGGTGGCAAGGATGGGTGAGAGGACCCGGGGGTCGCTTACCATCTGCTCTTCTTCCTCTCTCTGCCCTGCCCCCCACAGGCCCTCAATTTGGATAAGTGGGTAGGTCCGGCCTTGGATGTCACCTGTCCTTCCACCCCTCCTGACCCCAGGCAGGCCCGTCTCTCAGGCCCACGCCCTGCACACAGGGGCTGGAGGGTCCTCCCCCACCCCAGTTGTCAGGGGCTGTGGAGCCCAGAACAGGCCAGGCAGGAAGGAAGGAAGGGGATGGGGGCTTCTGAGCCCCTGTCCCCGACGCCTGCTCCTTTCTCCTCTTTCCAGTCCTTTCCCCCAACCCTGATCCCAGCTCCTCTCCGCATGGGACCTCTCCCACCTCCCCCATCCCAAGCGTGAGTCCCTCTGGTCCAGGAGTGGGTCCACCATGTGATCACCTGGCCCCATCACATGGTACCCCCATGGCGCCCTTGGAGCATGGGCATGTGACAGCCATGATGGGAGGCATGGTGACATCGAGCAGTCAGATGTCTGCCCCAAGGTCCGGGTTGGGGACCTTGTGCTGGGGAGGGGCGGCTGTCTTAGACTGCGGGTGACATTCACCTATGGAACAACTGCTAGGCCTGTCCCAGAGCACACGGGCTGCAGCGCAGCATGATGGGGGAGGTCAGAGCAGAGGGGCCAGAGTACACGGAACACGAGATCTTGGGGGTGTCCTCAGGGTCCCCAGGAAACTAGAAGACGGGTTCATTCTCCTGAGTGATTTCCAGCCAAGGTGAAGGCAGCAGAGAGGACAGAGTGGGCTTTGGGGAATATAAAATGCTCCATCCATAGGCATCTCAGAGATATAGTCCCTGCTTCCGTGAATGGGGAAACTGAGGCAGAGAGTCCTGCAGGAGTCTGAGCTGAGGCTGTTTTACCTCTAGGCCTGAGCATGGTATTTTACAGGGAGCATCTTGTCACCTGTGACTAGGCCAGACCTCTTGGGGATCTGGAGAGTCCGGGGATCTGTGCTTATTCTGTTCCCTCCCTCCCCCTGCAGTCATCCCAGGGCGGGGGACACAGGACGCTCCTGTATGGCCATGCCATCCTGCTCCGGCATGCACACAGCCGCATGGTGAGTGCAACCTCGGTGGGCGTGGGCAGGGGCCAGGGCATGTGGGGCCTGCTAGAAGGAGGCTGACCTCCCTCTACAACCCTAGTATCTGAGCTGCCTCACCACCTCCCGCTCCATGACTGACAAGCTGGCCTTCGATGTGGGACTGCAGGAGGACGCAACAGGTGCAGCAGCTGGAGGGGATGGGGGTGTGAAGGGGCCCCGCAGCAGGGATTCAGGGGGTAGAAGGTCTGCAGAACGCCAAGGCAAGCATGAGACTACCCTGGGGACATGAATGGGGGCTTCGTAGCAGAGAGTCTGCGGTACAGTCCAGACAGGGAGACAGACACACGTTGGGGACCACTAGGCAGAGAGTCTGAAGTCAGGAACGGGGAACTGTTAGGCAGAGAGTTGGTGGCAGTGATAGGAGAGTTGTGGGCCAAGGGCCCGGGAGGCCTGGTGGAGGGAGAGCCCTGGGGAAGAGCATTCTGGGAAGCCATCATCTGACAGCCACCCCCATTCCATCCCCACCCATAGGAGAGGCTTGCTGGTGGACCATGCACCCAGCCTCCAAGCAGAGGTCTGAAGGAGAAAAGGTCCGCGTTGGGGATGACATCATCCTTGTCAGTGTCTCCTCCGAGCGCTACCTGGTGAGCCATTGCGGTTCCTCCTGCTCCCAGGTCTGGGGGCGCATGGGATGGTCCCCATCTTCTCACCATGGGTTTGCCTGGCTGATCTCCCACCCCCAAGGTCCTGACTCCCAATTTCCCATTTCCTGACCCCTGACATCCAATTTTCTGATTTCTGACCTCCCATTGCCCGACTTGATCATTTCCTGATCTGTGATCTCTGATGACTCTGTCTCCCATCTGCCGGTTTCCGGGTATCCACCCTTGATTTCTGGCCTCTGACGCTGGGACTCTCGCCCACCCCTGCAATCGTCTCTGACTGCCGCATCCTGGTGGCCCCCAGCACCTGTCGACCGCCAGTGGGGAGCTCCAGGTTGACGCTTCCTTCATGCAGACACTATGGAACATGAACCCCATCTGCTCCCGCTGCGAAGAGGGTGAGGGCCCCAGACCTCCCCCTAAATGGAGATCCCCCCAAAACAGACCCTTAATGTTGCCCTTCAGGCATACCCAAATGGAGCCTTGGAACCTCAGACCTCAAACCTAGATCTCCAAATTATGGCTCTCACACTTAGATCTCCAGCTGACCCCAAATCCAGACCCCCAGAGCTCAGAACCCCCCCAAACCCCGAACTAAATATCAGGCTCCCAAACTTAGACCCCAAAGTATTAGCCCCCAAGGCTCCTAAACTCAGATTCAAATCTTAAAACATCAAGTTTAAAGCTTGTTTAAAGGCCGGGCATGGTGGCTCACGCCTGTAATCTCAGCACTTTGGGAGGCCGAGGCAGGTGGATCACCTGAGTTCAGGAGTTTGAGACCAGCCTGGCCAACATGGCGAAACCCCATCTTTATTAAAAATGCAAAATTATCTGAGTGTGGTGGCATGTGCCTGTAATCCCACCTACTCAGGAGGGTGAGGCAGGAGAATTGCTTGAACCTGGGTGGCAGAGGAGCCTGGGTGACAGAGCCAGACTCTGCCTCAAAAAAAAAAAAAAAAAAAAAAAAAAATTAAACTCCTTAGACAATAAGCATAGACTATGATCTCAGCCCCTCAAACCCAGACCCCCAAATTCAAACCTCAGATCCCCAAACCAAGACTCCAATCTTCAGCCCTCCAACCTCAGACTTCCAAACTTCAATTTCAAATCCCAAAAACCAAAATCCACCAAAGCAAACTCCCAATTCAGATTCCCATGCTAAGACTCCAGGCATGGCCCAATACTTTGACCCCAAGTCTCATACCCCAAACTTCAGAGTCCTAAACCAGACCCACGCTGGGACTCAAACCACAGATGGTTTTTGACCCTCAAACTCAGACCCTGAAACTCAGACTCATCAACTTCTAACTACAAAGCTCAGATCGTTCCTACGTCATACCCCAAAGCTCAGACTTCCAAACCCTAGATTGTAACCTCAGATCCCCAACCTCACTTTCCAGCTTCTGGCCTCCAAAATCAATACTCAAGGCCAAGCGCGGTGGCTCACGCCTGTAATCCCAGCACTTTGAGGGGCCAAGGCGGGTGGATCACTTGAGATCAGGAGTTCGAGACCAGCCTGGGCCAACATGGCAAAACCCCATCTCTACTAAAAATACAAAAATTGGCTGGGCATGATGGCGGGCGGCTGTAGCCCCAGCTACTTGGGAGGCTGAGGCAGTATTGCTTGAATCTGGGAGGCAGAGGTTGCAGTGAGCCAAGATTGCACCACTGCACTGCAGCCTGGGCAACAGAGCAAAACTCTGTCTTAAAAACAAAACTAAACAAAACGAAACAAAAAAACCCTCAAAATTCAGGCCCTAACTCCAGAACCCAGCCTCAGACCCAACCATCACCCTTCTAAACCCAGAGGCCAAACCTCAACCCTAGAACTCAGACTCCAACACCAGTGAACATTAGACCTCCACCTTTCACCACACACACACTCTGACCCCAACCTCAAAAGTCCAAACTCAGAACCTTAAATGACAGACTCACAACTCCCCCAGCCTCAGCTCTGCAGACCCAGACCCCCCAAATTAGGTGCCCAGCTTCAGACCCCAAGTCTCATATCCCCACTTCAGGCCTCAACCTTGGCCTGAAAATACCCTGAAACTCAGACCTCCAACTGCAAAACCCCAAACTCAGCCCTCAGGTTCCCCCAGGGGAGGAGCAGGGCCCCTGACTTCATCTTGGCTCCTGGTCTTCCTGGGGCTCCAGCCTCCCATTGACCAACTTCCCTTGCTCCTCTCCAGGCTTCGTGACGGGAGGTCACGTCCTCCGCCTCTTTCATGGACATATGGATGAGTGTCTGACCATTTCCCCTGCTGACAGTGATGACCAGCGCAGGTCTGGGCTGTGGACGAGAGGGCCTGGGGTCTAGGGGTGGACGTGGAGGGCTGGGACCCTATGAGTAGGATTAGGGACCAGATTCCGGGGAGCTGAACCCTTGACTTCACTCTCTTCTGTGTCCCCAGACTTGTCTACTATGAGGGGGGAGCTGTGTGCACTCATGCCCGCTCCCTCTGGAGGCTGGAGCCACTGAGAATCAGGTAGGGCGGGGAAGATGGGGAGAGACCAGGGAGAGGCTGGGGTCACCTGGCAGGCTGGGAGGACAGAAAAGGTCTTGAGGGAAGATCTGATAAAGAGACTGAAGGGTCTCGAGGGAAAATCAGAGCAGCCTGAGAGAGAGATGAAAATCTCGGCCAGGCGTGGTGACTTCATGCCTGTAATCCCAGCACTTTGGGAGGCTGAGGCAAGAGGATCACTGGAGGCCAGAAGTTCAAAACCAGCCTAGGCAACATCATGAGACCCCCGTCTCTGCAAAAAAAATAAAATAAAATAAATAAAATAAAGAATTAGCCGGGTGTGGTGGTGTGCACCTTTAGTCTCAGCTACTTTGTGGGGCTGAGGTGGGAGGATCACTCGAGCCCAGCGGGTCAAGGCTGCAGTGAGCTGAGATCCTGCCACAGTACTCCAGTCTGGGTGACAGAGCAAGATCCTGTCTCAAACAAACAAACAAACAAAACAAAAACAAAAAGAGGCCAAGCGTGGTGGCTCACGCCTGTAATGCCAGCACTTTGGGAGGCCGAGGCAGGTGGATCACTTGAGGTCAGGAGTTCCAGACCAGGCTGGCTAACGTGGTGAAACCCTGTCTCTACTAAAGATACAAAAATTTGCCTGGTGTGGTGGTGGGCACCTGTAATCCTTGCTACTGGGGAGGCTCAGGCAGGAGAATCCCTTGAACCCAGGAGGTGGCGGTTGCAGTGAGCTGAGATTGCACCATTGCATTCCAGCCTGGGCGACAGAGCGAGACTCCATCTCAAAAAAATACAAAAACAAAGGCCGGGGGCGGTGGCTCACACCTGTAATCCCAGCACTTTGGGAAGCCGAGGCAGGTGGATCATTTGAGGTCAGGAGTTCAAGACCAGCCTGGCCAACATGGTGAAACCCCGTCTCCACTAAAAATACAAAATTAGCCAGGCGGTAGTGGCACGCACCTGTAATCCCAGCTTCTCGGGAGGCTGAGGCAGGAGAATCACTTGAGCCTGGGAGGCAGAGGTTGCAGTGAGGTGAGATTGTGCCACTGCACTCCAGCCTGGGCAACAGAGTGAGGCCCTGCCTTAAAAAAAAAAAAAAAAACAAGCAAAACAAAAATAAAAAATGAAGTCTCTCTGGAGTCCTGTGGGAAAAGGAGGTTTGGGGGGTTTTTGAGGGAGAGATTGGGGGCCCTGAGTAAAATGATGGGGGAATTTAGGGGTCTGGAAAAACGAGGGCACTGGAGACATTTGGGAAGCCCTGAGGAAGCTGTGAAGGCCTGAGAGAGGATTGGGGTTCCTAAGGGAGGACTAGGGGTCCTAATTAAGATGGTTTGAGGAACACTGGAAGAGGGTTCGGGGCTTGAGGAGGTTTGGACCAAGACTATAGTGTCCAGGCCGGGTGCAGTGGCTCATGCCTGTAATCCCAGCACTTTGGGAGGCCGAGGTGGGAGGATTGCTTGAGCCCTGGAGTTCAAGATCAGCTTGGGCAACATAGCAAGACCTGGTTTCTGTAAAAAAAAGAAAAAGAAGAAAAGACTGTAATGTCCATGGGAGAACTGGGGGGTCCTCTGACTCCCCTTGGCTCTCACCCTCCACAGCTGGAGTGGGAGCCACCTGCGCTGGGGCCAGCCACTCCGAGTCCGGCATGTCACTACCGGGCAGTACCTAGCGCTCACCGAGGACCAGGGCCTGGTGGTGGTTGACGCCAGCAAGGCTCACACCAAGGCTACCTCCTTCTGCTTCCGCATCTCCAAGGTCAGTGGGGTTTGTGGCGCCCTCCCTCACCTGAAGCCCCCAGTCCCAGCCCAGCCTGCACTCTGCAGTCCCTCAGGGGGGCTCCCCTGCTAAACACACAGGCAGAGGAGGCTGACCTGTGTCCCCTGCCCCTGTAGGAGAAGCTGGATGTGGCCCCCAAGCGGGATGTGGAGGGCATGGGCCCCCCTGAGATCAAGTACGGGGAGTCACTGTGCTTCGTGCAGCATGTGGCCTCAGGACTGTGGCTCACCTATGCTGCTCCAGACCCCAAGGCCCTGCGGCTCGGCGTGCTCAAGAAGAAGGTGGGTGTAATCCCAGCTACTCAGGAGGCTGAGGTGGGAGAATCGCTTGAGTCCAGGAGGTCAAGGCTGCAGTGAGCTGGTGATCATGCCACTGTACTCCAGCCTGGGTGACAGAGTGAGATGGGGTGCAGGAGGGTACTGAGGGGTGGTGCTTGAGACCTTGGGAGTTTGAGGATGAGACTGAGAGAAAGATAGAGACTGGGAGAGAAACTGAGACTGAGAGAAACAGCAAAAAAGACAAAGGGATATATCTACATGGAGAGAGAGAGAGAGCAGAAATCTGTAGACAGACAGGGAAAGGCAGAGATAAAGAGGCATGGAAACAGAGAAATAGAGAAAGATAGAGACAGAGAAACAGAGACACGGCCGGGCGTGGTGGCTCATGCCTGTAATCCTAGCACTTTGGGAGGCCCAGGCGGTTGGATCACCTGAGGTCAGGAGTTTGAGACCAGCCTGGCCAACATGGTGAAACCCTGTCTCTACTAAAAATACAAAAATTAGCCAGGCGTGGTGGCAGCTGCCTGTAATCCCAGCTACTCAGGAGGCTGAGGCAGGAGAATTGCTTGAACCTGGGAAGTGGAGGTTGGGAGTGAGCCAATATCGTGCCATTGCACTCCAGCCTGGCTGACAAGAGTGAAACTCCGTCTCAGAAAAACAAAAACAAAACAAAACAAAAACAAAAACAGAGAGAGTGAGAAAAAGATGGATAATGACCAACTGAGAATAACTTTCAACAAACAATTACTGAGTACCCGCGTTGTTCTGGTTGTGTGTGCAGAAAATAGATGAGCTGTAGCGACCTGTTCCCTGCCCTCCCAGTGCTCAGAAATTGTGAACAAACTGCCTTTAGTGAAGTACATAGTTTTACAATTAAGGAGTGGGAAAACTATTTTTGGCAGCAGGAACAGCATGTGCAAAGGTCCTGAGGTTAACATGAGCTTGGCTTGTTGCAGTAGCAGAAAGAAGCCACAGTGTGGAACAGGGTGAGCAGGCTGGAGTAGTGGTTGGTGAGGAAAGAGAGGGGATGGGAACAGCTCGTGTGAGGCCTTGTGGGCCATGGGAGAGGTCTAGTTTTGTTTGTTTGTTTGTTTTTTGTAGAGACGAGGTCTCATTATATTACACAGGCTGGTCTCAAACTCCTGGGGCTCAAGTGATCCTCCTGCCTCAGCCTCCCAAAGTGCTGAGATTAAAGTGAAGTGTGAGCCACTGCTCCTGGCCAGGTTCTAGTTTTTATCCTGAGTGAGATGGGCTCACAGGAGATTTTGAGCAGGGCAGGGAAGTGACCTGACGCAGGATCACAGAATTCTTAGGCTGTCTCTGGGAACAGACTACGGTCAGGGGACAGAGCCAGAGCAGGGAGACCAGAGAAGAGACTGCCATGATGTTACAAATGGGAGATGACAGTGGACAGGACCAGGAGGGGACTGTGGAGTTGGGAAGAGTAGTAGATTCTGGTGGGGTCCTGAGGGTAGAGCCAACAGGATTTGCTGACAGATTGGCTGTGGGGTGAGAGAAGGGGAGGGGTTGAGGATGATGCCATGATTTTTTGCCCCAAGCAACTGGAAGGATGGAAGTGCTGAAACAGCCTCATTGTCTGGAGTATCACCCAAGGTTTGTGGTCTCACAGCCACAGAGAACAAGGACGCAGACACACAAAGAGTGAGGTTAAGAGGGGACATTTAATAGGCGAAAGAAGGAGCTCTCTACTGCAGAGAAGGGTCCCAGAAAAATGGGTTGAAATGCAGGGGGTTCCATGGTGAAATGCAGGGGGCTTTACAGATGAGCTGGTGGGGAGGTGGTATCTGATTTACCTAGGGTGCAAAAGACTGGTTGGACCAGTTGTGCCATTTGCATAGGGCACAAATTTCTGGCTGCCTCCACCCTAAGCTTTTATTGTACAAGCGGGTCCTCTGCCTGAGCTGGCCATGTTGCCCATTCCTTTTCTGTACAACGTGGAAACAATAAATAAATAAATAACTAAATAAAGGGAAGATGGAGCCTCCATGTTGGACATGCGTAGCCCCAGGTATACCTTTTCTATCGGCACATTCCCCCATGCAAGCTTGTAGCTCGATTTTCCAGGCTGCTCTTTGTTAGAAAAGAAATTATTTTGGGGGCTGCTTTCCGTTAGAAAGGAAACTCTGCCGAGGACTCTGTTGCCCTTACTCTCTGCCTAAATAATTTTTTTCTACCTCTTGTATCAGTGCCATCAACCAAGTTAGGGGACAGTCAGTGTTGGCTCAGAAGGACAGGGATCTTAGGCTTTACTGCCAGTGCCTAGAACAGAGCCACTTACTACAGCCTTGCTGAATGGACAAGTAGGAATCCTTGGGGAGGCACTCGTTTGCAAAAACAGGCCTGTAGTTGAATACATGAGCCAAGGGCGTAGAGACGGGGCCTGGGCCATGTCCAAAGTGGGGACACGTGAGCATCATCAGCAGGTGGATGGTGTTTACAGCCGCAGACTGGATGAGTTCTGGGGAGGTCGGCTTGGGGTGAAGCTGGCAGCCATGATGGTCTCACCTCGTGGAAAGGTGGTCTGGCATTCTATCTGGGACAGGTTCAATTTGGGGGTTAGAGCTTTCTGGTCGGGGGGAATGTTAAGTCAGCAGTAGGTACAGGTGGAAAGGGTCTGGCCTGGAGACAGAGACAGGAAGGAGATAGGGATAGAGAGATAGAGAGGGAGAGGCAGGGACAGAGGTGAGAGAGATAGAGAGACAAAGACAGACAAAACCAAAAACAGGGACAGAGAGAGACAGAGAGGAGAGAGAGAATCAAAGACACAGAGGAGACAGATGACGGGGGACAGAAAAATGAGGAGGAATTTGCAGTGAGATTCTGCAGAGCAGGGAGGAGGGGGCAAGTGCAGAACTCAAGTCTAGACAGACGTCTTGGGGGCATGGCCCTGGGTGGCTGGGCCCACTCCAGACCTCTGTCTCCCCACTCCTAGGCCATGCTGCACCAGGAGGGCCACATGGACGACGCACTGTCGCTGACCCGCTGCCAGCAGGAGGAGTCCCAGGCCGCCCGCATGATCCACAGCACCAATGGCCTATACAACCAGTTCATCAAGTGAGCAACCTGCCCTCCCTGCTGGGGTGACTCCTGTGCTGTCCCATGCTCCGGGCATCCATACACTTGGCCTCTTTCATCTCTACCTCTGTTGCCCACACCCTTGTCTAACATATACATGGGCCAAGCGCAGTGGCTCACACCTGTAATCCCAAGACTTTGGGAGGGCAAGGCATGAGGATCGCTTGGGCCCAGGAGCTTGAGACCAGCCTGGGCAGCATAGGGAGACCCCGCCTCTACCAAAAAAAAAAAAAAAAAAAAAAAAATTAGGCTGGGCACAGTGGCTCATGCCTGTAATCCTAGCACTTTGAGAGGCTGAGGCGGGCAGATCGCTTGAGCCCAGGAGTTCGAGACCAGCCTGAGCAATATAGTGAAACCCTGTCTCTATAAAAAAAATAACAAAATATTGGCCAGGTGTGGTGGCACGTGCCTGTAGTCCCAGCTGCATGGGAAGCTGAGGAAGGAGGATTGCTTGAGCCGAGGGGGCAGAGGCTGCAGTGAGCCACTATACTCCAGCTTCACTGACAGAGCGAGACCCTTCTCAAAAAATAATAACAATAATATACACATGACCCCTAACCTCTAAACTCCTGACCTCTGTACACTTGACCCCTAATCTGACCTTGACAACCATGATCACATTCCTGATCATCACCCAACTTTCACACCCCTGACACCCAGAGCCTGGACCCTGGACCTCTCCATCCCTGAGTTCCGGGACCCCCCTGTACCTACACAGGAGCGAGTCCCAGTCCCAGCTCTGCCCTTGGCCATTGTGTGACCTCGGACAAATGCTTTTCCCTCTCTGCGTCTCGGTCTCCCTCTCTGTAAAACGGGTGGGTCTGGGGGAGTCTTGCGGGAGTGAGGTTGCGGCAGTGACGTTGCGGCAGTTAGCGCTCCCAGCCGTGGCTGACAGCTGCGAGGTCCCTGTAGGAGCCTGGACAGCTTCAGCGGGAAGCCACGGGGCTCGGGGCCACCCGCTGGCACGGCGCTGCCCATCGAGGGCGTTATCCTGAGCCTGCAGGACCTCATCATCTACTTCGAGCCTCCCTCCGAGGACTTGCAGCACGAGGAGAAGCAGAGCAAGCTGCGAAGCCTGCGCAACCGCCA